>NC_000019.10:42392389-42695419 GCF_000001405.40 Homo sapiens
CTCTCTCACTCCTGACACAGCCTGGGGGCCCCAATTAGATCTAGCAATTCATGCAGGTGAGGAAATAGAGACTGGGGAAGCTGTGAGGTGGCCTGCTTGGGGGTGAGGAGGGCCGTGAGCAGGAGGAGGAGCTCCTGGGGGGCTGAGGAGTGATGGTGGCCCAGTCACCAGGCATTGGCCTACATCCTCCTCAAACAGGGTTGCCACATAAAATACAGGCTGTCCTGTAAAATCTGAAATTCAGATAAGCAACAAACAGGTTTTTTAGCATGTTTCATGCAGTATTTGGGACATATTTATACTAAAAAAGTATTTGTTATTTATCTAAAATTCAAATTAAATTGGGCTTCCTATAGTTTTATTTGCTAAATCTGGAACCCTACCATCAAAGACAGAGGAGTTCAGGACTCCAGCCCCCTCTTTTCCCAGAACCTAGGAGTCCAGGCCCCAGCCTTCCCTCCTTAGGATCTGCGAGTCCAGGTCCTAATCCTCCTCCTCCCCCTTAGAAGGAATGGGGCACCCAACCCCCTCCTCCTTTGGAAATACAGGAGTCCAGGCTCCCAGCCCCTTTCTCCCCAGAACCCAGGCATCCAGACCAGGTCTCAGTCCAGTTGCCCAATGTGGGTCAGTCATCACTTTGGGTTTCACAAGGTGGGTTGTGCCATCTGTGGCCCTGGTGGAACCGGTCCGGCAGAGCGGACAAGTGGCGTGGTCCCCCTTCCCTTCCTCAACCTGCTGTTTCCTTGAAGGCCAGCCCAGCGGGGCTGGGAGCAGAACAGGAGGGACTTGGGGAGCTCTGGGTGTGCCCCTGTGTTTGGGTGTATTGTGTCTCTGTGTGTGGTTGTGACCAATTGTCATGACAACCCCCAACTGTCATGATGTGTCTCTGTGCTTTTTCTGTGGTCTGCGGTGTGATATGAGAGGGTCTCTTCTATTTGTGTGTCTGTATTGCCCTCCTGTGAGTCTACACACTGTGCACTGCTGTTTGGGTGTGTTTGCAGTTACTGTGATTCTGTAATTCCGGTTGGATTAAGGCAGCAATTATTTATTGAATGGCAGCCTTATGTGATGGACTCTGGAGCCAGAAAGCCTGGGTTCAAATTCGTGTTTTTTTTTTTTTTTGAGATGGAGTTTCACTCCTGTTGCCCAGGCTGGAGTGCAATGGTGTGATCTCAGCTCACCGCAACCTCCACCTCCCAGGTTCAAGCAATTCACCTGCCTCAGCCTCCCGAGTAGCTGGGATTACAGGCATGCACCACCATGCCCGGCTAATTTTTTGTATTTTTAGTAGAGATGGAGTTTCTCCATTTTGGCAGACTGGTCTCGAACTCCCAACCTCAGGTGATCCTCCCACCTCGGCCTCCCAGAGTGCTGGGATTATAGGCGTGAGCCACCGTGCCCACCCTCAAATTCTTTTTTTATTGAGACAAAGTCTCACTCTGTTCCCTAGGCTGGAGTGCAATGAGTGGGAGGACTCACTGCAGCCTTGACCTCCCCGACTCAAGTGATCCTCCCACTTGAGCCTCCTGAGTAGCTGGGGCCACAGGTGTGCACCACCATGCCAGCTAATTTCTAAAATTTTTTTGTAGTGACGGAGTCTTGCTATGTTGCTCAGGCTGGTCTCAAACTCCTGGGCCCAAGCAATCCTTCTGCTTCGGCCTCCTAAAGTGTCAGGATTAAAGGCATGAGCCACTATGCCCAGCCTGGGTTCAATTTCTGACTGCTGGCTGGGCACGGTGGCTCACACCTGTAATCCCAGCACTTTGGGAGGCTGAGGCAGGCAGGTCACTTGAGTTCAGGAGTTCAAGACCAGCCTGGTCAATATGGTGAAAACCCGTCTCCACTAAAAACGCACACAAAAACCCAGGTGTGGTGGCATGTGCCTGTAGTCCCAGCTATTTGGGAAGTTGAGGCAGGAGAATTGCTTGAACCCAGGAGGCGGAGGCTGTAGTGAGCCAAGATTGTGCCACTGCACTCTAGCCTGGGTGACAGAGCGAGACTCCATCTCAAAAAAAAAAAAAAACAAAACCCACCAAATTCTGACCACCTGTCAGTGGCTGTGAAACCTTGGGCAAGTCACTAAACTTCTTCAGATATCAATTTTCCCACCTATAAGATGGGTTGTTGCAAATAAGGTTGTAGAGAGCATTAAATAAAAAGTGCGGCCAGGCACAGTGGCTCACGCCTATAATCCCAGCACCTTGGGAGGCTGAAGTGGGCGGATCACCTGAGGTCAGGAGTTCATGACCAGCCTGGCCAACATGGTGAAACCCCATCTCTACTAAAAATACAAAAACTAGCCGGGCATGGTGGTGGGTGCCTGTAGTCCCAGCCACTTGGGAGGCTGGGGCAGGATAATCGCTTGAACCCGGGAGGCAGAGGTTGCAGTGAGCTGAGATCGCACCACTGCACTCCAGCTTGGGTAACAGAGTGAGACCCCGCCTCAAAAAAAAAAAAAAGTGCTTGGAATTGTGCCTGTCACATAGGAAACATTTTTTGTTGCTGCTGCTGATGACGATGATGTGTTCTTCTGGTTGCCGGGGATACAGTAGGGAATTAACCCAGGTCTTTGCTCATGGTCCTCCTGGTAGGAGCTGGATGAGTGGCCTCTCAGTGACTGGCCATGTAACTGCATCGCTGGGGTGTCTGTTTTGCATGTGGAATAGGATATTTCTTGTGTGCTGTGATCACGGGCGATTCTGTGGTTGTGTGCCTATATTTGTGTTTGTGCTTGTAGGTGATTATATTGCTGCATGTGTGTGATTCTTTGTGTGGGTGCAAATGCAAGATCAAATCTAACACAAATTGTGATGGCACGTGTTTGGTGTGATCTTGCATTTCTGATTCTGAGGTGCTGGGAGTGTGTCTATAATTGGAATCTTGAGAACCCTTCTCTCAGCTGTGAGGCCACTCCCTTACATAACATCCCATAGGTGACCCCTGGGAGAGATCCTTCCAAGATGAGCCTTGGTTTCTCCCTAATGGGGATAGTGGGCCCAGTGGCTCAAGGAGAAACAGGAGATTGAAAGGGAAGGTGGGAGGGGACCAGTGAGGCCAGGGAGAGGGTAAGAGACGTGATGGTGACACAGAAAAACGATGGCTGGATTGGGACAGAGGAAGAGCTGCCCAGAGACGGGGATCTCTGTCCATTCATTCCATGAGCATTTCCTGAGCCCCTGCAATGTGCCAGGACCTCTGGTCGGTTCAGGGTCTGGGGGAAAGCAGAGAGACCCAGAGAGATGACCCCCACCAGGAAAGCTGTTGCTGCCCCAAGGTGGCCCACTGCCTCCACAATGGGCCTCAGTGACAGTTCTGAGTGACCGAGATGCAGTGATGGGGAGGGACAGAGAAGGCCAGATCTGTCCAGATCAAAGAACAGAGGCCATGGGGGAAAGGTCCCTTCCAGGCGAAGGAGACCGCCATGAATCATGTTCTTATCACCTCCTAATAGGCTCATGATGCAAGTGCACCTCCTAATCACTATTTTCGACCCCAACCAGGCTCACGCCCACAGTCAGAAGGGTTGGACAAGCTTAGTATCGTGGATTCACGGGAGAAAATATCTGGGAGACCCCATCCTTGGACCTGCTTTCCCCAGGACCCAGGAGTCCGGGTCCCCAGCTCTCCAGTTCCCCAGCCCCAGGAGTCCCAGCTCTCAGCCCCTCTCCTTTTGTTTGTTGCCTGCGTTTTCTTTTTTCTCTCTGGGCCTGTAACTCTTTGTTTATCTCCATCTATGTTTTGTGTCTCTCTTGTATCTTTACATCTGTATCTGGATTCTCCCTCACTAGGCCTCAATTTTCTCACTTGTAAACTGGGGATAATACTACTAATAATAATCCAATCTCTCAGAGCTGTGGCGAGGAAGACATGAGATAATTATGTAAAATGCTCAGCACAGAACCAGGCCACAGTAAACTCAGTACAAGAGAGCTCTGTTATTATTACTGTTTTATTTTTGCCATCTCCCCTTTGGTATCTCTATTTTTCTCTTAGTCTCACGTGAGTCTCCAGTCTCCTCTAGCTCTGGGTTCCTTTTGCAGACAGCACCTGCCTCTGACTTCCCTTTTCGGGATGAGGAAAGGGCATATCCAGGCCAGAGCTTCCCCTGAGCCTCTTCCTTCTCCCTCTCCATTACAAGCTCCGCCTCATTACCCAGAACACTTGCCTGGGGGTAAGGCCTGGCTCCCTTCCCATAAATAGCCTCATAAAATCCTGAACCCCAAACCTGTCATCCCTGGGCGGGCGAGTGACTCAAGATCCCGGAGTTCCCGCTCCTAGACACCAAACCTTCAGGTTTCCAGCCCCCTCCTCCCTCTGACCCAGGAGTCCGGGCCCCTAGTCCCTCCTTCCTCGGGTCCCAGACTTCTCCTCCTTCAGAACCAAGGAGTCTGAACTCTCAAATCCCCAACCTTCCTCAAGACCCAAGGATCGGGTCAGCAAACAGCCTAGGTATGTGGGGCCAGAAACTCCATTCACGACCATTCTGCGACCGTCTACGCCCAGGGCTCCCACCCCGACTCAGTCCCTCCGGAGGCGGGTCCGACACGCGAGGCGCTTCTTTGGAGTCTGGCGGCGAAAGCTATCCATGACGTCAGTCACTATCTTCCAGCCAATGGACACTCGGCCTTCTACCTCCCTGGGCCACTCAGGACCCTTTGCCTGGTAGGCGGGGCCCACAGCCCAACTCGGGCAGCGATAGGCTTTCGGAGACGCCAGTCTCTGCCAGGCCCAGTCAGTCGGCCAATAGACCCGGAACCTGAGGGATCGGAATCCTGGTCCACTCCGCAGAGGCCCGAGCGGGCTCGCGAGGGAACGGGTTCTCCGAGTCTGGCCGGGTAAGCCCTTTCCAGCACGCCTAGTATTAGGATTCTGCACATAGCTCGGGTGGAAAACCGTGAGGCTTAGTGAGGCTTGAGGCGGAGGGGGGAGGAGCTCAGTCCCGGCGAACCCATCTTGCTTTCTTGGAGAAACTGAGACCGGGATACTGGATCTGTTATTCATCCATCCGTTCCTCCCACCCTAAGCCTGATTCTCGTCTGCTCCTGCCTTCCTGTTCCTTCATCCGTTCTGCCCTTCCTGCCCTCAATTCTCTCACTCACGGATTCCCTCGTCTAGCCACTCACTCACACACTCTCCCACCTATTAGTTAGACAAACATTTCCTGAGGCTTCTGGTGTGCCAAGCCTCGTGCTGGGCGATGCTGGTGACCAAGATGAGTCAGGCCTGGGCCGTGCCCTCAAGGAGCCCGGGTCAGATGGGAGGATGGACGTTGATGGGCATGGGTGTGCGGAGACGGTGGGAGCCCAGGAGAGACTTTTTTGAGTTTGGCGTGGTCGGGAAAGGGTTTCCAGGGGAGGGGCCATTGGAGCTGGATCTTGGAGGAGCAGAAGGTGCCAGGCAAAGTGGAGATGCCAGGCAAAATGGGTGTGGGGAGGGTGTTTCAGCGTGACCAAAGACAGGGAGGCATGCAGGAGCAGTACTGCGTGCAGGTGCCTAAGCGGAAGGCCAGTCAAGTCTGTATGGCCAGCAGGGGAACTGTAAGGCTGGAGGAGGCCGAAGAGATGAGCAGAGGCCAGGCTGAGGAGCTTGGACTTTGTCCTGAGGGTGAGGGGGTAGTGGAGAGCCATGGAAGGGTTGAGAGTAGTGGAGGACAAGGTCATAGTTGGTCCAGAACTGGAGGAATGAGACTGGAAGCCAGTAGCCCAGGAGGTGGCTCTGGCAGGGATTCAGGTAGGAGAGAGTGGAGCCTGGATCAGGGAAGAGGCCGAGGGGATAAGATAGAGATTCAGGAGGCAAGGCTTGGTGCTGTGGCTCGTGTCTGTAATCCCAGCACTTTGGAAAGTTGAGGCGGGAAGATCACTTGAGCCAAGGAGTTCAAGACCAGCCTGGGCAACATAGTGACAGCCTCATCTCTACAAAAAATTAGCCAGGTGTGGCCAGGCGCGGTGACTCACTCCTGTAGTCCCAGCACTTTGGGAGGCCGAGGCGGGTGGATCACGAGGTCAGGAGTTCAAGACCAGCCTGGCCAAGATGGTGAAACCCTGTCTTTACTAAAAATGCAAAAAATTAGACAGGCTTGGTGGTGGGCACCTGTAATCCCAGCTACTCGGGAGGCTAAGGCAGAAAATTGCTTGAACCCAGGACGGGGAGGTTGCAGTGAGCTGAGATCGCGCCACTGCACCCCAGCCTGGGCCACAGAGTGAGACTCAAAATAAAAAAAAAAAAAAGAAAAATTAGCCAGGTGTGGTGGTGCATGCCTATGGTCCAAGCTACTGAGGAGGCTGAAGCAGGAGGATCACTTGAGCCCGGGAAGTCGAGGCTGCAGTGAGCCAAGATGGTGCCACTGCACTCCAACCTGCACAAGAGTGAGACCTTATCTCAAAAAAAAAAAAAAAAAAAAAGAAAGAAAGAAAAATAAATAAGGAGATTCAGGAGGCAGAGAGAACAGAAAGTGGGGATTGATGGGCTATGGGACAAGGGGTTGTCCAGCATGAGACCCAGAGCTCTAGTCTGGAGGACAGTGGAGCCATCTCTGAGGTGGGGACAGGAAAAGAGGAGCAGGTTGATGGGTAGTGACTGTTTTGACAGAGGTGACCAAGGGGTTCTATGAGTTGGACAAGGAGAGTGGTGACTCAGGCCAGTGGATCTGGACCTTCAGGAAGAGTTCTGGGCTACAGCTCCCTGCCCCAGCACAGGCCCTGACTCAGAAGTCACTTGCTGGGTGAACGAGGACCTCTGAGCTGAGGATCCCTTGCTTCGCACCCCGTGAGGAAACGGCTTTCTTGTTTCTGCATCTTCAGTCTCTCCCACTCCTCCAGCATTCAAACATGTCCATCATCTCTAAACACATGTGCCCTGTATCAGGCTCTCTTGTGGCGCCCACTGGCTCAATCCCTTACCTTCCACTCCCTCTTCAACCCACTATGTCTGGCTGCCTAACGGCCATGACCCTGCAGTGGCTCTGGACAAGGTCACTGAGGTCACCTGCTCATTGCTGACACCTGAGGGTAACATTTCAATCCTCATCTGACCTGGTCCACTCCCTGAAACTCCCTTCACCCTACATCCTCCTTCCTGGGCAGCTTCCTCCCTCTCTGGCTGCTCCTTAGAACCCGCCAGCCTTGCCTTCCACTGCCCACCCCCGCCCACCCCTTTACTAGGGGTGTGATCCTCAGGGCTGTCTCTGTCCTGGCCCTCTTGTTGCTTGTCCCACCTGCCCAGGCTTCCTGGAAAGGTTCTAGTCCCTTGGTTCCACCTAGACTGCATTTTTTTTTTTTTTTGAGGCAGAGTCTCATTCTATTGCCCAGACTGGAGTGCAGTGGTGCAGTCTCGGCCGACTGCAACTTCTGCCTTCCAGGTTCAAGCGATTCTCTTGCCTCAGCCTCTCAGTTAGTTGGGATTACAGGCGTGCACCACCACACCTGGCTAATTTTTGTATTTTTAGTAGAGACAGTGTTTCACCATGTTGGCTGGGCTAGTCTTGAACTCCTGACCTCAGGTGATCCACCCGCCTCAGCCTCCCAAAGTGCTGGGATTACAGGTGTGAGCCACCACACCCAGCCCCAGACTGCACTTCTGACCCTTGTTGTCTCCTGGATTGTCTTCCTGAGACCTTCCAGCTCACCATGTCCAGAATGGCCCTCCACAGGTCCCACCTGTCACACACACACCTGAGCCTCCTCCCATTGAAGAGACAGCTTCACTGTCCACCTGCTTCCATGGCCAGACCTGGGTGTCATCTCTGTCCCCTTGCTGTCCTGTAACCTCATCAGTAGGTGCTGTCCTTCCCACCTTTTATGGCTCTGGGATGCTACACCTACACTCCCTACCCTTACGGCTCCTGCCCCAGCTCAGGCATCCTCCTTGGCCTGTAGGACTCCAGTTTTGCCCTTTTCTGTCCATCCCCCAGTGTCCCAGCAGGATCTTTCAGTGCCCTGAGCTGACCCTGGCCCTTTCCTGCTCAAAGTGCTCCTGTGGCTCCCCACTGCCCTCCAGTTTAGTCCAAATCGTACTCCAGGCTCTTCAGGCCCTGCTCCTGCTGACCACTCCAGGCCCCTCACGCCCCTCCCCACTTTGCACCTGACCTTCTGGTCAGGTGGAAGCTTTTTCTAGCCAGGTGGCAGCTTTGATCACTGCCAGCTGGCTCTCACAACCTGGCATGTTTTTTCTTCCTAGCAGACTTTTGTTCATCCTGTAGTGTCAAGCTCAGATCACCACCTCTGTGAAGCCCTCCCTGACTACCACAGGTGGAACCCCTGGGGACTGTGACAGCCTGTGTCTGTTCTTCCACCCTCTCTGAATCCAGGATCAGAAGCCCTTTGAAGGCATGTCTTGGGTATAAATCATCTCAACTCCAAACTCAGGGCTTACAAGGGGCCAGAGAGTTGGTCCAAGAGTTGATTGTCACAGCTGGACAGAGCTTGCATTTCCAGTTTTTGTTTTTTTGGAAACAGGGTCCCACTCTTGCCCAAGTTGGAGTGCAGTGGTGCGATCATAGCTCACTGCAACCTCGAACTCCTGGGCTTAAGTGATCCTCCTGCCTCACCCTCCTGAGTAGGTAGGACTGCAGGAGTGTGCCACCACGCCCGGCTAATTTTTAAATGTTTTTGTAGAGACTGGTCTATGTTGCCCAGGCTGGTCTCAAACCCCTGGACTCAAGCTATCCTCCTGTCTTGCCTCCCAAAGTGCTGGGATTACAGGCGTGAACCTCCGTGCCCGGCTGCATTTACAGTATTTTGAGCGCCAGTTTGTTTCTGATTTCCTGCTAACTTTGCTCCAGTTCTGTAGGGTGTTTGGGTCACTGGAGCCTTTGAGACCCGAGAGATTATTTTTAACTTTTATATCCCCCTGATGGATGCTGAGCCTGGTCTCCCTGGGACCAGGGTGAGTCCAGCTAACCGAAGGTCTTCAAGGGGAGGAGCTGAGGACCCAGCATCTCCTGGCAGTGTACCTGGATGAAGTCCGAGGGGAGGTGGGTCCGGGTTACCAAGGAGTCCACTCCCTTCTGGTCCCAAAAATCCAGTCCCCCATACCCCTCATTCCAGGTTTCTTGGTTCCCAGCCGCTTGAGTCCGATGCTGCCCCCTGGTGGGCAAACACCCCACCGTATTTGAGAGAGGCCAAACTAATTAAATACTTTTATTTACAACAAACCAAACCGACCTGCAAGGGAGGGCCAGTCCCCGTCCCTGCGGCGGTCGCCGCAGCAGCAGCAGCAAAAGGCAGCGGTGGCGTGCAGGTCCAGCCGTCTCGGTGACCGGTGTGTGTGCGCGTCCCCCTCCCCGTGGCGAGGGTCTCAGCTTTCGGGCCCCCGCCCCGCCCCCTTGCCACCCCCGACTTAAGTAAGGCACAGCCCGCGTCCCCTTCCGCCCGGCCCGGAAGGCATTCATGACGGAGGCCGGCGCAGATGGGAACAACAGGCTTTTAGTGTCGCCCCCCGCAGCCCCCGTCTACCCCCGCAGCCCCCGTCTCCCCGCTCGGCCCGGCTCCGGCGGGAGGAGTGAGGACGAGGCGGATGCGCTCCACGCACAGCTCTGCGGCCTGGCGCGTCTCGCGGCACAGCGCCGCTAGGGTCAGGAAGCCGTGCGGCAGGTCCTCCACCACGCGCAGCGTCACCGGCTGGCCCAGGTTGCGCAGTCGCCGCGCGAGCATGACCGAGTCGTCCAGCATGGGGTCCAGCGCGCACGCCTACGGGACAGCGGGGAGGGACGTGGAGAGAGGGTGGGGGACAGACAGACCGGGGTCGGGTAGAGCGAGGAGGGGTTTGATGAACAAAGGGAGCGGGAAATACGGATACAGACGGAGTGGACGGAGGCAGGAGACATGGTGGGTGAGGAGTTGGGGAGAGAATGGAGGGAATGGGGGGAGTTGTGGGAAGGATGGGAGAATGACTTTAACTGCGATCCCCGGCCTCTCTCCAGCCTCTCCCTCCCCACCCCGCCAAACCCACCTTTTTTTTCTCTTGATTCTCCAAGCCCAAGGGGCTGCCCCACTGATCCTGTCTCTTGGTACTCAAAATTGCAAAGTAAAACGGAGGCAGCCCTGACTCTTGTCCTCCTCCCGTTCGTTCGGGGCATTGTTCTCCCCTGGGGACACGCCTGTCCCTTTCTCCCCACTCCGGAGCTCTTTTTCCCAGGTGTACCCGTGCCCGGTCCCCCTCCTCCCCGGGTGCCCTGCTCTTCTCTAAATGCACCTGTACCGGCCCCCTCTGTCGCTCACCACGATGTGCACAGGTGGCAGGCTCTTGAGCATGCTGTCGGGTGCCAGCAGCGGCGACATGAAGGGGTTCTTGACTATGGGTGAGGAGTAGAGGGGCATCTGTGTGGCACCCTGGCTGGAGCGTCGGGGGTGGAAACCCTCGGGGAAGGCGGCACGGACGCCCAGGCCTCTGTCCATGGGGCTCAGCTCATTTTTGGCCTCAGCCTCTTCCCCTGCATCCTCAGGTGGTAATAAGAAGTTGACATCGGAGGGTGTGGAGGGGCTAAGTGTCTCAGCTGACAGCGACATCTCGGGGGTGTCCGACGACGTCTCGGAGTTTCCCCTCAGGCTCAAGTCCCTCAGGGTCAGGTTCTTGAGGGAATCCGTGCCCAGTGGGCCCTGGGGCTGGGCCAGTGCTGCTTCAGACACACTGCGGCGCATCGGCTCTGAGAGAGGGAGAGCAGATAGGCCTGGCTCCGTTAGTTTGGTTGTGTGTGTGGCTGGCAGGGAATGCCATGGGAAGGGCAGTCGCCTGTGGAGCGCTGTGAAAGGCTGTGTTTCCCCAGACTCTTGCCTAGGGGATGGGTGGAGTTCCAGATGCCCCAGGTGGTCATGGTGGGGGTCTTGGCAGTGGGGCAGTGTGTTCTAGTGAAGGATGTGTGTGTGTGTGTGTGTGTGTGTGTGTGTGTGTGTGTGTGTGTGTGTGTGACTGGGAAGATTAGGTGCAGTTTACCTCTAGGAACCTATTTTTTCTTCTAGATCAAGGAAATGAAAATAGTCCTTGGTTCATAGGTGGCAGGACTCAGTGGGATAAGATGTGGGATTAGGTACCGCTACCCACTGGGGATCATAATATATCGTTTTTTGTTTTTTTTTTTTTGAGACAAAGTCTCGCTCTGTCACCCAGGCTGGAGTGCAGTGGCAAGAACATGGCTCACTGCAACCTCCACCTCCCAGGTTCAAGTGATTCTCGTGCCTCAGCTTCCTGAGTAGCTGGGACTATAGGCATGTGCCACCATGCCCGGCTAATTTTTGTGTTTTTTTTTTAGCAGAGATGGGGTTTCGCCATGTTGGCCAGGCTGTTCTCGAATTCCTGGCCTCAAGTGATCCGCTCGCCTCGGCCTCCCATAGTGCTGGGATTACACTTACCACAAGGTGTAAATGGATCAAAATGATTTGAATAGTAAGCAGGCCCAGTGGCTTGAAGGGAGGCTCTGTTCACAGGGAGCTAACAAGTCTCCAGGGTGTATCACATTTCTAGGGGTCTGGCACCTGTAGCCACATGGATCTGCTTCCCCACATTTCCTTTGTGTTCTTCAGTTTTATCCGTTCACGTGACCAGGCAAGCAAGTGCCCAAACGATGCTAAAGATACACTTCCAGCCCACCTGGCGTGCCCAGCTTGGCCTCAGCTCTGTTCATTTTATCAGACCCACACTGCCTACCATGAGGGCCAAGATGCTACAGTTTTAGTTTTTTACTTTTTTTTTTTTTTTTTGAGATGGAGTCTTGCTCTGTTGCCCAGGCTGGAGTGCAGTGGTGCGATCTCGGCTCACTGTAACCTCTGCCTCCCGGGTTCAAGCAATTCTCCCGCCACAGCCTCCTGAGTAGCTGGGATTACAGGCATGCCACCATGTCCAGCTACTTTTTGTATTTTTTTTTTTTTTGAGACAGTCTCACTCTGTTACCCAGGCTTGAGTGCAGTGGCGTGATCTCGGCTCACTGCAACCTCGTCTCTTGGGTTCAAGTGATTCTCCTGCCTCAGCCTCCTGAGTAGCTGGGATTACAGATGCATGCCACCATGCCCGGCTAATTTTTGTATTTTTAGTAGGGATGGGGTTTCACCATGTTGGTCAGGCTGGTCTCAAACTCCTGACCTCGTGATCTGCCCGCCTCGGCCTCCCAAAGTGCTGGGATTACAGGTATGAGCCATTGCGCCTGGCCCATTTTTGTATTTTTAATAGAGATGGGGTTTCACTATGTTGGCCAAGCTGGTCTTGAACTCCTGACCTCAAGTGATCCGCCTGCCTTGGCTTCCCAAAGTGTTGGGATTATGGGCGTAAGCCACCACACCCAGCCTTACTTGTCTTTATAAATCTACGAAGGTGAGGTGCAAAACAATGTGAGAATAACTACTTAAGTACTTTGTGGCCCAGAGGGTCACTGGAACAGAATGGACACACCAGGGGTGCTGGCATCTTCTAATAGCACCTACTGGGTGCCATATATTGTACTGGCCAAATGGTTGGAGGCAGACCTCACCACAGCCCAGTAAGCGTACTCTTTTTTTAAATTTTTTTTTTTGAGACAAGGTATCGCTGTGTCACCCAGGCTGGAGTACAGAGGCTCAGTCTTGGCTCACTGCAACCTCTGCTACCCAGGTTCAAGCGGTTCTCATGCTTCAGCCTCTCTGGTAGCTGGGACTACAGGTGTACTCCACCATACCCTGCTAATTTATTTTTTTGTAGAGAAGGGGTTTTGCCATATTGGCCAGGCTGGTCTCGAACTCCTGACCTCAAGTGATCTGCCCACCTTGGCCTCCCAAAGTGCTGGGATTACAGGTGTGCACCACCACACCTGGCTAATATTTTTGTACTTTTACTAGAGACAGGGTTTCGTCATGTTGACCAGGCTGATCTTGAACCCCTGACCTCAAGTGATCTGCCCACCTCAGCCTCCCAAAGTGCTGGGATTGCAGGTCTGAACCACCATGCCCAGCATCTTCCCTGGGACTTTTGCTGTGCTAGGCTGTCCCTCCTGCCCACCCTGGCTGGGCATGTGACGGGAGTGAATCACTCACCTGCTATGGGCTCCGACATCTTCTGGGACTTGCGCCCACTTAACTCCAGGAAGGAGTTGAGCCATGAGGAGGCACCCAGGCGGAAGTCTCGGAGGAGCAGGGCTGTGTCCCGCCGCACCAGCCCCATCATGCCGAGGGCTTTCTGGTCTGAGTTGGAGTGGTCCTCCGTCTTTGCACCTGCAGAATATATGTGGGTAGCTGAGTTGTTTTCCCCTTTCTGGGCCCAGTTTTAACGCCCAGAACTTCAGGCATCTGTGGTCCCAGGGACCCGAGAATATCCAATCGCTTCAAAAGGGATAAGGAGGCTGGGCGCAGTGGCTCACGCCTGTAGTCCCAGTACTTTGGGAGGCCAAGGCGAGAGGATGGCTTGAGCCCAGGAGTTCAAGACCAGCCTGGGCAACATAGCGAAAAACACAAAAATTAGCTGGGCGTGGTAGTGGTGGTGCACGCCTGTAGTTCCAGCTACTTGGGAAGCTGAGGCAGGATGATTGCTTCAGCCTGGGAGGTCAAGGCTGCAGTGAGGTGTGTTTGAGCCACTGCACTCAGCCTGAGCGACATGACACCTTGTGTCTGTCTGTCTCTCTCTCTCTCTCACACACACACACACACACACACACACACACACACACACACACGAAAAAAAAGGGACAAGGAGTCTTAGATTCCTCTGCCTGGCCTCTCCTTCCTCAGTCACAGGAGTCCTGGTCCCCAGCCCGTCCCTGCAGGAGTCAGACATCCATGCAGTCCTGTTTCCCTGCTGAGGGTGTGGGCCTCACCAGCATAGGCGCTGACACACTTGGAGAGCACACTGAGGGGCAGCAAGGGGTCCATGAGGCTCAGCAGGCGGGAGGGAGAGGCGGCAGGCTGCAGCATTGTGGCCGGGTAGGCTGCCATGATGCCATCTGGCACCCGCACCCCGTAGGCTGCTGCCCGAAGAGCCACGGTGAAGCAGAGGTTCCCGCCTGCACTGTCCCCCGCAAGGCAGATTCGTTCCCCTGTTGAGCCTGGTTTGGGAGAGGGGTGGTTGGTGACAACCTGGCAGGGGCAGAGGCCTGGGGAGGAGGGCAGGGAGGAACTCAAGCTGGGAGAACTGGGCTCTCCAAGGTGGGGTGTGGGGCACTCCAAGGCCTAGCAGACTGCAGTTTTAGAGACTGGCAGACTGAGGCACAGATTTGGGCTCATGTGGTAGACAGAGGGTCAGGATGACTCAGGACCTGGAGAGGCCCAGGGAAGCACTGGGAAAGTCTGTCGGGGCTGGAGGTTGGGAGCAGGGAGGGCAGGTGGTGGGAAAGGGGAGCTGAGCTCAGGCCTGTTGCAGGAGGGGGGCCTCAGAGGGCGGGAATGGAAGGTCAGGGTTCAGGGTCAGTACAGAGGGGCTGGGCTGCAAGCTCTGTGCCCTGGGGCATGGCCACACTCTGCTCTGTGCCTCAGTGTCCTCCCAAGATGTTGATCTTCGAAGAGGGAGGTCAGAGAAGCTGGACTGTGGGCCAGGAGGCTGGTAGGACAGGAGAGCAGGGCCTGGAGCTATCAGAGGGGGACGACAGAGGCCCAGGGAGACAGGACGGTGGGTGGGAAGTGGAGGTGGAGGAGATGGAGAGTCTGGGTGCCACAGTTGGGGACAGAGGATAAAGTGGCTGAGGTGGAAGATTGGGCAGGACCTGGGTGAGCAGGAGCTGGGAGGTGTGGGGGGAGAGAAAGGTAGAGGGTGTGAGGCTGAGGCTGGAGGAGCTTAAAGCAAGCTGGGTGGGATGGGAGCAGGCGCAGGTGGCTGTGGGGGCCTGAGGCTCACCAAGGAGGGCGCAGTGCTTGATGGCCCAGCAGTAGGCGAAGAAGCACTCCTCCAGCGCACGGGGGAAGGGGGCCTCAGGGGCCAGGGAGTAGTCGATGGAGATGATGGGGGCGCCCAGCTCCTGGGCCCAGCTCTTGAGGTAGGGCTCGTGGGATCTGGAGGTCTGGGCCACAAAGCCACCGCCGTGGAAGTGCACTATCAGGGACCGCGAGCGGGGTGCCTGCTGGGGGCGCGGCCACAGCTCCAGGCTCCGTTGGCCGTTGGACTTTATCAGGCTGCTGAGCTCCTCACTGTCCTGGGGGTGAGGAGGGAGACGGTGTGTGAGGTTGGGGAGAGCTGGCCAGGGCTGCACCCCTCCATGGGGATGCCAAGGTGGGGGCTGCCCACGCTCCTCGGCTCTGTCCCTGTCCCTGGCTGAGGCTGGAACCCTACCTGTCCTTCACGCAGGTCATAGGAGATGAGCCTGACGAGGACGGGCCCAGGGCCTGTGTGGGCCAGTGGGGGTGAGATGGTGACCGTGAGCGTGGGGTCGGCAGTCAGTGGCATCTCAAAGGCTTCGGGTGGCAGGCTGAGCAGGCGGCTTACCCTCACGGTGGCCGATGCCATGTTGGCCAGAGACTGGAGGGAGGGGACAGAAGGGGTGCTAGGGAAGGTCTGCCTGCAGGGGTGCCCTTCACCTCTCCCTCTGATCCCCAGTCTTTCCCCTTGTGTGCCATCCCTGGGCCTGGAGCCCCACAGAGACCTACTGTGGCCTCAGATGAGTCTCTGGGCCTCAGTGTCCCCATCTGCAACAGGCCCTCACCGATAGCACTTCCATCTCGGTGATGTTCCAGAAGGCTTTCCAGAAGTGCACGTCCAGGTTCTGTGTGATCCGCTCAAACTCAGCCCCACGCAGCTCGGGGTCGATGGCAAAGCGGCCGCTGGTGAAGAGAGAGCTGGCGGCCACACCTAGGGGTCAGAAGGGGTGTCAGGGAGCCCCAGTGGGTCAGGCTGCTTGGGCAGGAGTGGGGAGGAGGGCCAAGAGAGTAGGCTGCGAGTAGAACCTGGCTGGGACTCACTGAGGCCTGTCTCGTTGCGTTTGTAGTGCTCCCCGAAGGACACCAGCCCAATGGAGATGGTCTGCAGGAATGGCCGGATGGCAGGCGTGAACTGTGGAGAGACGCGGCTGCGTCACCCACCGCTCAAGAGAGGGATGGGGACAGGGCAGGAGCGAGGCACAGGGATGTGCGGGGAAGACACATTCATTCAGTAAACGTTTCATGAGCTCCTACTGTGTGCTGGGCATAGCTCTCGGCTGGTTCACGGACCTGATGTTCTCAAAGGGAAAACAAATGATCAGCAGATAAGCAAAGCCACGCGCAGTATCATGACAAGGAATGACGAATGGTTTGGAAAAAAAAAAAGGCAGTAGGTGGAGAGGGCACCAGTGATGACTAGGGGTCAGGCTACTTAGCGGGTCTCGGAGGAGAGATCTGACTGAAGCGAGGGGAGGGTGTTCCCTGCACAGGGAACAGAGAGCATGAAGGCTTAAAGGTGAGCTCATAGGAGGCTGAGGCAGGAGAATCGCTTGAACCCAGGAGGCAGAGGTTGCAGTGAGTGGAGATCACACCACTGCACTCCAGCCTGGGCGACAGAGCGAGACTCTGTCTCTAAAAAAAAAAAAAGGTGAGCTCATGCTTGGTGCTTGACCTGGGTAGCGACAGTCAGGGGGCCAGTGTGGCTGGAGCAGAGTGAGCAGTGGGGAGAGGGGCAGGTGGTGACATTGGAGAGGCAAAGGGGGCTCATATAGGGCCTGGGCAGAGGAATTTGGATTTCATTCCCAGTGCGGGGTGGTGCCACTGGTAGGCTGTGAGGTGGGGAGTAGGATGGTGCAGGGACTTCCTGAAAGTCAGAGAGAGGATGGATGGGGAGAGGAGGCAGCTGGAAGACAGGAACAGGGAGATGGCCAGAGACAGCCCCCCAGGCACAGGGACCTGAGGCAGAAAGACAGTCAGAGAGGGAGACTGAGGCCTAGACATAGGACCAGCCAGCCACCACGGGGGCAGGGAGAGACAGCGTCTGACAGAGCAGACAGGCAGTTAAGGAAAGACAGTGGGGTCCAGGTGCAGTGGCTCATGCCTGTAAACCCAGTACTTTGGGAGGCCAAGGTGGGTGGATCACTTGAGGTCAGGAGTTTGAGACCAGCCTGGCCAACATGGTGAAACCCCATCTCTACTAAACAAAATACAAAAAAAAAAAAAAAAAAAAATACAATGGGGACACAGGATTAGAGGAAATGGAGCCATAGGAGGCCAAGGCAAGGGATTGGCGGGTTCTTCTGTTCACTCTGTACTGGCCAAGTTCCTACTGCATGCTAGACACTGGGCTGGAGCAGTGACCAAGACAGGGGAGGCCTCTGCCCTCCCGGGGACGGACATTTTAAAGGGGAGACTGCCCTGCACCAAGGCAGAGCTGGGCCCTGCCCCTGGCTGTGCGCCCAGTAGGCCAGAGGGCACCTGATGCCTGGCTATTGTGGCTGGGATGCTGGTTTGGGCAGCCCCGGGATCTCTTTCTCATGACTCTAGGGTCACGGCTGGGACACAGGGAGGAGCTGGCTGGCCCAGCTGGGCTGATCAATACTTGTGGGTTCAGCCCTGGTGAGGGGAGGTTTCCAGGAATGCCTGGGCTGGGTTGCTGAGGATAGGCTAGCCTGAAGGGAAGCCTGGAGATGTGGGGTGGGAGGGGGAGGCTGAGGTGCGGGGAGGCCCAGAGAGGGCCAGAATGACTATAGGGTCACATGGCTCCAGATCCCTCCCTGAGGGGTCTCAAACTCAAGTGACTTCAGGGGCCAGACAGGTAACAAAGAGTGAATACATCTCTTGCATGTAGGACAATAGAGAGTAGTGGATATCCTGGTGAAAAAAGCTCTGCAAGTTGCATTTCTTACCACCTAGCAGATATGACCTAGGGACCATGAGTTTGAGACCCCTGGTGCAGCTCTGTCTGAGCTCCAGCCAACTTCTCCTTTCTGTACCTGCTGTTTGCTGAGTCCGATAATGCTGACCACTGGTTACTTTACCATACTATAGGCCAGGCCAGGGGCCACCAGGTGCCTTCATTGTGGGCCCAGAGGGGCACGGGGCAGGGGGCTCACCTGGAAGCCCAGGCAGCGGCCATAGAAGCATCCCTTATGCAGCGTGACATACTCCCGGAGGAAGTCGGCGGTGAGCCCCTCGTCGCCCTCAAAGAAGAGTACCCCCGGCCGATTGGTAACCAGCAGGCGCTGGGCGTAGTAGACCAGAGCGCGGAGCTGGGTGAGGGCAGCCAGGTAGGCCTCCAGCTCGGCCAGGTTGTGGCTGGTGCGGAAGAAGATGCTGCGGCGGTTGGAGGCCACATAGCGGGATTTGTGCAGGAGGTGCGCCAGGCAGCAGCGGGCTGTGTGCACTAGGCTGCGGTACCCGTTGGCCGGTGTCTCTGGGTCCAGGTCAAAGAGGTGCGCCACACCCAGCAGGCGGCCCAGGGCCGGCTCCAGCCCCAGCGCCTGCTCCCGTACACCGGCAAAAACGCCTGACAGCCGCTGGGCCGTTTCCCCAGGACCCTGGCTCGAGAAGAAGGCTATGTTGTCCTCCGCCAGAGTCACCAGCGACTGTGTCATTGTGCGCAGGTCCATGTTGTGGATGAGCCTTGAGGCTGTGGGCAGGTGGGGAGGCCTGTTAGGTGGGGCTGGATCAAGCCTTGCTTAGCTGGGGCCCAGGAGTCTGGGCCATAGCTTACCCACTCCTCCTTCAAACCTCAGTGCTGTCTTCTTTCAGTTCCAGGGGCCCAGGACCCCAGGTTCCTCCTCCCTTAGACATAAGAGGTCACCCTCTTGTCTCTGGGAATCAGAAGTTTGGGGCCCCAGTTCCCAGTGCCTTTGTCCCTCCTCGGGAGCCAGGAGTTTGGGCCCTCAGCTCCCTCCTCCCTCAGACCCAGGAGTCCAAGCCCCAAGCCCTTCCTCTTCAGGACCCAGGAGCCCCTGCTATCACCTCTTTGGGACTCAGAAACTTGCTGCCCTGGCCTCCTGAATCCGGACATTCCCTGAGCCCACACGACTCTGCTTCCCTAACTCATTCACCTCTCCTGTGATCCAGGAGGCTGCCGGTCCTTCTTTCTTCCTTCCAGGAACCCAAGAGTCTAGTCACCTGTCTCCATGAATTCTCCTGGGGCCCAAGACTCCTTCTCCTAGATTCCAAGAAGTCTAAACCTCCAGTTGGTCCCCATTCTCAGGACCCAGGAGTCCGGGTCCCCCATCCCATCTTTCCTTCTTAGGCCCCAAGTGCTACCCATAGGCCCTTCCCCTCCAACAACATTTGGGAGAGTTCAGCCCCAGCCCTCCCATTCCCATCTCTCGGGACCCTGGTCCCCAAGCGCAGCTCTCCCTGAACTCAGGAGTTCACAATTCTAGACTTCACTGAAGAGTCATTCCTCATCCTTCAAGTCTGGCTGTGGAACCCCCTCCAAATCCCAGTTCCCTCCCTGTTTCTCTGTGAGATCCCCAAAACTCAGTCTTGCTTCTCCCCCAGTGGGGTCCCCTGGCCTTCAGGCTTGTCCACTGGTCCTGGGTTGCATGGCCGGCCCTGCTCCCCTGCCTGGAACAGCGATACTCATCACTGGTGTCGACCTTGAGCATATCCGTGCAGGTCCCGTGCTGAGAGCTTTCTGTGTGTTTGCTGCTTTAGCGTGCTAACCCTCTGGGACCCACACCACCTAGGTTCAAATCTCTATTATTGCCAGCATCCCCATTTTACAGGAGAGGAAACTGAGGCTCAGGTTTTAAGTGAGGAGGTTAAAGTTGCACTGCAAGTGGCAGAGCTTTTGTAAACCCAGCTCTCTGGGTCCACAGCCACACTTATGTGGGGCTCCCCGCTAGGACTCTGGAAGCCACATCTCAAAACTTGCCCTGGACTACGTCTGATCTCCACACTTTCCAGTCCCCAGTGATCTTTCCTCTGATATCCTTTCCCAGCCATTCAGGCTGCCCTGTTTCTTGGATGCCCTGTCACCCAGGTCCTGAACAAGCTGCCCTTGGTGGAATGCTACCATCTGCTCCAGTGACTTCCCTCCCAAAGCCCAGCACCTTGCCTGTTCCCCTAGAAGAAGGTATTTCCTTTCCCTTCTAGGTCCTGGGGCCTGGCAGCGGCCATTCCCGTCTCTCAGCTGGCTGGACACTCACCCCTCCTAGGCATCTTCCGAGCTTCCCTGGGCTGGGACTGCTGGTCTGTGGCTTGTGCCAGTAGCAGCCTGGGGCAATAAACCCGGGGGCGGGGCTGGCCTGCCCAGGGTGTAGCCGCACAAGCCACCTCCCACCCAGAAAGATCAGTGAGGACCACGTGCTGTAAACAGAGTAGAGGGCTCAGCTCCCTGCTCTGCCCCCCACCTGCTCCCAGACTCAGCTCAACTGGTAGTCCTGTTACAGGCTCCTCTGCCTTAGAACCCAGGAGTCCACACCCACAGCCCCTCCTCCCTCAGACCCAGGAGTCCAGGCCCCCAGCCCCTTCATCCTTTAGGACCCAGGAGTCCTAGCCCCAGTCCTGAACAAACCGTCCCCTCTCACCCAGCCAGGCTGCCCTCTCTGTCCCCAGAGAGGACTCAGGGAGCCAAAGGCCCAGTGATCTCAGCTCCCGCCTCCTAGTCTGGCCCTGGCACAGCCAGCCCCAGCTGTTGGGGGGAGAGAGGAGGTAGCCAGCCCTGCCTGTCCCTCCTGGAAGGACAAAAGCCGATTAAGGGCAGTGCCAGGCTCAGCTAGGGGCCTGAGCTGCCTGTCGGTCCTACTGGGTGGTGTGACCACACTGGGTAACCTGGACCTGCCACTTACCCCTCTCAGCCCACCCTGCTGTGACTGGCATCCCCACCTCACACAGGGAAACAGAGGCTCAGAGAGAGAGATTCCTCACCCATGTCATTCACCCGTGTCATTCCACAGATTCCTTGTCTGGCCTCAGCTTGTCACTTCCAAGAGGTACTCCCCAGTTGCTTCTCCCCAGCTAAGATATGCACGCCCCCGTTATTTTCTGCCATGATATTTAGTTCTGTTCCATCCTGCCATTTGACACTTTATAATTTGTTTACGTGTTTGTTCATCTCCCCCAGGACAGGACTAGGTTTTATGGAGCCATGAAACTTATAAGGTACCGGGGTGTGGCCCTTTAGGAAGAAGAAATACAGAATTACAAATACAAGATTAGGGCCTTGGGCCAGGCGTGGTGGCTCACGCCTGTAATCCCAGCATTTTGGGAGGCCGAGGCGGGCGGATCATGAGGTCAGCAGATCAAGACCATCCTGGCTAACACGGTGAAACCCCGTCTCTACTAAAAATACAAAAAAATTAGCCGGGCATGGTGGTGGGCACCTGTAGTCCCAGCTACTCGGGAGGCGGAGGCAGGAGAATGGTGTGAACCTGGGACGCGGAGCTTGCACTGAGCCAAGATCGTGCCACTGCACTCCAGCCTGGGTGACAGAGCGAGACTCTGTCTTAAAACAAAACAAAAAAGATTAGGGCCTTGAAAGGGGCCTGTGTGACTGAGGGGCTCTGAGGCCTCAGGGTCATTTGCTTGGCTGGAAGTGAATCTTCTGTCCCGGACTGTCATCCCCCAGGTGGCCCTGGGGCCTATCATGGGACCTGGCACATAGCAGGTGCTCAGTGGATATATGAAGCAGGAAGGAAGGCATGAAGAAGCAGAGCGAGGGCAGAGGGGCTAGTTAGCTCAGGAGAGGACGGCCCCTCCCCAGGGCTGGCAGACAGATGGATAGACAGAGGCCTCAGGAGGCAGTGTTAGGCTTGCAGCTGTGAAAATGGGACGATGTGGGCTAGGCACAGTGGCTCATGCCTATAATGCCAGCACGTTGGGAGGCCGACGTGGGTGGGCCACGAGGTCAGGAGATCGAGACCATCCTGGCCAACATGCTGAAACCCCGTCTCTACTAAAAATACAAAAATTAGCGGTATGGTGGTGGATGCCTGTAGTCCCCACTATTGGGAGGCTGAGACAGGAGAATCACTTGAACCCAGGAGGCAGAGGTTGCAGTGAGCTGAGATCACGCCACTGTACTCCAGCCTGGCGATAAAGCGAGACTCTGTCAGAAAAGAAAGGAAAGAAAGAAAGGAAAGGAAGGAAAGAAAGAAAGGAAAGAAGAAAAGAAAAGGAAAGAAAGATGGCCCAAGCCCTTGCTGGCGACCCTGGATGAGTCTGTTTTCCTCATCTGGAAACTGCACTTGGCTGTTCTGCTGGCTCAGGGTGGGAGACATAATTTATAAGTGGGGCCATGGCCGGCATGTTCTGCATGTGGTTTGCTTTGTGGGCTCACTTGGCCTTCCTGAGATGGTGTATTGGGTGATTTTTCTCTGCGGCACTTGTCACCATCTAGCATACTATACAGTTTACTACAGGAATACCTTGCTTCACTGTGCCTCGCACATACTGCATTTTTTACAAATTGAAGGTTTGTGGCAACCCTGCGTCAAACCAGTCTGTTGGCACCATTTTTCTGACAGCAGTTGCTCACTTTGTGTCTCTGTGTCACATTCTGGTAATTTTCACAGTGTTTCACACTTTTTCATTATTATTATATTTGTTATGATGATCTGTGATCAATGATCTCTGGTGTTACTATTGTGAGTGGGGGCACCACCAACCATGTCCACGTAAGAGGGCGAACTTTACCGATTAATGCTGTGTGTGTTCTGACTGCTCCACTGACCAGCCATTTCCCCCATCTCTCTTCTCGAGCCTCCATATTCCCTAAGACATACAATATTGAGGCCGGGCACGGTGGCTAATGCCTGTAATCCCAGCACTTTGGGAGGCTGAGGCAGGTGGATCACTTGAGGTCAGGAGGTTGAGACCAGCCTGGCCAACATGCTGAAACCCCATCTCTACTAAAAATACAAAAATTAGCTGGGCATGGTGGTGTGTGCCTGTAATCCCAGCTACTCGGGAGGCTGAGGCAGGAGAATCGCTTGAACCCGGGAGGTGGAGGTTGTAGTGAGCCAAGATCACACCATTGTACTCCAGCCTGGAAAATAGAGCGAGAGTCTGTCTCAAATAAATGAAATGAGATGAAAAATAGAATAAAATAAAATAGAAATCAGGCCAATTAACAACCCTACAATGACCTCAAAGTGTTCAAGTGAAAGAAGAGTCTTATGTCTCTCATTTTAAATCAAAAGCCAGAAGTGATTAAGCTTAGTGAGGAAGGCATGTCCAGTGCTGAAACGGGCTAAAAACTAGGCCTCTTCTGCCAGTTAGCTAAGTTGTGAATGCAAAGGAAAAATTCATGAAAGTAATTAAAAGTGCTACTCCAGTGAACACATGAATGATAAGAAAGTGAACCAGTCTTAGCTGGGCATGGTGGCTCATGCCTGTAATCCCAGCACTTTGGGAGGCCGAGGCGGGCGGATCACGAAGTCAGGAGATCGGGACCATCCTGGCTAACACGGTGAAACCCCAGCTCTACTAAAAATACAAAAAATCAGCCGGGCGTGGTGGTGGGTGCCTGTAGTCCCAGCTACTAGGGAGGCTGAGGCAGGAGAATGGCGTGAACCTGGGAAGCGGAGCTTGTAGTGAGCCGAGATCGCGCCACTGCACTCCAGCCTGGGTGACAGAGTGAGACTCCGTCTGGAAAAAAAAAAAAAAAGTGAACTAGGCTTATTGTGGATATGGAGAAAGTCTGAACGGTCTGGATAGAAGGTCAAACCAGCCACATTTCCTTAAGCCAAAGCCTAATCCCAAGCGAAGCCCTATCCCTCTTCAATTCTTTGAAGGGTGAGAGAGGTGAGGAAGCTGCAGAAAAAAGGTTGGAAGCTAGCAGAGGTGGATTCATGAGATTTAAGGAAAGAAGGCATCTCTGTAACATAAAAGTGCAGGGTGACGGCCGGGCATCGTGGCTCACGATTGTAATCCCAGCACTTTGGGAGGCTGAGGCAGGTGGATCACCTGAGGTCGGGAGTTTGAAACCAGCCTGACCAACATGGAGAAACCCCATCTCAACTTAAAATACAAAAAAGAAGCCGGGCGTGGTGGCGCATGCCTGTAATCCCAGCTACTTGGGAGGCTGAGGCAGGAGAATCACTTGAACCTGGGAGGCGGTGGTTGCAGTGAGCCGAGATCGTGCCATTGCACTCCAGCCTGAGCAACAAGAGTGAAACTTTGTCTCAAAAAAAAAAGTGCAAGGTGATGTAGCAAGTGCTGCTGGAGGAGCCGCAGCAAGTTATGCAGAAGATCTAGCTAAGATCATTGATGAAGACGGCTACATTAAGCAACATATTTTCAGTGTAGATAAAACCACCAGGTATTGGAAGAAGATGCCATCCAGGACTTTCCTAGCTGGAGGGGAGGTCAGTGCCTGGGCGCCAAAGCTTCAAGGCCAGGCTGACCCCCTTGTTAGGGGCTAATGCAGCTGGTGACTCAGTTGAAGCCGGTGTTCATTTATCATTCCAGAAATTCTAGGGCCCTCAGGATTACGCCAAATGTACTCTGCCTATGCTCTTAAATGGAACAAAGCCTGGATGACAGCACGTCTGTTTACAGCATGGTTTACTGAATATTTCAAGCCCACTGTTGAGACGGACTGCACAGAAAACAACAAAATATTTCTCAATGACAATGCATGTGGTTACCAAAGGGCCCTGGTGGAGTAGATTAATGTGTTTTCATGCCCGCTAACACATGATCTGTTCTGCAGCCCACCAGCCAAGGAGTAATTTCGACTTTTAAGTCTTGTTATTTGTTATTATTATTATATTTTTTTGAGACGGAGTCTCGCTCTGTCGCCCAGGTTGGAGTGCAGTGGCGCAATCTCAGCTCACTGCAAGCTCCGCCTCCCGGGTTCACGCCATTCTCCTGCCTCAGCCTCCTGAGTAGCTGGGACGACAGGCGCCCGCCACCACACCTGGCTAATTTTTTGTATTTTTAGTAGAGACGGGGTTTCACCATGTTAGCTAGGATGGTCTCGATCTCCTGACCTCGTGATTCGCCTGCCTCGGCCTCCCAAAATGCTGGGATTACAGGCGTGAGCCACTGCGCCCGGCCAATTTCAACTTTTAAGTCTTATTATTTGTTATTCTTATTTTTAAAATTTTTAGTTTTAGAGATGGATTCTTGCTGTGTCACCTGGGCTGGAGTGTAGTGGCACGATCATACCTCACTGCAGCCTTGAACTTCTGGGCTCAAGTGATCCTCCTACTTCAGCCTCCTGAGTAGTGGGGACTACAGATGGGCACCACTATGCCTGGTTCATTTTTTTTTTTCCAGGTTTTTAGAGACAGAGTCTTGCTATATTGCCTAGGCTGGTTTTGAATTCCAGGCCTCAAGAGATCCTCCTGCCTTGGCCTCTTGAGTAGCTGGGAGAGTCACTGCATCTGGCTAATTTTTTGTGTTTTTTAAGAGACAGGGCTGTGTTGCCTAGCCTGGTCTTGAACACTGGACCTCAAGTGATCATCCTGCCTCAGCCTCTTGAATAGCTGGGATTACAGGCATGTGCCACCATGCCCAGCTCTAAGTCTTATTAAATAATAAAAAATAGAAATACATTTAGAAATACATTTTGTAGGCTGGGTGCAGTGGCTCATACTTATAATCGCAGCACTTTGGGAGGCCAAGGCAGGAAGATAGCTTGAGGCCAGTTTGAGATCAACCTGGGTAACATAGTGAGACCCTCCCCCTCTACAAAAAATAAATAAAAAAATAAAAAAACAGAAATACATTTGATAGCAGGAACAATGGCAACAAAGGATTTAGACTATGACATAGACTTGGCTGATAGAGCACCAGCAGGCTTTGACAGGACTGACCCCCATTTTTTTTTTTTTTTGAGACAAGTTTCGCTCTTGTTGCCCAGGCTGGAGTGCAATGGTGCGATCTCAGCTCACCGCAACCTCCGCCTCCCAGGTTCAAGTGATTCTCCTACCTCAGCCTCCTGAGTAGCTGGGACTACAGGTGCCTGCCACCGCGCCTGGTTAATTTTAGTATTTTTAGTAGAGACGGGGTTTTACCATGTTGGCCAGGCTGGCCTCAAACTCCTGACCTTGGGTGATTTGCCCACCTCGGCCTCCCAAAGTGCTGGGATTATAGGTGTGAGCCACCGTGCCTGGCCTGACCCCAATTTTGAAAGTTCTACTGTGGACCAAATGCTATCAAACAGCATCACATGTTACAGAGAACAGTTTTGTGAGTGAATCGAAGCAGAAAAGTTCATTGTTACCTTATTTTAAGAAACTGCCACAGCCACTTTCTACAACCACCACCCTCGTGAGTCAGCAGCCACCACCACTGGGGCAAGACCCTCCACCAGCAAAAAGATGAGGATTTGCTGAAGGCTCAGATGATCATTAGCATAGTATGGGGCCAGGCGTGGTAGCTCATGCTTGTAATCCTGGCACTTTGGGAGGTCAAAGCAGGAGGCTCACTTGAGGCTAGGAGTTCGAGACTAGCCTGGGCAACATAGTGAGATTCCGTCTCTACAGAAAAAAAAAAATTAAAATATGTACATGGTATTTTTAGACATATGCTGTTGTACACTTTAATAGACTACAGGATAGTGTAAACATAACTTTTCTATGCACTGGGAAACCAACAAATTTGTGTGACTCACTTTATCAAGTGGTCTGGAATTGAACCCCAAATATCTCTGAGACATGCCTGAATTTATATTGTTTGCTCTCTGATTCCCTCACTAGATTGTAAACTCCCTGAGGGCAGGGACTTTTGCCTTTTTTATTCAGCCTTTGGACAGTGCCTGGTGCACTGCCGCCCCTTGGTAAAGTGGTAGCATCCATGCCGGTAGGGATCTTTTAAGATGAGGAGTGGGGGCCGGGCGCCGTGGCTCACACCTGTAATCCCACCACTTTGGGAGGCTGAGGCCGGTGGATCACCTGAGATCGGGAGTTCGAGACCAGCCTGGCCAACATGGAGAAACCCTGTCTCTACTAAAAATACAAAATTAGCCGGGCATGGTGGCGCGTGCCTGTAGTCCCAGCTACTCGGGAGGCTGAGGCAGGAGAATCGCTTGAACCTGGGAGGCAGAGGTTGCGGTGAGCCAAGATCACACCATTGCACTCCAGCCTCGGCAACAAGACAGAAACTCTGTCTCAAAAAAATTAAAATAAAATAAATAAAAAGATGAGGAGAGGGGACATTTCCAACAAAACAAGTGACTGCACAAAGGAGTGGGGAAGGGGCTGGACCCAGGCCCTAGGGACTCCAGAGCTCTGCCCTTTGTCCTGTTCCAGGCGGCTCCCCGAGGACTGGGCTGGGTGGAGCTGGCAGGAAGGGATGCTGAGGTTGCCAGCAACTCGCCAGGAATCCCTGGCAGAGGGCACTGGGGCAGGGGTAGGCCCACTGGGGCCGTGGGTAAGGACTAGGGGAGAGGTAGGGCAGAGGGGATTTGGCTTTGGGTGGTGTCCCACTGACTGGGCACTGGACCTTTCTTTGCCCTGAAGAGTTTCTGGACAGCTGAATCCGACTCCTGGGGACTGAGCAGGGGTAAGGAGGGCGGTGGGGAAGGAAGTGGGGTGGGGGTGGATGGGGGATGGAGGAAGGGCCAGGTGTGGGGCCTGGGAGGAAGCAAAGGCTTCTGAAGCCAGGAAGCCTGGAATCAGATGCAGGTGGGGACAATGAGTGGCTGGATCCCCGAGAGTGTGTGCATAAAAGAGCAAACGTTGCACCAACAGCCTCTGCGTGCCTGGTCTCTTTCTCTGTGCGTGTGTGTGTTTAATTTAAAAATAGGGATCGAGTCTAGCTGTGTTGCCTAGACTGGTCTCGAACTCCTGTGCTCAAGCAATCCTCCTGCCTTGGTCTCCCAAAGTGCTGGGATTTCTTTTCTTTTTTTTTTTTTTTTCATTCTCAAAGGAGGTGATGAGATTTCTTTATGTGTTTTATGTGAAGTGACTCATGTCGCCTGCCCCACAACCTATGAGGGAGAGACCATTATCATCCCTTTTGGCAGATGACAAAATTGAGGCACAGAAAGGTGACATAACCCCCGGGGTCACACGGCCAGCAGGGGGCAGCTCCAGGGCAGAGCTGCTGATCTCTGCTGTGTTTCTGTGTGCTGCTCCCTCTGTCTGTGCTTCAAAGTATATGCTTTCTGGTCGGGTGTGAGTGTGTCTGGGGTTCACGTGTACATATGTACCTCTGCAGGTATGTGTCATGGCTGGCGTGTGTCCTGGCCTGTGTCCGTCGGCACTGGTACATTTGAAGGTATGAATGTTTGTATGCCTGTGAATGTATCTGTGTCTCTGTTTCTCTTGGCCTGTGAGCTTGTGTGGGCGTGTTTGTTTATGTATGAATGGATATACATGCTTGTGCGTGTCTTGGTCTCTGTGTGTGTGTTGAGAACAAACCTCTCCCCATTTGCTCAAGCTGGAACCCAGGATGTCATCCTGGCCACCTCCCCACCCCCCAACTCCCATGCAATCCATCCCCTAGTCCTGCCCACTATGCCTACTAAAGGCCTCTGGAACCTGGCCCTTCTCCCCACCTCCACTGCCTCCTCCCTGGTCCAGGCGGTAGCATCATTACCTGGGTGACTATGACAGATCTTTATATATTTCTGATTTTGTTCTCTTTGATTTGTTGTCCACATAGCAGCCACAGGATCTTTTTAGCACACAAATCTGTTCACACACTTCCAACCCTTCAACACCCCCTCCCTTGCTTTCAGGATAAAGCCCCCAATCCTGCACATGGCCTCCCAAGCCAGGTACCATCCTCCTCTCTCTCTCTCTTTTTGAGACAAAGTCTCATTGTTGCCCAGGCTGGAGTAGAGTGGTGCGATCACAGCTCACTGCAGCCTCAACCTCCTGGGCTCAATTGATCCTCCCACCTCAGCCTCCCAAGTAGCTGGGACTACAGGTACACCCCACCATGCCCGGCTAATGTTTGTGTTTTTGGTAGAGACGGGGTCTCGCTATGTTGCCCACGCTGGCCTCAAACTCCTGGACTCAAGGGGTCCTCCCACCTTGGCCTCCCAAAGTGCCAGGATTACAGGTGTGAGCCGCTGTACCCAGCTACCATCCTCCTCTCTTAAACTGCCTGCCCTGTTTCCTCTTCCTCTTCCTCCTGGCCCTGGCTGAGCTCCCTCTGCACTGTAACTCAGTGTTTCCTCAAGCCTCGGGTCTTTCTCCATACTGTCCTCTCTGTTCCCCTGCCTGCCCCCTGCACAGCACTTAACGCCTGTCCATCTTGGGTCCAATATTGCCTCCTTGGGAAGCCTCTCAATTCTATCTTCCCAGGGTGTTTTTCTCTGTTGTATTTATCACAGTTTACAATCATAGTCTTATCTGAGTAATATCTGTGTCCCCAGCTCAACTGTGAATCTGTCAGCCCAGGCCTGGCACAGCTCAGTGTTCAGTGAATGTCTGCTGAATGAATCTGTGTGACTGGAACCTCTTGGGCCCAGAATCAAGTTTGGGCCCACAGCAGTTGTGCGTCCACAAACTCCCTGCCCCGAGGAGGCTGAGGCAGCCATCTCTTTGCCCTCACTGGCCAAGTAAGGAAGCCCAGGCGGCCTTGGTCCCTCAGAGCCCCAGTGTCGTCATCTGGGAAATGGGGTGATCCTAAGGACACTAGCCTCATCCAGTTACTGGCAAGATGAAACTGATGACGAGGATTGCTCCAGCCAGCCCAGATGCCCTTGAGGCAGGAGTGAGGTCTGATTAATTTATCTAAAGCCTGGCACGAGGGCGGGGCTTCAGGAAATGACAGGCAAATCTTGGAGTTTGCAGGAATGAGCCTTTGTGAATGGCTCGTTTTGCAGGGAGCCCTGCCCAACTGGATTCTGACTCCTCATGACAACCCTAAGGGAAGCGTGATTATTATGATCTCTGTTACAGTTCACACATTCCTTCACTTATTAATCCAATAAATATTTGAGTGCCTATTTGCCTGGCATACCAGGCTCTAGAAATACAGGGTAAACAAGGCAGATACAGCCCTGCTTTTAGGATGTTCACCGTCCGGTGGGGACTAACAGTAACAATAACCTTCACTTCTCCTGAGGGTTTGCTGCGTGCCTGTGCCAAACGCTCTACATTCATTCTAACCTCACAAAAGGAGGTACTCCTATCATCATACCCATTTTAGAGCTCAGAAAGCTGAGGCAGGGAAAGAGGGAGTCTCCTGCCCAGAACATCACAGCTCCCAGCCTGAGGAACCGGATCTCCGACGCCCACGTTTCTTAACTACAGTCTGTACTGCCTCTGGGTATGCTATACTGGTGTGAGGCTCAGTGTCTTGCTGTGACAGCGAGTGCCCTTGGGCTCCAGTCCGTCTGCCCTCTGAGCCTGTCTGAGCCTGCGTGTGTCTGAAGCCAACTCCAGGTCTATTCTGGGCTAATGATGTGTTCTACGGCAGGGGAAGCAATGAGTTTGGGGTCCCTGGGGCTGAGGGGTGGTGTTAGTTTCCTTCCTGCATGGGAACCTCCCACGGGTCCCCATGCTGATTGATAAATGCTTGTAACTGAGGACCTGCCCCTGCCTGAGGCTTGCAGCATTTCTGTTGGTCTGTCAGCCTTTGTTCCGCCTTTTGAGACCTGAAAATAATGTGACACCCTAGAGAAATGAGGCCTTCCCTTTTGCTGAGGCAGGTGTGGAGGTCTGAAGCCAAGCCAGGGCCCGTTGTCCTGGAAAGGGTAGGGGTCAGGGCTAGGCCCCAGTGGAGCCGGCTGAAGCGGGTTGACTGACAATGAATGGATGGATGGATGGACTGACTTGCCGGGTGGGAGGCCGGGACTGCGATGAACTTTACTGGCCCCGCTGCACTCTCCACTATGGGCACCCCTTCCTCCTACCTCTCCTTGACTCACCGCTAGACTTCCTCTTTGAGTAACACCTGCTAACCTCCTTCCCCCTTATCCTCTCAAGAGCGCTGGAGCCCTGAACATCGGCGCTTGAAGCATTCCCCAGGTGGGAAACACTGAGGGCATCCGTTGCCCTTGGTCACACAGCGAATACGGAATCCGAGCGGGAACCCTGGTCCACGAAGCTCGCATTCCGGACTCTGCTCCCAAGCCGATCCGGGCGTCAGCTAGTCCCTGTGCCAGGGTGGGCCTCTCGGCTGTCACATCACCCCCTTCTCACAATGGATCATCCCGTTGTCCCCGCAAGCGGCAATGGGCCAGTCCGCGGACCCCCCCAACTCCCTGTGGCAGTGGGCCAGTCCACGCTGTCCCCACTGCCCCGTAGGATGTACGAGGTTCCTTCCGGGCTGCTGCCGGTCTCCGCGCGCTCACCTTTGGCCTTGTCTTTTCGCCACCGCCGGCGACCGTGGCTCCTTGAGCCCTCTTTGGCATTCTTCGAGGCCGGGGCCATAGCGGCCTCGGCGGGCTCCGTTCCCCCGGCCAACTCCATCAATTCCCCGCGGTCCTCCCGCGGGGGCCAATTCCAGCCGCGAGGCCCTGCCCGGAGGGCCAATCCTCGCTACACACTACTGTCGGGCCCCCCTATTACCCAATCCCGAGCTTGCTCTTCTCTGGGTCCAGCTCCCTAACCAATTCTGGTCTCCCTCCGCTGCCGTGCTCCGCCCCCAACCGCCAGAATTTAAGATCTGGCTCCGCCCCCTACCGCGCATTAAAGGGCTCGCGGCCAACAAAAAGGCAACCCCGGGGGTGGCGAAAAGCGTCCTTCGGGCAGGACTAGTGCGGAGCCCCGCGGGGAGCACCCCAGCAGGGAAGTCCCGATCTTCCCACGTGCTGGGAAGCCTCCCATGTGCTGGCTCAGTCTCGCCATCCCACTCACCTTCCCAGGGAGGGATGCCCTAGCACGCGGCCCGGCCCGCCTTTTGAAGGGGGAAAGTGGGGCGCCTCTGAGCCTCTGCCTGGGGTGGGGGCGGGCCAGGTCCTCTGCCAACTCAAAGACGAGGCGGGGCGCCAGCGCTGGAGGCGTGGCTGTGCCTGAGAGCCGTTGGAGGAGGGAGCCCCGCTTTCCCTCTCCTGTCTCCTAGTTCTCCTATTGCGCTTTTCCTGGGGGATCTTTCTCCCTCTGTCTCCGCCCCCTAATCCATGCTCCCGATAATGAGGGTGGGGGATGGTGGTAGGAGAACGCTCGGCGCCTGCGCACTAGCTTCAGGCCGCGGGCCGGCCCAAGAGCGGAGGTAGAGGGAACGACGCATGCTTGAGAAATGGCGGGAAACAGAGGAGGCTCGAGGCTTGCTCACACGCACACAGCCAACTGCTTCTGGACCGCCTTGCTCACACGCACACAGCCAACTGCTTCTGGACCGCCTGAAAGGCAACCTCGCCCGCCGCGGTGGTGTGGGGCGGGCATCCCTTGAGACTGTGCTCTGGAGGCCTGGAGAAACAGCTTTCTATCCTCAGCACTGGGGAGAGCAGGCCTCAATCCCTGCCTTTGCCTGCCGCCCCTCTTCCTTCCCTCTCAAAGCATACCCAGCAGCCCCGGCGCTGAGAAACGCGTTACTCTCTTATCAGCTGTGGGAGAGACAAGACAGACTGGCCTCTGGGCGGAGGGGCCGCCATTGCCTGCCCTCTGGACCAGGGCCTCACAGATACCCTCAGCTTCAGGATTAGGGCTGCGTTGGTTTTTCCCCCCACATCAGGGGACTTCAACAAGTAACCTCCAGTTCCATAGATAAAACTTGTATTCCCCCCTTCTCCATGGCAGGGGTTTTGAGCCTAGAGAAGGAAGATCGGAGCTTCCTGGGGCTCCTGTGAAGCAGGCAGGGGGCAGCACTGGGCCCCGGGAAGAGGCGGAGAAGGCGAGGGAGTGCCTGCGGTGAGCCCAGAGCCTTGGGCCCGTTATCCTCTGATGCTGCTCCCCCAACTTTCCTGCCGTCAGTCCCTGACCTTGCCTGAGACCTTGGCGGCTCCCGCACCTCTCTCCCGGCTCCTCCTTGCTGAGAACACAACCCGCAAGGCCCTTCCGCCTGGCTGGACTGAGTCCCCTATGGAGGCAGCCTGGCAGGGAGCAGGTATCTTCCTGGCAGAAGAGGACAGACCTGGTAAACTGAGAGACTGTTGATGCCCCAATGTTCTGCCTAGCCTGCCTGGAAACTCCAGAAGGGTAAGGTACCGTCTTTGTATTGTATTGCTGGGACTTACGCCCGTGTCTACCCCAGAGCTGGTGCTCAGTCAGTTTCTGTGGATGGATGAATGAACACTGGCAAGAGGGCCGCTTTCCTGGTCTCCTGGTCCCTAGCTCAGAGTGCCTTCCCACTCTGGGATTTGATTTTCCCCAAATCCTCTATAGGGAGGCAGCCTGGTCCAGGGGAGAAAGACCCCGGCTTCAAATCCTGACTTTGCCACTTCCTAACTGCATGGCCCTGTGCAAGAACCCTTACTTCTTTATTTTCTACCTGATGTCCTCATTTCTAAAATGAGGATGTTGGCCAGGTGCTCGGTGGCTCATGCCTGTAATCTCAGCACTTTGGGAAGCTGAGGTGGGAGGCTTGCTTGGGGCCAGGAGTTCGAGACCAGCCTGGGCAACATAGCGAGGCCACGTCTCTACGGAAAATGTAAAAATTAGCGGGGCATGGTGGTGCACTTGTAGTCCCACCTACTCCGGAGGCTGAGGTATGAGGATCGCTTGAGCCCAGGAGTTTGAGGCTGCAGTGAGCCATGATCATACCAGTGCACCCCAGCCTGGGCGACAGAGTGAGACTTTGTTTTTTTCTTTTTTTGAGATGGAGTCTTACTCTGTCACCCAGGCTGGAGTGCAGTGGCACGATCTCAGCTCATTGCAACCTTTGCCTCCCGGGTTCAAGTGTTTCTCTGCCTCAGCCTCCCGAGTAGCTGGGATTACAGGCACCTGCCACCACGCCTGGCTAATTTTTGTATTTTTAGTAGAGACGGTGTTTCACCATCTTGGCTAGGCTGGTCTTGAACTCCTGGCCTCAAGCAATCCATCTGCCTCGGCCTCCCAAAGTGCTGGGATTACAGGTGTGAGCCACTGCGCCCAGCCTTTTTTTTTTTTTTTTTTTTTTTTAATAATGGGGATGTTGATCTTTATCTCAGGATTGTTGAAGGATGACCAGAGCTAACCTGATACACCGTAAGTTTTTAGTATTTTTTAAGTAAATGAATGACTGTCCCTGAGAGGCTTCAATTCCTCCAGATTCACACTCACCTGTATCCTGGTAGTGTCTGTGATTCCGAGCACTGGTTTTCTCATGTGGCGACGTCCCACTGTATCCTGACATCACTTTATAACCAGATTTTCCTTTGAAGCCTAGCTTCACTCCCTGGGCCACCATTCCACCCATCGTGGCTGGAGAATCTGTGTCTGAAGATGATCCCACATCTGATTCTGACTCAGAATCTGTGACCCACTCAGAAAGTGCCTTCCACTCTAGGGCTGATCGCTGTATGGATAGTTCCTGAAGTTTTGTTAGAAATCCCAGCTCTGTCAAAGATCCCTGCTTGGATTTGGCTCCCTGGACTGGCGTTGTTTGCTTGTCTGACTGTTCAGGTGTCTCTTGGGACGTAGATTCAGTCGGGGCAGATGGCTCCCTTTTGGCTCCAGGTTTAGCCTGGGCCGCAGGTGTTGATTCAGCTTCTTGTTGAGCTGGAGGTGGCTCTCCTGGCCCAGGCCCTGGCTGGGCTACATGTCTTTGTCTCAATGCTGGCTCCTGTTGAGTTATAGATTCTTTTCCTAGCCCAGGTCCCTGCTGGGAGGCAGCTTCCTGTTGAGTGAGCAGCACCCTTTGGATGTAAGGTGATTGCTGTGGTGCGGGCTTCTGTGGGGCAAGAAATTCCTCTTGTGAAGCAGATTTTTGTTGGGCTCTAGGTTCCTTCTGGGATTCAGCATCATGTTGTGCAGGGGTCTCCTGCTGGGTGAGGGGTCTTTGGTTTGAAGCAGGCTTCTGTTGGGTATTGGATCCCTGCAGAGTCTTCGATTCTGGCTGGGCTATGGGTGTCTTTTCTGGCCCAGGCTCTAGCGGGGTTATAGGCCTCTGGTGTGGTTCAGGTTGCCAGTCTGACCTAGACACTGACTTAGAACCTGGCTCCATTGTTATTTCCCTCACGGGAGATATTGATCTTCCAGGTTCTATCCTTCTGGGCTCCCACCCAGCCCTCTCTCTTCACAGATCTCTCATTGATTCCTCATGATGGCACTTCCTCTTGGGTTTCACTCCATCCTAGCATCACTGGTCTTCCTTTTTAAGGCAGCTGGCAGTTGGCCGATCACAGCTGGCCCCCACTAAGTAATGAACTCTGTGCCTCTTTCTTTGGTGGGAGGATTAGGAATAGGAGGAGGCTATGTGCCTAGCACTCTCTTACAAGAAGGGAGGGGCTTGCTCTCTTGTGTCATAAATAGGGCCCCACCCCACCCACCACTCCGTTAAAATGTTTCTTCTCATAAGGCAAGCATCCCAATTTAGGCCTCCGTGTCATCTGGGATGACAGAAGCCAGATGCTGGATGAGTGTTCCTTTTTTCTCTTTCCTTCTAATGTCTGAGGAAAGCGTCATTCAGGGGGCAGTCTCTGTAGTTGTTGTAATAATTATTTCCCTCTTTGTTCATTCCTACAAATGGTTGCCAGATTATTTATTTATTTACTTATTGAGACAAGTCTTTCTCTGTTGCCCAGGCTGGAGTGCAGTGGTACCATTTTGGCTCACTGAAGCCTCCACCTCCTGGGTTCAAGCGACTCTCCTGCCTCAGCCTCCCAAGTAGCTGGGACTACAGGCGTGCACTGCCACGCCCGGCTAATTTTTATATTTTTAGTAGAGATGGGGTTTTGCCATGTTGGCCAGGCTGGTCTCAAACTCCTGACCTTAAGTGATCCACCCCCACCCCCCGCCCCCGGGCCTCCCAAAGTGCTGGGTTTACAGGTGTGAGCCACCACGCCCAGCCAGGTTGCTAGTTTAATTTCCTTATATTGTCATTCTGATCATTTAACTCTCATGTTAAAAACTAATGTCATGCCTTCCCACTTTTATAGCTTGAGGCCCTTCTGAATGGCATTTGAGATACTCCATGCCATCTCTCTAGCCCTGAACTATGATCCTGTACTAGATTGGAAACTCACAGAAGACAGTGACCACTGATGACAATGACTGATAATGATGGTGGTAATGGTGATGATAGTAGTCATAAATACCAAAGGCTGCCTAAGTGCTAAGAAACTGTGCCAAGTTTTTTTTTTAAACCTATATTATCTTTAATAAGACCGTGTCTGGTTCATTGGTATGCTTTTTTTTTTTTGTCCCACCTCGCTCTTACCTCAGAAAGATTTGTCGAATGAGTGAAAGATGAACAAGTAGGCCAATGGAGACAGAGTGAGGGTCTTGGTGGGGATAAGTATGTGTAGAATCTGGATTCAGTCTGCAGTGAATAGGGTAAAATGGGTCATCTGGTTGTGAATTGGCAGACCCCATTTGAAGGAAACAATTTTGATCTGTGACATTTAAAAATATTTATTGACTTCTGTTTGCTACTTTCCTGATTGCATTTAAGGTTAAATGACACTAGCTAGGAAGCTACAGTTTCCTGGAATCTTTCAGGTAATTAAGCCTAAGCCTGGGTAAGGGGAGGGCACAGGCTAAGACTGACGAGAGAAGAAGACACTAGAGAGAGCAACAAACAAAATGATCTTGAAAAACATGCTTTTTGAGAGCACTGGAATGATTTAGGGGTGGGTACAGTGGGAGAGTGAGGTGGGAGAAGAAGAGTGTCTGGTAGGTGTGCTCACTGTCTTCTTGGCTGAGAATGTTTAATTGGAAGAGTGGGCGCTCAGAGCTCCTACAAAGGCAGAGCAAAGCTTCTTAGCTGACATTGTTTGAGAAATTGCTGGCAGGCTCTGGAATGCTTGTTTGGCTTTCTGTGGTGCCTTTGGTGTCCTAGGGTGCAAATAAAGGGGAGAGGCTAGTGTTAAAACCATTTTTAACATTTCTTTTTTTTTTGGAGACGGAGTCTTGCTCTATTGCCCAGGCTGGAGTGCAGTGGCAGGATCTCAACTCACTGCAACCTCTGCCTCCCGGGTTCAAGTGATTCTCCTGCCTCAGCCTCCCAAGTAGCTGGGATTACAGGTGCCTGCCACCATGGCTGGCTAATTTTTGTATTTTAGTAGAGACAGGGTTTCACCATTTTGGCCAGGCTGGTCTGGAACTCCTGACGTCATGTGATCCACCCACCTCGGCCTCCCAAAGTGCTAGGATTACAGGCATGAGCCACCATGCCTGGCCTTCACATTTAATTTTTTTTTGAGATGGAGTCTCGTTCAGTTGCCCAGGCTGGAGTGCAGTGGTGCAATCTTGGCTCACTGCAACCACTGTCTCCCAGATTCAAGCGATTCTCCTGTCTCAGCCTCTCGAGTAGCTGGGATTACAGGCACCCACCATCATGCCTGGCTAATTTTTGTATTTTAGTAGAGATGGGGTTTCACCATGTTGGCCAGGCTGGTCTTGAACTCCTGACCTCAGGTGATCCACCCGCTTTTGCCTCCCAAAATGCTAGGATTACAGGTGTGAGCCACTGTGCCCAGCCAACATTTAATTTTTATGAGAGTTTTAAAAATTATAAAAATAAGACTCATCCAGTGGAAAAAAATTTTAAAATCCAGTAAAAAGTAAAAGGACTCCTCCCACCCCAGCCTCTACAACACATTTTCCAGGGCTAACCACTGTTAATAGTTTGCTACGTATTTTTCCATACCTTCTGGTATATAAATACAATGGTTTATTTTAAAAACAAAAATGAGATTATACTATACGTATTGCCTTAGTCGGCACCTTTAAGAAATCTGGCCGGGCATAGTGGCTTGTGCCTATAATCTCAGCACTTTGGGAGGCCGAGGTGGGCAGATTGCCTGAGCCCAGGAGTTAAAGACCAGCCTGAGCAACATGGCGAAATCCTATCTCTACAAAAATACAAAAATTAGCCAGGCATGGTGGCGTGTACCTGTGGTTCCAGTTGCTGGGGAGGCTGAGGCAGGAGGAATGTTTCAGCCCAGGAGGTGAGCCGTGATCATGCCACTGCACTCCAGCCTGGGTGACAGAGCAAGACCTTGTCTCAACTGCGCCCCTCCCTCTGCAAAAAAAACAACTGAATCTATTATTGCAAAGTATTATATATCTATAGAAGTTCATAGAAACCTATACATGCAATTCAATAAATAGTTATAAAGCAGATATTCATGAAACTACTACCTAGGCTTAGAAATAGAATATTGTGTCCGGGCACGGTGGCTCATGCCTGTAATCCCTGCACTTTGGGAGCCCGAGGCAGGCAGATCACCTGAGGTCAGGGGTTCGAGACCAGCCTGACCAACATGGAGAAATCCATCTCTACTAAAAATACAAAATTAGCTGGGTGTGGTGGCGCATCCCTGTAATCCCAGCTCCTCAGGAGGCTGAGGCAGGAGAATTGCTTCAACCCGGGAGGCGGAGGTTGCAGTGAGCCGAGATTGCGCTATTGCACTCCAGCCTGGGCAACAAGAGCAGAACTCCATCTCAAAAAAAAAAAAAAAAGAAAGAAAGAAAGAAATAGAATATTGCCAACAGCACCCCTCCTTTTCTGATCACTGCTTTCTCTCCCCCTCACAGTGATAATCTTGACTTTTATAGTAATTATTTACTTTCTTTTCTTTATTATTTACCACCTATGTGTATAGATTCCTAAATAATTTAGTTTATTTTTTCTCATTTTTAAACTTTATGTATATATTATGGTCTGAATGTTTATGTCTCTCCCCATTTTTTTTGTTTTTGTTTTTGAGATGGAGTCTCACTCTGTTGTCCAGGCTGGAGTGCAGTGGCGTGATCTTGGCTCACTGCAACCTCTGCCTCCCGGGTTCAAATAATTCTCCTGTCTCAGCCTCCTAAGTAGCTGGGATTACAGATGTGCACCATCACGCCCGGCTAATTTTTTTGTATTTTAAGTAGAGACGGGGTTTCACCATGTTGGCCAGGCTGGTCTCGAACTCCTGACCTCAGGTGATCCCCCTGCCTTGGCCTCCCAAAGTGCTGGGATTACAGGCATGAACCACTGCACCTGGCCTCACTTTAGTTTTAATTCACATTTTCCTTGTAATAATAAGGTTGAGTGCCATTGCATCTGTTTATTAGCTGTTTGGGTTTCATCATCTGTGAAGTGGCTATTCAAGTATTTTTGCCCGTTTGTCTGTTGTATTTCCTGCCCTCCTCTCACTGGTCTGTAGCAATTCCTTATATATGTATTCTGAATACTAATCCTTTGAAGGTTGTGTATGTTACAGATATCGTCTCCTATTTGGCAGCTTGTCATTTTATTCTTTTGATGATCAAAATTTCATAATCTCAGTGAAGTCAGATTTATTTACTCTTTTACTTTATGGTTTGTGCATTTTGTATTTTGTTTAAGAAAGGCTTTCATACCTCAAGGTTGTGAATATATTCTCCTGTATTTCCTTGTAAATTTGTCTTTCAAATTTAGATCTGTAATCCACCTGAAACTTACGTTAATGAAGGATGTGAAATAGGGGGTCTCTACATCATTTTTTTTTCATTAATATATTGTGGATATCTCTCCAGCCAACACATAATGATTTATCTCATTATTATTATTATTATTTTTATTATTATTGTTATTATTATATTTATTTTAGAGACAGGATCTTGCTATGTTGCCCAGGCTGGTCTTGAGCTCCTTGGCTTACTGGATCCTCCTGCCTCAGCCTCCTGAGTAGCTAGGATTATAGGCCTGAGCCACTGCCCCTGGTTTACTTAATTATTTTTGACAGTAATTAGTTTTTCCCAATTTGCCTTTGAAGAAAATTTCCCCCATTTATTTGTCAATACAAATACTGCTATAATTAATATTCTTGTACCTATATTTTGAGCATCCATGCTAGTATTCCATTGTTGAGATTTCCTAAAGTAAGATTACTAAAGTTATTATACTCATTTACAATTTTGATACAGCCAAATTTATTTTACTTCCGTCAATAGTGTATAAGGATCCTGATATATCCCATTCTTGATAATATCATAATATCAATCAGTTTAACATTTGCCAATTTAGTTTTTTTTTTTTTTTTTTTTTGAGGCAGAGTCTCACTCTGTCGCCCAGGCTGGAGTGCAGTGGCATGATCTCAACTCTCTGCAACCTCCACCTCCCGGATTAAAGCAATTCGCGTGCCTCAACCTCCCGAGTAGCTGGGATTACAGGCATGCACCACTATGCCCCGCTAATTTTTGTATTTTTAGTAGAGACGGGGTTTCACCATGTTGGCCAGGCTGGTCTTGAACTCCTGGCCTCAAGCAATCCGCCTGCCTCGGCCTCCCAAAGTACTGGGATTACAGGCATGAGCCACTGTGCCCGGCTGCCAATTTACTTTTTATATGACACTTAAAAACTGGTAGACTAAACTGGGTGTGGTGGTGTGTACCTCTAACCCCAGATCCTTGGGAGGCTGTGGTGGAAGGATCACTTGAGCCCAGGAGTTTGAGACCAACCTGGGCAACATGGCAAGACCCCCTACTCAAAAAACAGAACAAAATAACAAACACAAAACTGCTAGACTAGGGAGGAGTCAAATTCTGTTTGATGCTGACACTGGTGTAATCTTCAGAGATTAATGACCAGATCTCCAACAGCCCCATCTACCCCCACTTTGGTAAACAGTGAGGTTTTAAAATCTAAGAATTTGGTTAAACCTTTCCAGTATCAGGAAAATTGTATCCTGCTTTTCCTCTCTTCCTATTTCCCGACAAGGTGACATTGAGTAGAAAGGGCTGAGTTGTGTGCTTATCCTGGTCTTAATTTCACCTCTTTTTTCTATTCTCAACGTGCTTCTTCCCTAGTGATTTCACGGAGTGACTCTGGTATAAGGAAAATCATCCTTTGGAAACTTACTTGTTTTCTTCACATTGCCCTTGAAATGATCACAGGGGCACTGCTTCTTTGGCAGCCCAGACACTGTCATGAATTTTCTTCTCGGGGCTCTCAGGAACCAATCTGGAACAACAGCATTGCTGCTTAGATGGGAGAGTTAATACATTTGATAGGAGGGAGTAGGACAGAGCTTTAATCGCCATCTTCTGTGCCTTGCATTTCCACTGCAATGGGGTGGGAAAAGGGGTCAACAGAGAACAGTGTCCATCCAGCTATTTGAATGCCAGTATTTCTGAGTTGTTTTTCCTGACAACTTTGGGCAAGGTTTGGGCAAGGGTTTGGGCAAGGGTTTGGTGGCAGGTTTGGAGGGTGCATCAGAATATCATTACTCCAAAGAATGAGGAGTAAGGCTTGGGTGTCTGCTTTTCAGTGGCTACTTTCCCTTGGGGAAGCCATTTTGCCTCTCTGCTTTCAGTCTTGCCTGTGAGTAAAATAAGGCTGAGAATAGGATTCAGGAAGCTTTTGGAAGGCCAGGAAAAAATAAAAAGGCTTTTGGACGGTAGCTCTGGGTTCTTCAGGAAAAGGATAAGGGGCAGGGCGCAGCCTGACATTTGGCTGGCTTTCCCCTAGACCTTGGAGAAGTCCAGTTCTTGCCTGAGAGTCAGGAAGAAAGTGGGCACAGGTGCTGCATGTGGCAGGCTGTGGAGAGGGGAATGGGTGAGGTCAGCTGAGATAACATCTGCATTGGTCTCAGAGGGGCCCAAGGGAGAGAGCTGGGGTCATGGTGATGCCATCGCTGTTGTTGTTGCTGAATTACTGACCTTTGCACTCACATTCTTGGCCGCCTTCCTGGAGCCATCTCCTAGAAGCCTGGCCTCGGTCCCTGTGGCCTCTGGCGACCCCTGTCGGAAGGAAACAGGTCACATCCAGACACTGGAAAGGGCACAGAAATGATCCTCCCAGCATTGTTCTACCTAGGTCAGCACAGTTCCATTTTTCCATTTTTACTTCAAGAATCTAGGTTACTTCAAGAGATGAATATTTTATTTTTATTTATATTTTTGAGATGGGGTCTTGCTGTGTTGCCTAGGCTGGTCTTGAACTCTTGGGCTCCAGTGGTCCTCCTGCCTTGGCCTCCCAAAGTGCTAGGATTATAGGCGTGAGCCACTGTGCCCAGCTGAGGGGTATTTTAATCGATAAGGGATTGAGGTTTAAAATCTGGCCTATACATAAGCATATTCAAAAATTTAATGATTAAAAAAATCTGGCCTAGAGAAAAGCTTAGCTGAAGGTAGGTGGAGAAAGAATGGCTTCTAGATGGAAGAGATGATAAAAGGCAGGGGTTTGTCGAAACCTCCTGCCCTCTCCTCATACCTCACATTAAAATCCTCATGACTTAAAAGAGTGAGAGCGAGGAGGAGATTATTCCTTAAATCAAGATTTTCCCTTGACCTCCAAGTTGCTGGGTTTTTTGTTTGTTTGTTTGTTTTTTGAGACAGAGTCTCACTCTGTCATCCAGGCTGGAGTGTAGTGGTGCAATCACGGCTCACTGCAGCCTTGACCTCCTGGGTTTGGTTGGTCCTCCCATCTCAGCCTCCTGGGTAGCTGAGGCTTCAGGCATGCACCACCACTCCTGGCTAGTTTTTTGTATTTTTTGTAAAGATAGGGTTTTGCCAAGTTGCCCAGGTTGGTCTGGAGCTCATGGGCGTAAGCGATCCGCCTGTCTTGGCCTCCCAAAGTGCTGTGATTATAGGCATGAGCCACCACACCCACCCCAAGTAGCTGTATTTGAATCCAGAGTCCCAGTTCAACTATTAAACGATGGTATTTACCTTTGTTCCTCTGGAACAAATACATTCTTCTTTTGGCCTTTATCCGAGCCTGTTTTATTTTCCGATTCTATCTTATCTCCATTTTTTGATACTTAAAATATTCCTATGACAGGCTGGGCACGGTGGCTCATGCCTGGAATCCCAGCACTTTGGGAGGCTGAGGCAGGCGGATCATGAGGTCAGGAGGTCAAGACCATCCTGGCTAACATGGTGAAACCCCGTCTCTACTAAAAATACAAAAAATTAGGCGGGCGTGGTGGCGGGCGCCTGTAGTCCCAGCTACTCGGGAGGCTGAGGCAGGAGAATCTCTTGACCCCAGGAGGCGGAAGTTGCAGTGAGCTGAGATCGTACCATTGTACTCCATCCTGGGCGACAGAGCGAGACACGGTCTCAAAAAAAAAAAAAAAATTCCTAAGACAATCAAGAATGATGGTTTATAGACTTGAGATTCTCAAGTAAGAGCTTGGCTCAGATGACACTTCCTTTATGGTAGTTTCTGATATTTCCTGTCAACATGAATTATACCTTCATATGGTTCCCATTGTTGTTGAATGCAGTTCTGTTATTGCACTGTAATGTTGTTGTTTGAAATCTTTTATGGACTGAATTGTGTCTCCCGAAATTCACATGTTGAATCCATAACCCCCAGTACCTCAGAATGACTGTATATGGAGATAGGACCTTTAAAGAGGTGATTAAAATCAGGCTGTTATGGTGGGCCCTACACCAGTCTGCCTGGTGTCCTTATAAGAAAAGGAGATTTGGGCTGGGCGCGGTGGCTCATGCCTATAATCTCAGCAATTTGGGAGGCCGAGGTGGGTGAATCACAGGTCAGGAGTTTGAGACCAGCCTGGCCAACATAGTGAAACCCTGTCTTTACTAAAAATACAAAAATGAGCAGGGCATGGTGGCGCGTGCCTGTAGTCCCAGCTACTTGGAAGGCTGAGGCAGGAGAATTGCTTGAACCCGGGAGGCAAAGGTTGCAGTGAGCTGAGATCATACCATTGCACTCCAGCATGGGCAACAAAGCAAGACTTTGTCTAAAAAAAAAAAAAAAAAGTAGGGGGGATCCTAGAGAGCTCTTTCATTCTCTTTCCACCTCTTGAAGATAAGAGGAGAAGTCCACTGTCTGCAACCTGGAAGAGGACCCTTGCCAGAACCCAGCTGTGCTGGCACCCTGATTTCATATATCCAGCCTGCAGAACTGTGAGGAATAAATTTCTCTTGTTTATGCCACCCAGTCTGTGGTATTGTGTTATGGCATTCCTAGCAAACTAAAATAAAATATTTCTCCTTCACTAGACTCTGAACCATTGGTTCAGTAGTCATTCAGGTACGTGGTTCCTAACACATGGTAGGCATTTGGCAAATGTTTGTTCAACACGTGGATGGATAAGTTGTTTGGAGAGGACCCTTAGAGATCATATGGTTCAATTCAGGCCTCCTACTTCCCAGACTTCTGCCACACAGATGGAGGGGGTTGCGTCATTTCCCCAAGGGCTGCTTTTCCAATGTTCTCATGTGCTGTTTTGAGTGTTATCAAAGTAATTTAAGCAGGCATAGGTCCTGCCATTTAAACTTTTCTAACATTTTTACTCTTGCCTGACCTCTACTCCTAGTTCCAGAGAAAAACCACAGAATATTAGACCTTGAAGGAAATCCCAGAGATTATTTAATTGAATTCCTTAATTCTGAAGTTTTTTTTTTTTTCAGTCTAAATGTAATTTAACTGTTGGAGAAAATTTTGAAAGTACAAACAGAGAAATTATTATTCTTACCAACTGTTGGTATTTTGGCATATTTGTTACCTACATATGCTTTTTATTAATATAGTGATAACCATAGCATGTAAACACATTCTCTTTTTCCATTCATAGGCATGTTGCTGTGTCATCTTCATAACACATTTTTAATGAATGCATAATACTCTCAATAATTATGTGTTCCAAATTATTTAACTGCTTTCCCATTGCTGAATATTTAGAAAGTTTTATTTTTTAGATGTTGGTAAATTTCTTTGTTCTTGTAACTGTTTTCCAAATTTTAGATTATTTTCTTGAGAGAGAGTTCCCAAAGTGGAATTACTGGGTCAAAAGTTAAGAATTGCTTTCAGAAGAGCTATACTAATGTTTAAATTTTTTTTCATTTAATTATTTATTTATTTTTTTTGAGACGGAGTCTCACTCTGTCGCCCAGGCTGGAGTGCAGTGTTGTGATCTCGGCTCACTGCAACCTCTGCCTCTCGGGTTCAAGCAATTCTCCTTCCTCAGCCTCCCAAGTAGCTGGGATTACAGGCACCCACCACCATGCCTGGCTAATTTTTGTATTTTTAGTAGAGGCAGGTTTTACCATGTTGGTCAGGCTGGTCTTGAACTCTTAACCTCAAGTGATCCGCTCCCCTCGGCCTCCCAAAGCGTTGGGATTATAGGCATGAGATGCTATGCCTGGCCACTTTATACTTTTTCTCTAAACAAATTTATTTTGCAAAACATCCTCATCCTATGCAATATTATCTGTGAAATTACAGGTTTGATGTATGCTTAGTTTTTTCCTAACATGCATTGGAATAAACACATAAATATTAAAGTAAAAAGAAGCTTATTTACTTTCCACCTAAAATCAGTTTTGGGAACCACTGATACAGTGGCATAAGCATGCACTTTATATCCACATAGGCCTGGGGTCAGCTACTGGCTCTGTCACTTAACTGTCGACTTGGACAAGTCACTTGGCTTCTATGATCCTTGATTCCCTGATTTGTGAAAGGAGGGTGGTAAAATCCTCCTTGCAGAGTTGTTGGGAATAAGTGAGCTGCTGTGGGAGCCCAGTGTCCAGGCGGGTGTTGAGTACATGATGGTTATCATTGTGTTTATTGCTGTGGAATTCTGGTTATTTTCCAAAGTGAGTGTCTATGCTGGAATATTGGGCTTGTGGCTTTCTGCTGATGTGGATGTGTAAAGAAGTTACTTCCACTTGTTAGGATTTGTGGTGCATCTGTCATTATTTTCACTTCCCAGATCCACTACATATTTGCTTTGTGATTTTGGACAAAGTTGTGTAACTTTTCTGTGCCTCATTTTCCTAATTTGTAAGATGTGGTTAATAATATTCCTCCCTTATCCACAGGGGATGCATTCCAAGACCCCCAAGATACTTCAAGTCTCAGATAGTACCAAACCCTATATATATATTTTTTCTACACATATACACTTACGATAAAGTCTAATTTATGAATTAGGCACAGTAAGAGATTAACAATAAGATAGAACAATTTTAAAAATATACTGTAATAGGCCAGGTGGGGGCTCACACCTGTAATCCCAGCACTTTGGGAGGCCGAGGCAGGCGGATCACGAGGTCAGGAGATTGAGACCATCCTGGCTAACACGGTGAAACCCCATCTCTACTAAAAATACAAAAAATTAGCCAGGTGTGGTGGCGCACGCCTTTAGTCCCAGCTACTCGGGAGGCTGAGGCAGGAGAATGGTGTGAACCCAGGAGGCAGAGCTTGCAGTGAGCCGAGATTGCACCACTGCACTCCAGCCTGGGCGACAAGAGACTCTGTCTCAAAAAAAAAAAAAAAAAAAAAAAAAAAATATATATATATATATATATATATAAAATACACACACACACACACACACACACACATATATACTGTAATGAAAATGACGTGAATGTGGTCTCTCTCTCTCTTTGTCTCTTTCTCAAGATAACAATATTTTTGGACCACTGTTGGCGGGTAACTGAAACTGCGATTAAGTGGGGACTACTGTACATGAGTGTGCGTGTGTGTTATTTCCCAGCTCTGACCACTAGAGGGCCTAGAAGCACCAGCACCTACTAGCAATGGACCTATCAGTCAGTGCCCATAGTCTGTAAATATCATTCTCCCATGAAAGGAACTAGGGCTTCCAGGAAAAATAGCTGATCCAGGGCTGGGGCAGAAAAACACAAGAGGAGCCCAAAGCTTCTTGTGGTGTCAGAAAGTAAGGAGCTGCTCAAAAAATGGTGGAGATGTGTCTAAAGGTCACAGAAGCCAACTAGAAGGAGCTCCCAATGGCCAATTTTGGGACAATATGAGCAACATAATAAATAATGATAGTAGTGGATTCCAACCCATAAATACTCATGAGTCCATGCTGATATAAATAAATAACTGAACAAATAAATAAATAAGGAAGAGGCTAGGCATGGTGGCTCACGCCTGTAATCCCAGCACTTTGGGAGGCCAAAGTGGGGGGATCACTTGAGGCCAGGAATTAGAGACCAGCCTGGCTAACATGACAAAACCCCGTCTCTACTAAAAATACAAAAATTAGCTGGGTGTGGTGGTGTCTGCCTGTAGTCCCAGCTACTCAGGAGGCTGAGGTGGGAGGATCGCTTGAGCCCAGAAGGTGGAGGCGGCAGTGAGCCAAGATCACACCACTGCACTCCAGCCTAGGCAACAGAGCAAGACTCTATCTCAAAAAAAAAAAAAAAAAAAAAGAAAAAGAAAAAGGAATAACTCTTTCTTATGGCAGAATTCCGATTAAATAAATGTAGAAGGAACAATGGAAGTAGAAAATCACTATTTGGCCAACACCACAGTAATAATTCTTTATAGGAAACAATCATCCATAGATTCTAAAAGTTAATATTAAAAGTATGATGATGCCATAACTGGTGAATAACAAGAAAAAAAAAAGTATGATGAGAAGAAACAGGCTATTTACATATTTCCAAAGTGTCTCTCCACAAGATACTTATTAATTACAATAAGATGAATAGTAACTTTACAGTAGAGAAACCTGGCAGACACCACCTGAACCAAGTGCTTAAAGTGAACCTCATCAGTAATGAGAGATATCGACATCCTGGGGCTCTTGCTGGGATGTCCAGAGAAGGATACATCACTTCTGAAGTATTCTTGCCCAAAATGTGTAGCCGGAAATATCAGACAAACCCATATTCAGGGGGCATTCTACAAAACAACTGGCTAGAACTCTTCAAAAGTGTCAAGGTCCTGAAAGAGAGGGAAAGACTGAGAAACTATCCCAGGTTGGAGGAGACCTAGGAGATCTGACATTTTATTCAGTGGGATCCCAGATTGGAGTCTGGAGCAGAAAAAGGACATGAGTGGGATGATTAGCAAGATTTGAACATTTGTAGATTAGTTAATATTATGGTATCAGTGCTAATCTCCTGGTTTTGATAATTGTATTATGGTTACATAAGATATTGTTTGAAAACAATTGGATGAAGGCTGTACTGGAACTCTATTTTTACAATATTTTTCAAAGTCTGAAAAATGAAAAGTAAGAAAAAGTAAGAAATGCATTAGATTTGTGAGGACAAATGAGATAGTAAGTGTGAAGTGATTAGAACAATGCTTGTGATATAGGAGTTCTTAATGTGTCTGATATTATAAGTAATTTTATAATTAAATAATATTATAATTAATGAATAATCTGTTATTTTAAGTAATTTATTTCCTAATGACCTCATATATTCTCACTTATTTCTATTTCCCTTAACCCTGTGAAAAGCATATTGAGCATGTATGTGATTAAGAGATAAAATAAGATTAGACTTTATTCTGAGATTTATTTTGGGGATGGAGGAGCTATTATTTCCTTTAGCCACTAAGTAGCTCAGACTCAGGCCTGCACTGCAAAACTTTGCTTGGCTGGGAAACAAGATTTGAGCCCGGCCGCCACCCACTCGACGTGGTTTGTGATGGCGCCCCCTGGTGGCGCAGGGAGCTTTCCCCAGTTCCTCACCCTCGTGCTTTAGGAGCGACTTAGAAACTACTCAGTCCATTTATTAAACCCTTTCTAGGACACGCTGCGGATCATTTAATCTTCACAAGTGTGTGTGACAAGTGGTATTTTCTTCATTTTAAGATGATAAAACTGAAACTCAAAAAAGTGAGGCGACTTGTCTAGGGTTGCAAAGTGTGTGGCAGAGCCAGGATCTAGGTCCCCCTGACTTCCAAGCTGAGTGTAAAGGTCTAGGTGAGTCTAAAAGTGTGGCCATGCAGAGAAGTATTGGTGTAGAGCAGTGGTTGTTGACCAAGGGTGGTTCCCCCTCCGGGGTCATTTGGCGATGTCTAGAGATATTTTTGGCTGCCATAACAGGGGTTTGGATGAGGGAGAGGGGAGGCTGCTATTGGCATGTAGGGGAGAGAGGCCACGCGGATGCTGCTGAACATCTCACAATACACAGAACAGCCCCCACCGCAAGGAACTGTTCAGCCCAAATGTCAGTAGAGCTGCTATGAAGCCCTGGTTTGATTTAGCAACCTGAGGATGCATTCTTGCAGTTAGCTAATGTTTGCTGAGTACTGAGCTGGATAGCGTGAGGGATATGGAAACAGTGCACCAGTCTGTGTCACCAAGTAGTTTGCAGCCTAGAAGGACAGGGGGTGGGGGCAGGAAAGGCACATGAAGGCCCTCAATATAAGGCAGCAGATGATAAGTGCAAGAAGAGAGTGTCCAGCAGGGCTAAGCCAGCGCTCAGGAGGGAGACCACATGTCTGGCTGTGGGAGGAACTGAAGGAAGCTGTGGGAAGGTGGTTTTGAGCTGGGTGTGTGAGCAAAGTTGAACTGGTGGAAAAACACAATACCTGTTCAGGGAAGGGCAAACAGGTTAGTTTGGTTGGAGAAATAGTATTTTTAGTGAGTAGAGGGAGGTACACTAGAAAGGCAGGTTGGGGCTACAGCTTTGAATCCAGGCAGAGGACTCTAGCCTGGGTGTCTGTCATAGTGATGGAAAAGTCTTCCCTTTCAGAACAGTGGTCTAGGCCCTAGGGCTATGGGGCTTAACAGCTTCCAGAGCACTCTCTCTACAAAGGAGGGGATGTTGGAAATTGGGGTGGAGAAGGGAGAATGCCTCCTGATTTTAGGACCAAGTTGATGCTGAGTATGTAACATAGCCATTTCACCTCAAAGTGGCCTTTGGGGAGATGGTGCTCACAAGCGGAAATATACATGGGGATCAGGTCTTTTCTGCGTGGTTGCTCTGTGCAGGGCTGGGCCACTTTATAGTGAAAGCTGGAGCAGATTTGGAACCCCTAAGCTAAAGTCGGCTTCCCAAAATGTGAGCTGTTACAGCAGGGCTTGCTATGGATAAAGCTTCAAATATGGACACTACCTGGTGACAGGCTTTTTCTAGTTTATTACGTTACCAGTAAATAGCATTAAGACATGTTGGTGGCATTCCAGTGCACTGTAAAGAATAGAAGCAAGGACTTCCTGATCTTCTATAAAGGTACCATTGCCTTCAACACTCTCCCACCATCATCATTAAGTTTAGCCATGAGAATTATGTTACTCTTTTGGAAAAGTGTTGGGGGAGAAGGCATGGGAGCAAATCTTTGTTGAGCTAGTATATACATACATACGTACGTGTGTGTGAGGGGGATCAGCTACAATTGCAGATATCTTCTTTTCTTTTCTTTCCTTTTTTTTTTTTTTTTTTTTTTGAGATGGAGTCTCACTCTGTCACCCAGGCTGGAGTACAGTGGTGCCGTCTCGGCTCACTGCAGCCTCCACCTCCTGGGTTCCAGCAATTCTCTGGCCTCAGCCTCCTGAGTAGCTGGGACTACAGGTGCGTGCCACCAGGTCTGGCTAATTTTTTGTATTTTTAGTAGAGATGGAGTTTCACCGTGTTAGCCAGGATGGTCTCGATCTCCTGACCTTGTAATCCGCCCTGCCTTGGCCTCCCAAAGTGCTGGGATTACAGGAGTGAGCCACCGCGCCCGGCCAGTTGCAGATATTTTCACATACAATATCTCGTTTAACTCTCTCAACATTGTTTGGGTGTAAGTACAGTTTGCTGTTTTTTTGTAAAGGAGGAAACTGGCATTGAGAAAGGCTCACTTGCCCCATCCCCCATAGCTAAGAGAAGCTGCATTTTGATGTGTCTGTGGCCTGTTTTGCCACATTTCTCCCCCCGTTTTCCCCTTCATAGACAGTCTTGTTTACCTGGATTCAGGCTGCTAGAGACCATGGACATCAGCATTAGTGGCAGCAACAGGAGGAGGGAAGAGATTAGAACTTTCATCGCAACTGTCGGTGCAGCTGTAAGTTGCTTGAAGAATATAATGGAAGGTTCCCTGCTGGAGGCTCCTGATCCCTGGGGATGACTCAGGTCAGGATACTCAGCCTGGTGGTCTATGCTTTAGTCCCAGGCCAGCGTTCCCATTTGAGGGCGAGAACAGGTGAGGTGACGCTGTCTTGCTGTTACGTAACAGATTAGACCATGTGCTTTATGGGAATCTGGGAGGTGAAACTGGTCAAACAAAAGAAATTCAGCATTCTTAAGAACATAAGAAGGTGACTGATAACTTGGCAGCTGTGCCAGTTCTCTCCTGTACTCTTTCCCGCCTCCTCACACCCCAATGCCTCATGATTTCTTCCTCAAATCTTTTTTTCTTGCTTGGATTTCCTTATACCTTTCAATGACCCTCTCTATCTGAATATTTGGCAGGAAAGTGGATACTAAGTGTTGGTAGAAGAGACTTTGACAAGGTCTGTTTCCCCTCTGTGCTCCTGCTCCCATCCTTGGCAAAATATCGGCAATAGTAGTGTTGTTGCCTGGGAAGTTGCCCTGTCCTCTCTCTGTTCACAATTCCCTCCAATTCTGCAGCCACATAAGATGGCAGCAGAGCAGGATCCGGGACAAGAGGCAGCTCCCCTGCCGAGAACACCGCCCCTGGAGCAGTGGGTGACACCAGGCCTCCTTGTGTGTCCATCGGGAAGGTGGCCATGGCTTAGTTGTTCTGGTCTAAAGGGGAGGGAACTGGGTTGGGGGAAGAGACCCCCAGAGCTTTAGGTCTCAGAGGGTTTGAGAAACAGGAGCCACAGGAGGGAAGGAGCCCTGAAGTGTGTTTGCCCAGCTGCTGGGGCGCCTGGCTCCAGCCCTTGTTTGGAAATGGCCCCGGGCAAAAGAAGAAAGGTAATAATACTTGAAGTAAACATTAGGGGCATAGAATATCAGCACTCACTAAACTTGACATTTATTTGAGACTTTAGGAAATGTGCTCAAAGGGAGAGGAGAGGCTGGGCTTGAATGCTGGGTGATATTCATGGGGGCTGAAGGGAAGGCTAACAAGGGAGCCCTTTTTTTGGAAGCCTCCAGGCAGGAGTGAGAGCAGGGGGTGTGACTTTATTTCCCTGAGAGAAGGAAAGAGGAAAGGCATGAGTCAAAGCCCTTTGGTTTTGTTTGACCATTCTTTTTTCTCCACGTTTTCAAATTATCTCGGCCTGTTGACTTGTCACAGAGTTGATTGTGGACTTTGCTACTGCAGTGTTTATAAAGCACTGCAGGGGCCAGGGACTGCTATGACTGAGCCTGTGTCCAAGTTGAAGGCTCAGGGTGGGCCTAAGCTTGTTCTGATGCAAATCACTGATGTGGCTTCTTTCTGGAAAATTCTAAAACCAGGGAGATGACATCCATTTCATAAAGCCTAGAGATATGGGTGCAGTCATCTCTCAAAGTGGCAGGAGTGCAGGGGGACTGAGAGGGACTTGGTTGGGTGGAACTTGAGCTGGAGTTGGGGGAGGATTTGGGTTGGTGGAGGGCAGAGAGGAGGGCCGTGCAGAGCAGGGGCGTGTTGTAGGAGAGGTGCCTCCTGGAGCTCATTGGATGGGGATTTTAGAGGACAGGAGCTGTTCGTGTTCATTTTTGTATTGCTTGAACTTACACAGGGTCTGGCACTTTGGGAGTATTCTATAAATGACTGTTGAATGGAATGATTGTTTTGTAGCCCATTAACTGGGCCTGATGTATTAGAAAGTGTGCGAAAATGTAGCCCATTAGCAGAAAGAAAATCTTACTGAAAAACCATCCCATGTACAAATGGAGCCTGGTGCGGCCACTTTACTTATGCTGCTGAGTTCTGCATCAGTCCACACCCAGGCCACCGCAGGGGCCGGGAGCTCCTCCTCAGACCTACCTCCCGTGCCTCAGTCTCTTTACCCCTCTGTTCTTCCAGGTCCTGCTCCCTCTGGTTTCCCCTCCATGCACTTGGGGTGGGTGTTGCATCCTGTGTCCCATTGGAGGGGGCTTCCGGTCTGTTAGGTCTATTAATATAAAACACCCCCAAGACAAATGGACTTTTTTCTTGTTAACATCACAACTTCTTATGATGCATCTCAAGAACATTATTTGTGTCAAGAGTCTCTCTGATGTACAGAGGCCCTCCATTCCTCAGGAGGAGGTAAGGGGAATTTGGGAGAAAACACCGCCCTGCCTGGGTTACTTATTTCCCTATTCTACAGTGTACTTGGTAGACATTCAAAAATATTTGTTGACTTTGTCCATGATCCACATGGCTCTCATATAGTCATTTATTCACACATACATTCAGTGAGACTTTGAGCGCCTAGTGTGTGCCTGGTATTTACTAGATGGTGGATGCTGAGATCAGGTGTGCTGCTGTCTCTGAGGAGCTCTCACTATACAGTGGCACCTAGGGTGACCGAATCCACCTGCCCCACTTTACAGACATGGAAATTAAAGTGCAGGGAAGTTATAGGATTAGTTCAACAACACAGTCAGTAGCCTCAAAGTTACAGGAGTAAATCAAGTTTTCTGACTTGCTGGATTTTCTATTAGTGTGCAGCTACCTGGCTGCTGCAGGTGTAGACGTGGTGAGCTCCGATAGGAGAGAGGACGTTCAGAGTGAAATGGGAGCCCTGAGCACCCTGGATTAACCGGGAGGACATACCGGGTCCAGCTGTGACCGCACAAAGGACCATCAGGGATATTTGTATTCTCTTTTTCACTTTGAGCTTGAAATGAAGAAAACTGACCCCAGGAAACCAAGAGTGGAAGATTTTTCACAGGGGATTAGTGAGATGCGTCAAAAAGCCTGTGTTGGATGGGTGCCTGTAATCCCAGCACTTTGGGAAGCTGAGGTGGGAGGATGGCTTGGGTCCAGGAGTTTGAGACCAGTGTGGGCAACATGGTGAGACCCTGTCTCTATAAAAAGCTTTTTTGTTTCTTGTTTTAAAAAGAAAACCCTTTTCTGATGTCTGTCACGGTGTTTCTCACTGAATGGTAATGGTCTGACTTTGAGTGGGTTTCATCCATAGCCTGGAGCTCTGTGAGGCAGGGACCAGGTGTGATTCACCTTTGTCTCTCCAGTGACAGTACACAGCAGGATCCGATAAATATTTCTTACAAAATAAAACTGAATAAAAAGTAGACATCTGCACAGGTGTGGGATGACTAAGCAGCAGCAGGAGCAGGAAAAATCAGTCCCCCCAGATCAGCTGATACAGCGTTCAGCTTCTAGATAGGGGTGAGGTGCCAGGACGGGGATGGGGTTCCTGTGGCTCTGCTGCTCTGGGGAACACCCCTAGGATTCAGAGTGTAGGCTGTGGTTGCTGCACTTCACTTGCCCGTGGGAAAGTGAGCAGTGGGTGTGGGGCTTCAGGTGACCCTACGTGGGAAACGGCCGAGGGAAGATGGGGTAGGTGGCACATAGAGGTTGTTTTTTTATTTTTTTATTTTTATTTTTGAGACGAAGTTTTGTTCTTATTGCCCAGGCTGGAGTGCAATGGTACAATCTTGGCTCACCGCAACCTCTGCTTCCCAGGTTCAAGCAATTCTCCTTGCCTCAGCCTCCCAAGTAGCTATGATTACAGGCATGCGCCACCATGCCTGGCTATTTTTTTTTGTATTTTTAGTAGAGACAGGATTTCTCCATGTTGGTCAGGCTGATCTCGATCTCCTGACCTCAGGTGATCCACCCACCTTGGCCTCCCAAAGTGCTGGGATTACAGGCATGAGCCACTGTGCCCGGCCAAGGATGTTTACCAATATTTGAAGGTCGGTTGTATAAAAAAGTGTTAGACTTGGCTGGGTGCATTGGCTCATGCCTGTAATCTCAACACTTTGGGAGGCTGAGGCAGGCAGATCACCTGAGGTCGGGAGTTTGAGACCAACCTGGCCAACATGGCAAAACCCTGTCTCTACTAAAAATACAAAAATTAGCCGGGCGCAGTGGCGGGCACCTGTAATCGCAGCTATTCAGGAGGCTGAGGCAGGAAAATTGCTTGAACCCAGGAGGGGGAGGTTGCAGTGAGCCAAGATTGTGCCACTGCACTCCATCCTGGGTGACAGAGCCAGACTCCATCTCAAAAAAAAAAAAAAAAAAAAGGAAAAGAAAAAATGTTAGTGTCACATGCATCCATGTGAAGAGACCACCAAACAGGCTTTGTGTGAGCAATAAAGCTTTTAATCACCTGGTGCAGGCAGGCTGAGTCCAAAAAGAGAGTCAGTGAAGGGAGTTAGGGATGGGGCAGTTTTATAGGACTAGGGTAAGCAGTGGAAAGTTACAGTTAAAGGGGGTTTTTCTCTTGCGGGCATGGTGGGGAGATCATAAGACTCATTGTCCAGAAGAAGAATGTCACGAGGTTGATCAGTAGATCAATTGGGACAGGGCAGGATCAAGTCATGACAGAATGTCATAAGGTTGGTCAATCGGTTAAGATAGGAGTTGGCTGTTTCCCTTCTTTTGTACTTGTCGGTTGCCTCAGGCCATCTGGATGTATACATGCAGGCTTGGGTTCAGAGGCCTGACATTCCTGTCTTCTTATATTAATAAGAAAAATAAAACAAAATAGTGTTGAAGTGTTGGGGTGGCGAAAAAATTGTTTTTGGGGTGGTATGGAGAGATAATGGGCCATGTTTCTCAGGGCTGCTTCGAGCAGGATTAAGGGCTGTGTGGACCTTAAAGAAAATTTTATAATAGGTTACATGGAATAGGAGTTTAGGCTGTGGGGAGATCTTGGGGCAGAGGATGGTACTATGGGGTTGTTAAAAGTAGCATTTGTCATATAGAATGATTAGTGATGGTCTGAATGTGGTTTTGTGTGAATTGAGAAACCAAACGGAAGACACAAGGCCCGAATAAGAGGAGAAAAAGAGGTACCAGAGGACTAAGAATTGGGAGGACCCAGGATGTCCAATTAGAGAGTGCCCAAGGGGGTTCAGCATAATTACTTGCTTGTTGGCGAGTTTTTGGGCTATATCCTTGAGTTTTTTTTTATATTGTCATATACTAGGCCAGATTGATTTAGGTAAAAGCAACACTCTTCATTTAAAAATATAGAGAGTCCTCCTTTTTCAGCAGTGAGTAAGTCAAGGCCTCGGCGGTTTTAGAGGACAACTGCAGCTAAAGAGTCAACCTTGGCCTGAAGGACTCATAGAGTTTGTGATATGTCTGTGATGCTAGCAGAGAAGTCATTAGAGAGGCTCTGGAAGGTCGTGACAGAGGCTGAAATGCCTGCTATTCCAGTTCTGAGCGCAATAGCGGAGGCAGAAAGTCCTAAACCGACAAGTAAGGGAATTAGTGGAATAACCTTTTTTTTTGTCATGTCGGTGTCATGAGAGGAACAGGAAGCTTTTCAGTCCCATTCGCAAATTGAATTTTGGGAGTAAGGTAAACTAGTGTGCATGTGCCTGTCCAATTAGCAGGTAGACACATGTAGGCAGAGGATCCACAGAGGAAGAAGAGACCTTGTGCAAGGCAAAACTGGAAATGCAAAGTAAAAAGATGAGAAGGAATACTAAAAGAGGTGTCTTGCACTCAGACTCCTAGGGATCCAGCTAGGGCGGCAGCCATCAGAGGTTGTAATGGGGACTGATGGGGTAACTGCATAGAGGGGGAGGTTCGATTTTCATGGTGTATGAGAAAACGTTGAGTGTCTACGAGCAACCTTTCACTGTTATTTACAGGGCTGGGTATAAGCAAACAAAAAGAGGGCCTGGGAGGAGAGTCTGACGAGCAAGGGGAAGGTAGTCAAGGATGGAGTGAAATACAGGGTAAGTGTCTTCCTAGGAAATAATAACTGCTAATGTTTTTAAGTTTGCCAGTATTGATAGAGGGCTTTTCTGTAATATGGAGCTGGGAGGCCCCAATTGTTTCAGTGATATGTGTAGTTGGGCTTTGGAGATGAAGAGTGAAGGAACACGGAGAAGGTGAAAGGTTACCTAGGGGAATTCCAGTGGGTCTTTGCCAAGAGATACATAAAGGAGTGGCCACAGGAATAGTAGTTTGTGTTGTGAGGGGTCCAAATATGGGGGGAGTAGAATTAATATAAGGAGAAAGATTTTTTAAGTAAGTGCGGAGAAGGGCGGCAGCTTGCTGATGTGAAATGTCTGGGGAGGTCTTGCTGGACCTGTCTAGAAAGTAAAGAATTTCTTTAGGAGGGTTAAGGTGAGGGCTGTTAAAGGAAGTTCGGAGGTGTAGGGAGACAGGAGATGTTGCTTAGTCTGTATGTAAGGCGGGGACAGCTGTGTAGGCACAGGAAGAAAGGGAAATGCAAAGCCAGCAATTGTTCTCTAAGGAGGGATCAGAGACGGCTAGGAGAGAGTGAATGAGACTGATAGTGTGGTGGAGATAGCTGGGGAGAGGTAGAGGGTGGCATAAGAATGGGAATGAGAATAAGAGTGAGTATAAAAGTAAAGAATAGAACTTCATCAGGGTGGAAGTATTGGAGGGTGCCCTGCCAGCAAAGATCATCTATCCACTCTAAGAGGGAGTTAAGAGTGGCAGTTTGGGGATAGCACCAGGAGATATCCACTGTGATGGTTTGGAGGAACAGTGTAAACTGGCAGTGTAAACAAGAGCAGGGCATTTATGAGTAGTTGAGAACGGTGAATAAGAGTATGACTAGACAGAAGATAGTAGGGATGACAAGTTTTTTGGGGTGCAGTCCAAGTAGTGGGGGTGACTGCATAAAGCCCTGTTGCAAAAAGTAGGGTAAGGATGAACAGACCTAGTAGAATGAAGGGACGTATTAGGCTCATGAGGGTTATTACTGTTCTTCAGAAATACAAGTGAGTTTAAGGGAAGTAGGGGAGAGTACTTGCGACTTCCAGGAGGAAGAGGAGAGATTAGGCTGGCTGTTTGATGGACACAGCTTTATTCTGGAATGGTGAACCCAATGGGGAGGATCCTGCAGGCGGACAGCAGTTGGGGTGCTAGAGATGACTAAGTAGGGTCCAGTCCATTGAGGTTGTAGAGTTTGAGGGGTCAGATTCTTAACAAGAACGGGTTGTCCAGCTAGGGTGTCTTCATATGGCTGGGAATCTGGAGTAGGCAAGAGAAGATTAGCAGCCTGGGGAATTTCCTGTCTAGCCTGCTGGAGGCCTGGAAGATAGTTGCCTAGAGGGCCGGTGTCTGGGACAAGGTTGGGGCCGAGCAAGAAAGTGTGTCCATGTAAAAGTTCAAATGGACTGTACCCTGTAGCATCTCGAGGACAGGCTCTAATTCTGAGAAGGGCAAGAGGTAAAAGTACTGTCCAGTCCTTTTTAAGTTGGAGACTGAGCTTGGTGAGGTATGTCTTTAAAAGACCATTAGTCCGTTCTACCTTTCCTGAAGATTGAGGGCGGTAAGGGGTATGAAGTTTGACTTATTTCAGCCTACAGAGAGTAGGATGAGAATTGGTGAGTGTGTATCAGACACATTTTGGCTCAGGATGGAAAAGAACTGTCACAGTAAAGTAAGTTTCCTTGGGAAATTACAAGTTTACTGGTGGAGTTCAGGCCTGAGCTGGGTGTCTGAAAATACCTGTTAGAGTGATTTCTAAGGTTACAAGGGCAGAGCTTGGCTTGAAACTAGGTTTCCCACTGATACCACATATTAGGTATTATACAAACTGTCTTTTGCAATGAGACACGGCCCTATGATGCAGGCTGAGCTCTCTGACAGTTACTTCCTGTCTTTGTGGGCGATTGTGATTTTATCTCCTTTGTGACCTGGACTTTACCTCCTACCCTTTGCTCTTGCCAGCCCTCCCACTTCCTTTACTGGTGACAAGGTTTAAGTGCATTTACTGATGATGGTCACAAGGTGGCAGCACTGCCTCACTGGTGTTTCCTAAGACCTCTGCTTGGACGTGGGCCAGTCTAAGGTGCTGTTAGGATTAAGGGCATGAATGAGGCTAAAGGTAAACTTTATTTTCCTTTTTTTATCCTGTGAAGTAACAGAATTTGAGGTGAGTGTGAAGTAATTGCATTTGAGAACTGGAAGTGCCATGTGTGGTGGCTCATGCCTGTAATCCCAACACTTTGGGAGGCTGAAGCAGGAGGATGGTTTGAGCCCAGGAGTTCCAGACCAGCCTGGGCAACATGGTGAGACCTCATCTCTACAAAAAATAAAAAAATTAGCCGGGCACGGTGACACATGCCTGTGGTCCCAGCTACTTGAGAGCCTGAGGCAGGAGGATTCCCTTGAACCCAGGAGGTCCAGGCTGCATTAAGCTATGATCCTGTCACTGCGTTCCATCCAGCCTGGGTGACAGAATGAGACTCTGTCTCAAAAAACTCCAAAAATGAATACAAAATTAAAAAGTCTGGTAGAAATGCTTCACAAACTTTAATGTGCTCACAGATCACCCAAAGATCTTGTTTAAATGCAGATTCTGATTCTTCTGGTGGGGCCTGAGAGTCTGCATTTCTTTTTTTTATGATTGGCATTTTCACAAGATTCTGCATTTCTAAGGAGCATTTGGACGATGTCATTGCTGCTGGTTGGTGGAGCACACTTTGAGTAGCAAGGCTTGAGTATCATTTAGAGATTAATTCTCACTGCATCTGATTTATGGATGGGGAGAGACTGAGGTGTGGAGATGGAATAGAGCTTGCCCTCCATAGCCATGCCCTCACCGCATGACTTTTTGCGTTTAAACCCAGGGCTTCAGCCTCTTTGTCCAGTCCTTGCCTCATGCATCACATGGCCCCTTCACTGTTGTTGGTGGCATCTCTTTAGCTTAGGAACTCAGAACCCCATTTTTATCACCCACTCTGGGCTTGGCTCAACATGTCACTTTGACTGGTTTTCCCCTTACTCAAAACCTTCACTGACTCTTCTGTAATTCACAAGATCAAGTTCGAATGTCTGTGTCCAGTGTTCATGCCTCTATAACATATGTATGATCCCCCTTTAGCAAGCTTACCTAACTTCCCTGGTTTTTGTTTTTGTTTTTGTTTTTGAGACAGAGTCTTGCTCTGTTGCCCAGGCTGGAGTGCAGTGGCACCATCTCGGCTCACTGCAAGCTCCGCCTCTCGGATTCACGCCATTCTCCTGCCTCAGCCTCCCTAGTAGCTGGGACTACAGGTGCCTGCCACCATGCCTGGCTAATTTTTTGTATTTTTAGTAGAGACGGGGTTTCACCGTGTTAGCGAGGGTGGTGATGGTCTCGATCTCCTGATCTCATGATCTGTCTGCCTCAGCCTCAAAAGTGCTGGGATTACAGGCGTGAGCCCACCGCGCCTGGCCACTTCCCTGTTTTTAAACCATCTCTTTCTGCTCTAGCTCTCCCTGTTCCTTCCTGTTCCCTACACATACTCTGTTCTGGTCTCTCTCAGTGGTAGTGGTGGTGGTATGGGCTCTGGTGTTAGACTCACTGAGTTTCTAATCCAACATCCACCAACAACCTTGGCAAGTTACTTCACCTTTTTGAGGATCAGCATCCTCCTGTGAAATAACCCCACATGGTGGTTGAGAGGAGTAAATAAAAAATCATCTGTACCTCATAAATATATATACCTACTATGTACCCCCAAATGTAAAAATTAAAAAAAAAGTAAAACGACATCTGCAAACCCGCTCTCATTCCTGAGACCCTCTTCAAAGCTAGCATCTACAGCAGTGCCTGCCACCTGGTTTCCTTGGCGTGTGTTTCTCCTTGTCTCTGCTTTCCTAAGGTTGAACCCTTCAGGACCTCACCTGAATCCCGTCTGTTCCATGAAACCTTTCCCAGCCATTCCTGACCCAGTTGATCCCTCGCTTCTATAAATTATTTTACCTATGTATGGGCATTTAATTACATGCCAGCCCTCTCAGTGAGACCCCATAGGGAGGCTGGAAGGGTATTGGATGTGTGCGAATTGAAGGTTAATTGAATGAATACTTTTCTTACTACCCACTGAGTGTTAGAGCTGCCGTCTCTTTTTTTCAGCTAGTCCCAGCGGCAGTTCCTCCTGCACCAGCTGCACCAGACCCTGGCAGGCATGTGAATACCTTAGGGATTGCTCTTGTCAGGGTCCTTCCTGCCTCTGGGTTTTGGTTAAATTGGTGTTTCCTTTTGCACGATATCAGTGGTCCCTCTAAGGGAGAGATTGATGATATCTCTTTATGGAAATGCCAAGATAATAACTGAGGAAGTTGAACTCAATATCTTATTGCTTAAACAGCCTGGTTACAGGAGATGTGTACACACTTTCTTGTTTCGTTAAAATTACAACAGTCTTTACTCTCTTACTTCAGAAGAGACTGGGGACAAAAGACCAAGTGGGAGTGTGGGCAACATAGGGAGACCCCATCTCTACAAAAAAAAAATTAGCTGGGTGTGGTGGTGTGTGCCTGTAGTCCCAGCTACTTTGGAGGTTGAGGTGTGAGGATCGTTTGAACCCAGGAGCTCAAAGCTGCAGTGAACTATGATCACGCTGTTGCACTCTGGCCTGGGTGATAGACCAAGAAAAAAAAAAAAAAACAAGTGGGGAGGACAGGGTGGTTTAGGGGAGTTAATGTACCTCTAACCTGGATTCTCTGAATTGTTCTTTCAATCATGTCTGGAAGTGTACATCTTTGTATGTGTGGTCATATATTTATATCACATCACTCATAATTCCCTGCCTGTCAGTGGCAATTAGGAGATCATGTCAGTCAGGCTTAGGATATTAAAATTATGTAGTATGTGCTTTCACTGGAGCAAAGGTTTCTCTGAAGTCTGGAGAGAAAATGGACCAGTAGGGCTGGACCCTTTACTTGGGGTCCTGCCTTCTCTTTTTATTGGACAGCAGCCTACTCAGCCATCACTTTCCCAATCAGGGGCTTTTTTTTTTTTTTTTTTGAGATGGAGTCTCGCTCTGTCGCCCAGGCTGGAGTGCAATGGCACGATCTCGGCTCACTGCAAGCTCCACCTCCCGGGTTCATGCCATTCTTCTGCCTCAGCCTCCTGAGTAGTTGGGACTACAGGCGCCCGCCACCATGCCTGGCTAATTTTTTGTATTTTTAGTAGAGACGGGGTTTCACGGTGTTAGCCAGGATGGTCTTGATCTCCTGAGCTCATGATCCACCCACCTCAGCCTCCCAAAGTGCTGGGATTACAGGCATGAACCACCGCGCCCGGCCAATCAGGGGCTTTTTAACCTTCCCATTTTCCTATAAAGGATCCATGCCAATGTTCAGATATATTTATTGTGCCTGGAACTGGATGTTCTTTTAAAAAGTGAATCCCAGGGATGGCTTCCTAGCAGATTTCCAGGATTCTAATCTTCACTGTCTAAACTGTGGGTTTCCAACCTTGAATACTGATTAGAGTCGCTTGTAGGGCATTTAAAACCTACCAATGCTTGTGCCTTCCCCCAAGAGAGTGTGATTTGATTGATGCATGATGTGGCCCACGCACTGGTTGTTTATGAATGCTTCCAAGGAAAATGGTCATTTTACAGTGGGGGAACTGTAGCCCAGTGCTCAAAGTTAACATCTCCAGTAATCAGAGATACTGACATCTTAGGGCATCCTAATATGATGGATGGAGAAGGCGCAGCATCACCTCTGTAGTATTCTTGCCCAATGTATATAACTTTAGTTTCATCATGAGAAACAACTAGGAAAGCCCAAACCGAGGGTCATTATACAAAATAACTCACCAATACTCTTCGAAAATGTTAAGGTCATGAAGGCAAGAGAAATTCTGAGGAACTGTCCCAGATTAAAGGAAACTGGGAGGACAGAGCAATGAGATGCAATGTCTGATCCTAGATTGGATCCTGGTCCAGAAAAAGAACATTAGTGGGAAGATAAAGGGGATTTGAATAAGGTCTACAGATTCATTCATTGTACAGTATCAGTGATCATTTATTGATTTTGATGATTATACTGTGGTTATCTAAAATGTTAATATTTGGGGAGGCTGAGTGAAAAGTATATGAAGACCCTGACTATTTGTAGAAGTTTTTTGAAAGTCTGAAATTATTTCAGATGAAACTAAAGAAAGGAAAAGAAAGCTTCCAGGTAATTCTACTGAGTTGCCAAAGCTGAAAACCACTTCTCTAAGTTATCTTGCTTAATAATACTGTCAAGAGTAATCTTCCTGGAAATACCATATTGTTATGTTTGTGACCTTTTCAAAGCTTTCCAGTGATTGCTGTCATCTAGGATGAAGTTCCTGCTCCTTAGGCTACCATTTAAAGCCCCCATAGCATGGCCTCAATCTACTCCGTTGATCTACGTGGAAGGACTTAACCTACATTTTACTTTCTCATGCCTGAGCTTATTCTAATTCTTTTACTCCTTCCTATATAATACCCTTGCCTTCCTGTTCAGCCTCCTGAGCTGTTCTTTGTGCTATGGCCCATTTCAGACCCTGTCTCTTCATTGAAGCCTGTATAGTTATTCCTGTTAGAAGCAATCATCCTTCCTTTCTTTGAATTCTGGTAGGTACCGTGATGTGGAGTGAACCACGAGCTTTAGATTCAGAAATATGTGAGTTTGAATCCTTTGACAGTTCCACCTTTAACCAGTTCTGAGATAAGGGACAAGTTTATCAACATCTTGGAATAGAGGGGTAATAGAGTACCTGCATCAAAGGGTCATTGTGACCATTAGATCAGATGCAAACATAAAGGTCCTCAGCACAGCATATAGCAGATTCTTTCCTCAGCACTTTAATAGCTCAGTGGTTCCCAGAAAGTTTGTGGGTGGTGTGAAGGCTCTTATCAAAATTTCCTAAAGAGCCTTTTAAAAATATTTGCACCTGGTCATCACTAAGATGACAGATGCTCTTTAATGGAACTGAATGCTTGGGACTTTAAGAAATGCAACTGAGATTTTTTTTTTTCCCCCTTGGAACACAACTGAGTAAATAAGTGACCTAAGGGCAGAGGAATGTAACCCAAAAGAGGGAGAAGGAGGAACTGGGTTTTTAAGTAGGAAAAAGCTGTGATGCCTTCCACACCCACTCTGTTGCTGTCAGTGAGACAGCAGTGAGGAAGTACCACTCCCTAGTACAACTCCTTAAACCATGAGTCCTGAACAGCCCTTCACTAATCCATTCCCTGTCCAGATGATGTGTACCTGGATGAGTCAGATCCCCATGAGTCAATCATTCTTCTCCGTCTTCAGCTCCTCCATCCTCACCACTCAGTGCTATGTGCTATGGTCTGGCCCCACTTCCCAGGCCATTAGTATTGGCCTAAGAAAGCAAGACTGGGAGGGGCAACTGAGAAGGAAGTCAGAGGCCACTAGGCATGGAAAGAGGCAGGTGGGGCTGTCATTGCTCAAAGGCCACACACTCTGGGTGTGTTTTATGACTGTTCCTGGATTTGAAATCTTTTCCCCTTTGTGATCATTCCAGAGACTCACCCTCCTCCTGCTTCCTTCTCATCACACTATCTGTTCCTAGTGCATCCCTTTTACGGCCAGAGAATGGCTGTACAAATAGTTAACAATTCAGTAAAAGTTACAGCTGAGCACGGTGGCTCACACCTGTAATTCCATCACTTGGGAGGATGAGGAGGGCGGATCACGAGGTCAGGAGTTGAAGACCAGCCTGACCAACATGGTGAAACCCCATCTCTACTAAAAATACAAAAATTAGCTGGGTGTGGTGGCACGCACCTGTAAGCCCAGCTACTCAGGAGGCTGAGGCAGGAGAATTGCTTGAACCTGGGAGGCGGAGGTTGCAGTGAGCCAAGACTGTGCCACTGCACTCCAGCTTGGGCGACAGAGCGAGACTCCATCTCAAAAAAAAAAAAAAATTACTTTTTGGGAGAACTGGGAACCTGGCCTTCCTTTTTGCCAAAAGAGATTGAGGTCCATAAAAGCCAGCTTTTATTCCGGGCTGTGCAGTTGTGAGTGTGGTGTTAGGGAACAGGTACATAAGTGAAGGGTAAGACAGAAAACAAAATGCTGGCTGTTTGTCAAATCCTGAGAGTAGAGGGGACAAAAATCATTCTGAAAGGTGGATGTCATTCAGGACACCTTGGAAATCTTAGGGTGTCCTCGCCCAGATGGGGAGGAGGATGAGGTTAAATTATGGAGTTGAGTGACACTTGGTACATTACTAAACTTCTCTGCTTCAGTTTTTTTTTTTTTTTTTTTTTTTTTGAGACGGAGTCTCACTGTGTCGCCCAGGCTGGAGTGCAGTGGCATGATCTTGGCTCACTGCGCGCTCCGCCTCCCAGGTTCATGCCATTCTCCTGCCTCAGCCTCCGGAGTAGCTGGGACTACAGGCGCCCGCCACCACTCCCGGCTAATTTTTTTTTGTATTTTTAGTAGAGATGGGGTTTCACCGTGTTGGCCAGCATGGTTTTGATCTCCTTACCTCGTGATCCGCCTGCCTCGGCCTCCCAAAGTGCTGGGATTACAGGCGTGAGCCACCATGCCTGGCCCCTGCCTCTGTTTTTTTAATCTGTAAAAATGGGGATGGTGACACTCAGGATTCTTTGAGAGGACTGGAGCTACATGGAAACCCCTTGGGATAGTGCCTGGCGGATAGTGAGTGCTGCATCAGTGTGAGCTATTATAATTATGGGAATAGACAAAGGTGTCACCCGGGGCATCCAGAGTGAGGAGGTATTTTCCAGTCAGAGTCCTGGGAGGCCAGCTGGAGATGAAGCTGGTGAAGGGGGAGGCTTAACCTCCAGGAGTGGAAGGATTGGGAAGGAGTAACTCATGCATAACATTCTGTGAAAATACCTTTACCCAACAGCAGGAATACGCACAGTGGGTGTGGCTTCTGTCACAATTATTGTCCCTGGGGTCTAGGAATGTGAAACCCAAGCCTAGAAACAGGCTTCAGGGGTGCCTTGCAAATTAGCATTCATCTTGCCAAAGGAAAATGTTCATCTTGTTAAAAGAAAGCATTTACGTGCTAAAAGAATCCCTTCTTGTGGCCCAGGTCATTATTTTTGTCTTGGTACTATCCTTTTTTTTTTTTTTTTTTTTTTTTTTTTGAGAAGGAGTCTTGCTCTTTTGCCCAGGCTGGAGTGCAGTGGTGGATCTCAGCTCACTGCAAGTTCCACCTCCCGGGTTGACACCATTCTCCTGCCTCAGCCTCCCAAGTAGCTGGGACTACAGGCGCCCGCCACCATGCCTGGCTAATTTTTTTTGTACTTTTAGTAGAGACGGGGTTTCACTGTGTTAGCCAGGATGGTCTCGATCTCCTGACCTCGTGATCTGCCCACCTCGGCCTCCCAAAGTGCTGGGATTACAGGCATGAGCCACCGCGCCCGGCCTGTACTATCCTTATTTACAAGATGTAAAGAGAAAGACTGGGCTGGGCTCAGTGGATCACGCCTGTAATCCCAGCAGTTTGGGAGGCCAAGCGGGGGCGGATTGCCTGAGGTCAGGAGTTCGAGACCAGCCTGGCCAATATGGCGAAACTCCATCTCTACTAAAAAATACAAAAATTAGCTGGGTGTGGTGGTGTGTGCCTGTAATTCCAGCTACTCAGGAGGCTGAGGCAGGAAAATCACTTGAACCCAGGAGGCGGAGGTTGCAGTGAGCCGAGATCGTGCCATTGCACTGCAGCCTGGGTGACAAGAACGAAACTCTGTCTCAAAAAAGAGACTGAAGAAGAGTGAAATAAGGATATATATGCATTAGCAGGGCAGAATTGGGACTGGTATGTGTACGTTAAGAGGAAGCATGTAAAAATTGTATGTGAACATAAAAAGGACTTCTTGTTTTAAACAGACCTCTCCATATAAATAATGTGGACTGTCTTGAGTAGATAGCAGACTCCATCACAAGAACATTCCAGCAGAATCACAAGAGAATGGATAGTGTGGCCGCTTTCTAAATGGTAGTTTAGAGTGAGCAAATCACTGAAAAGAAAGGAGACCAAGAAGATGGGTGAGGGTGAGAGAGATGGGATGGTGAAAGGAAAAGACTGAAATAAATGTTTACCGAGGGCTCACCAGGTACCAAGCTGTGTGTCTAATGCCTTACACATGTTTTTTTTTTTTTTTTTTTTTTTAAGATGGAGTCTTGCTCTGTTGCCCAGGCTGGAGTGCAGTGACGTGATCTTGGCTCACTGCAACCTCCACCTCCCTGATTCAAGGGATTCTCCTGCCTCAGCCTCCTGAGTAGCTGGGATTACAGGCGTGCACCACCACACCCAACTAATTTTTGTGTTTTTAGTAGAGACGGGGTTTCACCATGTTGGTCAGGCTGATCTCGAACTCCTGAGCTCGTGATCCACCTGCCTTGGACTCCCAAAGTGCTGGGATTACAGGCGTGAACCACTGCGCCTGAACAATGCCTTACACATCTTAATTTACTCTTTTATTGTCATCCTCTGATGGAGTAAGAGTCACCTTTGTGCTGCAAATGAGAAGAAGCTGAGGGAGGCGAGGTGAGTGGTCAGCATCATCCAGCCAGTTCATAGCAGAGCTAGTGTGTTTCACCTCAAAGTTTGTGCTCTTGCCTATGATTCAGACAGAAAAGTGAGACACAGCAGGAAGGCAAGGCAAATTTTTGTTGTGGGTGAAGTTTATAAAAGGTACCTGTATTAGGCAGAATAATGGCCTCCTGAAAATATCCACATCCTAATCCCTGGGACCTGTGCATTTTACTTTATTTGGCAGAAAGACTTTGCAGATAAGATGAAGTTAAGAATCTTGAGATGGGGGAATTATCCTGGATTATCTGAGTGGGCACATTATAATCAGAAGGATCCTTATAGGTGAAAGAGGGAGGCAGGAGAGTCAGGGTGAAAATGATGTAGCATGAGGAAGACTCCACTGGCCACTGCTGGCTTTGAAGATGGAAGGGGGCCATAAGCAAAGGAATATAGGTGGCATCGAGAAGCTGGGTCGGGCAAAGAAGAGGATCCATTCCTTAAACCTCCAGAAGGAAACCTCCAGAAGGAACACCGCCAATGCCTTGATTTTAGCCCAGAGAAATCTATTTTGGACTTTTGACCTCCAGAACTATAAGAACTGGGAAAAATGTATGTAGTTTTTACATTCCAGGAGGTTACAGTCTGCTACATAGTGAAAAGGGACTGGAAAAAATAGGCCAAAATATTAAACAACGATTAGGTCTAGATTATGGGTGGAAAATAGAATACAAGTGATAGCTATTTTTTCTTTCATACTTTATGTCTTAATTTTCAAAGGTAAGAAATTAAAGGTAATTACTGTCAGGCCTCTGAGCCCAAGCTAAGTCATCATATCTCCAGTGATCTGCATGTATACATCCAGCTGGCCCGAAGCAACTGAAGAACCACAAAAGTAAAAAGAGCCAGTTCCTGCCTTAACTGATGGCATTCTACCATTGTGATTTGTTTCTGCCCCACTCTAACTGATCAATTGACCTTGTGACATTCTTTTTCTTGGACAGTGAGTCTCATGATCTCTCCACCGTGCACTTTGTGACCTCCACCACTGCCCACAAGAGAAAACCACCTTTAACTGTAATTTTCCACTACCTACCCAAATCCTGTAAAACTGTCCCCCCAATTCTCCCTTTGCTGACTCTCTTTTCAGACTCAGCCCACTTGCACCCAAGTGCCTGTATAGTAGACTGTCTTCACATGGACGCGAGTAACAATTACATTGCGATGTTATAAATAGAAGTATTTCAATGTACCTGTTAAATCCTCTGGACGATCACTGAGAAGGCATATCTTTGAGTGTAAGGATGAATTTGCCAAGGACAGGAGTGACGTTATAGGCACAGTTTTTTAAAGGCAGGAAGAGAGGGCCTTATCCTTCAACCTAAATGGTCCATCATTTCCATGGATCAAACTCAAAGGAATGACTAGTCATCAAGGAATGTGTTCAGTGACATCTTATGGGGTAAACTGAGACATTCCAGGAGCCTGGAATCAATGTGAAGTAGTTTCAGACTTGGTGGCAGGGGAGAATGTGCTCCTAAAATCTGTTGTTTAGGGCTCAGCCTTTTCTGCTTTTTTCTTCCTATTATTTCTTAACAATGCTGAGGTGGGCAGGGCCCCAGTCCCGGAACAGGTCACCTGTACTTAATAGGAAGGTTTGTTTCCTTTGTTGAAAGGGGTGGATATATAGCCCTGAGTTTGTTTTTTTTTTGTTTTTCTTTACTAGCAATTAGGGAAACATAGAGTGGCTGCTTTCTCTACTAACAGCCTCATAATGGAGCCATCTAAATCTCTTACTGATTCCTCTAACCTCCAGGGAGCCACACCTTTACCCAGTCCTCCTAGATCCTGGGGGAATCAGAGGACCTTGTGTAAGCACTATGTGAGGAAACAAGAAAACCTAGGGGTAAGAACTCTTGTAATTGCCTCTTTTTTTTTTCTTTCTTTTAAAATATTTTAAACTTTTATTTTAGGTTCAGGGCTCCATGTACAGGTTTTTTGTTTTTGTTTTTTGAGACAGAGTCTCGCTCTGTCGCCCAGGCTGGAGTGTAGTGGCGCGATCTCTGCTCACTGCAACCTCCATCTCCTGAGTTCAAGCAGTTCTCCTGCCTCAGCCTCCTGAGTAGCTGGGATTACAGGCGCCAGCCACCACTTCCAGCTAATTTTTATATTTTTATTAGAGACGGGGTTTCACCACGTTGGCCAGGCTGGTCTGGAACTCCTGACCTCAGGCAATCCGCAGCCTCCCAAAATGCTGGAATTACAGGCGTGAGTTACCGTGCCTGGCCTGCAGGTTTGTTATACAGGTAAACTTGTGACTCAGGGGTTTCGTATACAGACTATTTTGTCACTCGGGTACTTAGTACCCAACAGTTTTTTTTTTTTTTTTTCTGATCCTCTCCCTCCTCCCACCCTCCACCCTCAAGTAGGCCCCAGTGTCTGTTGTTCCCCTCTTTCTGTCCATGTGTTCTCATTTAGCTTCCACTTATAAGTGAGAAGACACAGTATTTGGTTTTCTGTTCCTGTATTAGTTTGCTAATCTATTTTATTAAAGTATGTTTCCCTTTCACCCCTCCTCCCTCCCCACCCTAATATTTTAGGGCTAAGCCCTCATCACTGGACACAAAGAAACTGGTTTCTTAGATGCTGCTATGCTTTGGTTCCACCCACCAAGACAATGGGCCTATTTTTTTCTATAATCAAAGGCCCTGTGTTTGGCCCGTACAGTTCTACGTTAAACTGGTGCCAAAGCTCACGCCTTCCTGTTCCGTTCCTTCCAGGTCATCTCAGAATCTGCAGGCTTGTGGGGCAGGGTAGGGAGTCCTGAGTGGTGACCACAGAAAGGGGAAAGCTGTGGGAATCCAAGACAGTTGTTCTTGAGAGAGTCTTCTAGGCCTGTTGGCAGAAGAAGCAGAATTGTGGGCCAGGACCTGGGTCCTGGTGTTGGTGACTGAGCTCTGACTTTGAATGAGTAGATTTGCCTATCTAGGCCTTAGCTGTGCCTGCTGCAAAATGAGATTTGAGATGAACTCAAGCCCTTACAGCTTGACTGCTCTAGCCATGCATTTTCTTTTCTCTTCCTCATTGAAATCTATATCATTCCTTCAGGGCCCAAGGACCCATGCTCAGAAGAAATCAATTTGGCTAATGTCCTTATGAGAGGGGACCAACCCTCAGGCTTTATGTGCTCTTTGGCCTTTTATGCAAGAGTGGTGAGGGTGGATATTTTTGTTCTGGTCTTCTTTTGGTGCTCTTTGATAGCAGGAAGGGCAGAGTCCTGACAGACTGTGAAAGTCTTGACCACCAGCTTAAGGAGTCTGGACTCTTGTGAGTGTGGAACTACCAGAGGCTTAAAGTGGGAAGTGACCTGTGTCTCAGGACACATACTCTAGGAGAAGTGTGGCTGTGCAGAGTCCACATGAGAGACTCAGATCTGAAGTGAGAAATCAGAGGGCATGAAGAACAGGGGCATAGGCGTGAGCCATTTGAGGAAGAGTTGGAGGTCTTTGTGAGTGACCAGAGGGGAGGAGATGGGAAGGAGGGGCCTGAAGATGGCTCCGAGCTGTGTCTAGTTTGGGATTTTGGGTGGACCAGATGTCATTAGCCCCAAGATAAGGGTGGGGCTAGGTTGATTAGGGGCTGAAATGCTAAACCTAGTTTTGAATGTTAGATAAGATGCCTATCGGCCATCCAGGTGGAACTACTGTGTGGGGAGTGGGAAGAATACAGCTGGCGCTGGAGCCAGGGAGTGGTAGAGGGTGAAGAGGAAAGAGGGAGTGAGCTGGGGGGGTCTCTGCCTCTGTAGTAACTTCACACCTGCTCTCCTGCGTCGAGCTCATGGCTGTGTTCTACTCTTTCCCTCTCTGTTCTCTGATCAGAGCAATTTTTCAGGGTTTTGGCTGGATAGATATTATTAGCCCAGGGGTCACATATTTACTACCAATAGGTCTTTTGGAAAATGGGGACTGTGAATCAATGAATGGAGAGGTGAAAAGAGGAGAGTGAAGGAAGGACTTTTGGAGAAAGATAATAGGGAAGAGGAGGCAGGTGAAACACATGCTATAAAATGTGTTAGCATTCATTATAAACTATAAAAAGCACAATGCAAATGTACAGTTCTGCTGAGAACACTGTGACCATGGGTTGGAAGGGGGAGAGGTGAGACTAGGAGGGTAAAGGGGAAGAAGTAGCTTAGAAGGATGAAGCCAAAAGCCAGGCTACTAGATCTAGAAGTCTCCTTGGAAGGCTCTCTACTGCTTAAAAATTACTTGGCCTATCCAATCTCTTTGGTGTAATGAGTTTTTTTTTTTTTTTTTTTTTTTTTTGGAGACAGAGTTTTGCTCTTGTTGCCCAGGCTGGAGTGCAATGGCACAATCTTGACTCACTGCAACCTCCACCTATGGGGTTCAAGTGATTCTTCTGCCTCAGCCTCTGGAATAGACGGGATTACAGGCATGCGCCACCACACCCGGCTAATTTTGTATTTTTAGTAGAGAGGGGGTTTTGCCATGTTGGCCAGGCTGGTCTTGAACTCCCGACCTCAGGTGATCCGCCCGCCTTGGCCTCCCAAAGTGCTGGGATTATAGGCATGAGCCACTGTGCCTGGCCTGGGTGTAATGAGTAATGGGTCTTATATGTTTATATGACGATATTAAATGCTAATAGCCAACAAATATTGTATGCTTACAATTAGTACATCTAACACAGCTAGTGTAACTAATATTGTGTACTAATAGTACGATGAGTGGCCAACAAATATTGTGTGCTCAGTATATACCAGGCAGTGTGCTAAACACTTTAACTAGATTACCTCAGTTGATCCTCACAACAGCACATGCGGCGGGTACTTTTATTGGCCCCATTTTACAGATGAGGGGAGTGAGGTATAGTCATTTGCCCAGGGCCTTGCAGCTTGTATGCTGGAGCCAGAATATGAAGCCAGGCCGCCTGGGGGACTATATAGCATGTGGTCTTAATCACTCAGCAGTTCAGGGTAGTTCAGTACATTCTGTACTTTTCTGTTTTTTTGTTTTTGTTTTTTTTGAGATGGAGTCTTGCTCTGTCACCCAGGCTGGAGTGCAGTGGTGCAATCTCGGCTCACTGCAGCCTCTGCCTCCCAGGTTCAAGTGATTCTCCTGCCTCAGCCTCCCGAGTAGCTGGGACTACAGGCACGCACCACCACGCCCGGCTAATTTTTGTATTTTTAGTAGAGACAGGGTTTCACTGTGTTGGCCAGGGTGGTCTTGAACTCCTGACCTCGTGGTCTGCCCACCTCAGCCTCCCAAAGTGCTGGGATTACAGACGTGAGCCACCGTGCCTGACCTTTTCTGTGTTTTTTTTTGTTTGTTTGTTTTCTTTTGTTTCCTTTTACCTCTGACGAAGACATAGATAAAATGCAGCTCAGGTACAGAAAGTGTCAACTTTCAGGTTGATTCCCAGATTGAGAGCAGGAATGCTGAGGAAAGCAACAGGGTAGGACTTCTCATAGAGTGGTCCTTGGATCATCTGTATTGGGATCTTCGAGGATGTTTATTAAAAACTGAGATCTAGGCTGGGCGTGGTGGCTCACACCTGTAATCCCAGCACTTTGGGAGGCCGAGGTGGGCAGATCACAAGGTCAGGAGATTGAGACCATCCTGGCTAACACGGTGAAAACCCGTCTTTACTAAAAATACAAAAATCAGCCGGGCATGGCGGCAGGCGCCTGTAGTCCTGGCTGATGGGGTGGCTGAGGCAGGAGAATGGCGTGAACCCAGGAGGCGGAGCCTGCAGTGAGCCGAGATTGCACCACTGCACTCCAGCCTGGGCAACAGAGCGAGACTCCATCTCAAAAACAAACAACCGAGATCTAGGCCAGGCGCGATGGCTCGTGTCTGTAATCCCAGCACTTTGGGAGGCCGAGGCGGGGGATCTCTTGAGGTCAGGAGTTCAAGACGAGCCTGGCCAACATGGTGAAACCCTGTCTCTACTAAAAATATAAAAATTAGCTGAGCATGGGGGTGTGCACCTGTACTCTCAGCTACTCAGGAAGATGAGGTGGGAGAATTGCTTGAACCCAGGAGGCAGAGGTTGCAGTGAGCCGAGATCGCGCCACTGCACTCCAGCCTGGGCAACAGAGTGAGACGGTCTCAAAACAAAAACAACAACAAACAAAACAAAAAATACCCTGAGATCTATAGTTATCACTTGGGCCAACTGAAAGAAGAATTTCTCAAACATTGATGTTTGAGACCTACTGATTTAAGGCTGAATGTCTGGTTCTGGAAGGAAATGGAATCTTGGCTTCTTCAGTCACCACAGTTTGGGTCTTGTTCCTCTGTAAAATTAACAATGTAGGCCGGCACGGTGGTTCACGCCTGTAATCCCAGCACTTTGGGAGTCTGAGGCGGGTGGATCACCTGAGGTCAGGAGTTTGAGACCAGCCTGGCCAACATGGTGGAACCCCGTCTCTACTAAAAATACAAAAATTAGCCAGGCTTTGGTAGCGCATGCCTGTAATCCCGGCTACTAGGGAGGCTGAGGCAGGAGAATTGCTTGAACCTAGTGGGTAGAGGTAGCAGTGAGCCAAGATCACGCCACTGCACTCCAGCCTGAGCGACAGAGCGAGACTCCATTTCAAACAAACAAACAAACAAACAAAACCCAAAACAATAATGTGGTCCGTGCTCTCTTTCTTTCTTTGGGCTCTTGGAGGGGTGGGGTGGGAGGACCAAGAGTGGATAAAATTGCACTTGCCTTTATACCAGAGGAGGCACTGTGAGGCAGCATCTCTTACATTTACCTTTCATTTATTTTTCTCCCCCAGATGGGTTTCACTTCTCTCTCTGTCCTGTTGGGGAACTTCCCAGCTGAGGACCTCCATGTGGTTTGGTGCTCGGTTGGGCGATGAGCATTGGGAGGGGAGCAGTTGTAGTGACTTCTCTCGGGCCTGCCATGCTCTGCCATGGAGGTGGAGTGACATGAAGTTTAGCTGCTTCACCTCAGTCTGCTCAAGAGTGGGGACTGCTGAGAGCAGTGAATGGGGGACAGTGGAATTGCAGCCTGGGATGTGAAACGGGGATCCTGTTACCTGCAGCTGTAGTCTTCACGTGTCCTCATCTTTTGTGACTCCCCTAGGGCCCTGAGCTGAGCAAGACAGACAAACAGGAGGAAGTATTAATCTTTCTGCTTCCATCTCATCCACTAGCAAGTTTGGAAGGCCAGTCCAGTTATACCCACTGCCTCGGGTGAGGACATCAGAGAGTTTTATGCAGCTCAGTTTTGGGGATGTTCACACACTCTGGCCTCAGGAAGATCCAGAAGTGAGGGAAAGGCTCTGGGCTGGGAGTGAGGAGGCCTTGTTCTGTGTCAGCTAAGCTACCGACGTTCTTTGTTACCATGAGAAAGTCACTCGCTCACTCTGGACGGGAGTTTTCTTATCTGTAAGCTGTTGGATTTGAGTGAGATCATCTTTTGTGTTCTCAAGTTCTGATTCTGTGATTAACAGTGGTAGGTTGAGGCAGGTGTGGCAGAGCCCCGAATGCTGCTTTTTCTGTCACATGTGCCTCCCTCCCCCAAAAGGAACAAGTAGTGAGTTTTATTTGCATCTCTTCTTGAATAGCTCTGTGTTTCTAAGGGCTGAAGAGGCCCACTGTGGGTGTGGTGAGGAGAGTCTGGAGGCAGGAGCTTCCTTTGGCTCTGGGGAAGGAGGCCCAGTTGGTAGCTTCCCTGCCATTGCACAGACTTCTTATGTTCCAGTAATAACATGACTTCCCTCCCTGTTCTGCCTGCCTCTCTAATATTCAGTTTCTAGAGTAGGCTATGATTGTTTTGATAGATTTCCCAACTGTTTCCTGCCTATGTGTCTTTGAAGCAAATAGCAGGAAATTCTTTTCATAGCCATCAGGGTCTCTGTTTCATATTTCCCCTTTTCCATAGAACCTGACAGATCCAGGGCACAGAGAGACACATGTGCATGTTCCAGCTCCCAGTATTCATACAGATATGGTGAAGGGTAGGTGGAGTTAGATTCTTACGGTTTGGTTAGTATTGTCCGGGGAGCTCCTGTAACACATGTGAGATTCTGTGTTCTGTGATAATGTCTTGTATGTCACTGCTACTTAAGAGTTTAAGGTGAAGCTTTGTGAGTGTATTACATGTGTCTGGTGCATGCGTGTGGGTCAGAATGTGGATCAGTGGCTGCTGATGTGCTGATGCTGAGAGGAAGTGATTTAGGAGCTGGGCTTGCTCTCTTTATGTTTCTGCTTTTTGTGCAATGTCCTGGTAACTTGTCAGAGGCTGGATAAGATGTTAGAAATTTTCTTAATCCAGTCTGAAATCTGCCTTGTTTTATTCCTGGGTATGAATCATGTGAGGGGTTGGGAGGTGGAGGATGAAATTCCCATACCTTCTGAATAGTCCAAGGTCAGTTCTCAGAAATCAGATGTTGGTTGTTTAGCCATCACACCCTTAGATTTATGAGTTGGACCTAGAGGATTTGATCGCTTCTGTGACAGAGGTATCATCCTGTTCCCAGAAAACTGGCGACACGTTGACATGCAGGAAATTGGTCAGATTTATGGCTTGTTTCTAACCAACATGTAGGCGTTCTGCCCTTTAAAAACAATTAAATTTCACTGATGTTTTTCATGTATCTAACAAGGGCCAGTTGCTGAATTCTCAAAGATAAATAAAATAAGCCGGGCGTGGTGGCTCACGCCTGTAATCCCAGCACTTTGGGAGGCCGAGGCAGGTGGATCACTAGGTCAGGAGTTCAAGACAAGCCTGGCCAAGATGGTGAAACCCCACTTCTACTAAAAATACAAAAATTAGCCGGGGTGGTGGCGGGCACCTGTAATCCCAGCTACTTGGGAGGCTGAGGCAGGAGAATCGCTTGAACCCAGGAGGCGGAGGTTGCAGTGAGCCGAGATCGCGCCACTGCACTCCAGCCTGGGCGACAGAGTGAGACTCCATCTCAAAAAAAAAAAAAAAAAAAAAGATAAATAAAATAGGATCTCTTTCCTCAGGAACAAACGGTTTGTCTTTTTTTGAACATGGACTTCTGGGGCTAATTCTCACAGTACCCAACTGTCTGTCTTGCAAGCCTTTGGGAGCTCTCAGAACCAGACAGGCTAGCTCAGTCATGCAGCAGCTGACACAGGAGAGTGGGGTGTGAGTCCAGCCCCTTGCCACTTTCTGACTCTCCCTTTTAGGACACAGTGGCCATGGGAAGGCAAGACACTGGGCTCCTTAAGAAAGGCTGTGGGGGGAATGTGGTGGAGGTGGCAACTGCAATTATCCCTCAGCTTGCCCCTCATCTCTCCAGATACAACAGCATGGCCTCAAGCACACCCAGAAGTGGAGAATGAGTGTATGTTCCCTGGGGGACCAGAAATGGATTTGTTAGTTGTTCTTACAAACTGTAGTAGTGAGATGGCAGGGCAATTTGAGCCTTGCGGAGTCATGAGTCATCCGTAGGGAACTATAATTACTTCTCTCCATTCAGACCAGGATGCTAGGCAGTAGTTAAATGGGGCAGGGCCAGGCACGGTGGCTCATGGCTTTAATCCCAGCAATTTGGGAGGCTGAAGTGGGAGGATTGCTTGAGGCCAAGAGTTTGAGACTAGCCTGGCCAACTTGGTGAAACCTTGTCTCTACTAAAAATATAAAAATTAAGGCTGGGCATGGTGGCTCATGCCTGTAATCCCTGTACTTTGGGAGGCCGAGGTGGGTGGATCACCTGAGGTCAGGAGTTTGAGACCAGCCTGGCCAACATGGTGAAACCCCCATCTCTACCAAAAATACAAAAATTTGCTGGGCGAGGTGGCACACGCCTATAATCCCAGCTACTCAGGAGGCTGAGGCAGGAGAATTGCTTGAACCCGGGAGGAGGAGGTTGCAGGGAGCTAAAATCTTGCCAGTGTACTCCAGCCTGGGTGACAGAGTGAGACTTTGTCTAAAAAAAAATATATATGTATATATATATATATTTATACACACACACACACGCACACATGCACAGATAGATAGACATAGATATCTATATATATAGGTATCTATCTATATATAAAAATTAGCTGGGCATGGTGGTGCACACTTGTAATCCTAGCTACTCGGGAGGCTGAGGCATGAGAATCACTTGAACCCAGCAGGTGGAGGTTGCAGTGAGCTGAGATCATACCACTGCACTCCAGCCTGGGTAATAGAGTGAGACTCCATCTCAAAAAAAGGGAGGGAGGGGCATTTGTGGAGAAAGATGCACAAGAAATGCTCAGGCCAGGCATGGTGGCACATGCCTGTAATCCCAATCCTTTGGGAGGCCGAGGTGGGAGGACTCCTTGAGCCCAGGAATTCAAGACCAGTCTGGGCAACATAGCGAGACCTTATCTCTAAAAAAAAAAAAAAAAAAAAATTTAAAAATTTAGCTGAGTATGGTGACACATGCCTGTAGTCCCAGCTACTTGAGAGGCTGAGGCAAGATGATCACTAGAGCCTTGGTGGTCGAGGCTGCAGTGAGTCATGATTGCCCCACAGCACTCCAGCCTGAGTGACAGAGGGCAGAGTCTGTCTCAAAATAAAAAAATAAAAAAGACATACTCAGACCAACTGGTGCCACATTTTTGTCGGAGGCTCATACATTAAGCTGCTGTCCCCTCCACCACACAGAGGCACAAAGGCAGTGGCAGCTGGGACTTCCTTCCCTGTTTTCTCCCATTCTTCTAATTCTTCATGATGCCCTTTTGTGACTTCTTTCCCCCTTTAATACTGCTTTTGATATCATTTCAGCCTGATGTCACTTGTGCAAAATCACTGGGGGTAGGCTGGGTGAAAATTTTCCAAACCACACATTCTTTTTTTTTTTGGGACAGAGTCTCACTCTGTTGCACAGGCTGGAGTACCATGTCACAATCACGACTCACTGCAGCCATGACCTTTTGGGCTTAAGTGATTTTCCTGCCTCAGCTTCCGGAGCAGCTGGCGCATGCGACCACACTTGGCTAATTTTTTGTAGAGACAGGGTCTCACTTTGTTGCCTACACTGGTCTCAAACTCCTGGGCTCATGTGATCCTCCTGCATCAGCCTCCCAAAGTGCTAGGATTATATATCAGCTTGAGCTGCTGTACTCAGCCCAAACCCCACATTCTTTTTTTATTTTTGTTTTTTATTTTTTGAGACAGGGTCTTGCTGTATCACCCAGGCTGAAGTGCAGTGGTGTGAACATACCTCACTGCAGTCTCAACCTCCTGGGCTCAAGCGATCCTCCCACCTCAGCCTCCTGGGTAGCTGAGACCACAGGTGTGAGGTGTGTGCCACCACATGTGGCTAACTTTTTAACTTATTTTTGTAGGGACGGGGTCTTGCTATATTGTTCAGGTTAGTCTCTAGCTCCTGGGCTCAAGTGATCCTCCTGCCTCAGCCTCCCATAGTGCTGGGATTATAGGCATGAGCCACTGCGTCTGGCCCAAACCCCATGTTTTTTTTTTTTTTTTTGAGACGGATTCTCTGTCGCCTAGGCTGCAGTGCGATGGTGTGATCTTGGCTCACTGCAATCTCTGCCTCTTGGGTTCAAGTGATTCTCCTGCCTCAGCCTCCCTAGTAGCCAGGATTACAGGTGCCCACCACCGCACCCAGCTAATTTTTGTTTGTATTTTTAGTAGAGACAGGGTTTCACCATATTGGCCAGGATGGTCTCGAACTCCTGACCTCAGCTGATCCACCCACTTGGGCCTCTCAAAATGCTGGGATTATAGGTCTGAGCCACCACGCCTGGCCCCAAACCCCACATTCTTAATGGCAGCTCTGGGCCCTACATAATTTCACTTCTTCAGGGTGACCCTGGGAACTTAATTCTAACTTGGGTCCTATTGTAGCTCTTTAACCACCCCAACAGCTCTGTAAGTATAGTTCAGCTTGAGAGAAAGAGACACAGAGAGAGAAACTTCAAGCACTGGGTGTTTGGTGCCTTGGGAGTCAGACAGACTGGACCTGGATTTAAATCCACTTTGTTCTCTATTATCTGCGTGATCTTGGACAACTGACTTAAGCTCTCTAGGGCTCAATTGCGACATTTGTAAAATGAAGATGATACCATGTAATAGTTATAATAGCTACTGTATTGAGCACTTTATATTTATTAATACAGTTAATCCCCATATATCTCTAGGAATTAGGTACTATTGTAGTTGTCATTTCTCAGATAAGAAAACTGAGGCATAGAGAGGTTAAGCAGCATGCCAACAGTAACACAATTCTTAAGTTGTGGAGCTGGGATTCTGAACATGGAAGCCCAACCTCAGAGCCTGTGTCCTTAACTACTGCAGTGGACTATAGTCCACAGAATGTTAACAAGGATTGAGGTGGGGGGAAAAAAACAAAAAAGCCCCCCAAAAACACAAAGCATTTAAAGTACCAGGTATAGAGCTTGGCAATAAGTTATTAAATTACATAACTGATGGCAGTAAATGGCAGCTGTTGCCGCCAGGGTAGAAAAGCCTGTTTTCCAAGCTGTGTTTCCCCATGGGCACACGGAGGATGTGGCCCTCAGTCAGGGCAAGGCAGGAGAGAGACGGGTCTTCCCGCTGTCCAGGGTTTGCAAGGTGTCAGGGCTTCTTCCACTCCGACTCTGTTAGACACAGTTTGTTGGCAAAGTCTTGTTTCTCTAATCCCAAAGTTGCCTAACAGGCCCCGAAAGGAAAACACAGGAGCAGGGTGGCCATAGGAAAGGGCTCCCTTCCAGTGAGCCAGTTGCTCAAGAATCACTTTTCTCACTGCTTCAGAGGAATCTGGCTTTTTGTATCCTGCTGTCTTACCCATTTGGTCAGGGCTCCTGGATAAGCTACCTGGGGAACAGAGTGGGGCCTCTGCCTAAATTGGCACAAGGTGAAGAGTCAATGCCAAGAAACAAAGGAGACCCTGCAGGGACCTGGGGAAACCCAAATCTGGGCTTCAGGGGAAGGGAGCATCAAGCCTGCTCTGATTCTTTGTCATGTATACTTTGGCCCTCTGCCTGGGCTTGTGAATGTCTTGGTTAGTCACTGAGCAGTTCGGGTGCACCTGTCCCATTCAAGACACCAACTGGGTTAGAGGCAGCATGGTTTTTGGCTAAATGTTTTTATGGAAGCTGAGGAACCTGCATTTCACTATAGCTCTGCCACTTTTTAGTTAAGTTGTGTGATCTTGACAGTTTACTCTTTTGTGAGCCTCACTTTTCTCATTTGAGAAAATTATGAAGATCTTTTTTGAGACAGAGTCTCATTCTGTTACCAGGCTGGAGTGCAGTGGCTTGATCACAGCTCACTGTAGCCTCGTCTTCCTGGGCTCAAGCAATTTTCCCATCTCAGCCTCCCAAGTAGCTGGGACTACAGATGTGTGCCACCATGCCTGGCTAATTTTTAAATTTCTTGTGGAGATGAAGTCTCTCTATATTGCCCAGGCTCGTCTGAAACTGCTGGGCTCAAGCAGTCCTCCCACCTCAGCCACCTAAAGTTCTGGAATTATAGGCGTGAGCCACCGTGCCTGGCTGAATTATGAGGATCAAATGACATCATGTACACAAAGGCCTTAGAACAGCAACTTACACATTATAGGTGCTCAGTAAATGCTCATAGTCACAGGTTAGGTGCAGTTGGGAGCTGTGGAGAAATATAAAGTACAATCTCTTGCCTTTAAGGAGGTTGCAGTCTAGATGGGGTGAGAGGTAATAAGATAGAAGATCATGTAAATCACAATGTTGGGAATGCATGTAAAATAATACTGGCTGGTTGTGCGCAGTGGTATTATTGTAGCCAATGAGGTTTATCCGAGGTGCAATTATTGTGAATGGGAAACTTTCGCAATAACATCAGCCAACAAGTGTCATGGACCATGAAGGCTTTGGGAGTTCAGAGCTATGAGAGCTGCCCCATGGGCTAAGCCAGGGAAGGCTTTCTGAACAAGTGAGTGTTGCAAACCTGCAAAGGTTGGAGAGGAAGGTGGAGGGACACTCCAGAAAAAGAACAGAATGAGGCCAAGTAGCATAAGTTCAGAGGATAGGAAGAAAACAGATTGGAACCAAGGGCTTGTAGGAGACATGAGAGGGAAATGAGATTGAATAGGTGGGTTGAGGTCAGGTTGTAAAGAGCTTTGAATGCCGTGCTAAGGAGTTTGGAATTTATCTGAAGGTTTTTGAGGAGGGGAATGATGTTCATATTGTGACCTTGATTTGGCCATGTATTCTTTTAATTTCTCTGGACCTTAGATCCCTTATCTATACAGTAAGAAGTTTGGATCATGTGATTGTAGAGGAGTTTCTCTAGCTAGAGAGTTTATGATTCTATGATACAGGAAGACTATTTTATTTTTGTCTTTATTTATTTATTTATTTTTGAGATGGCGTCTTGCTCTGTTGCCCAGGCTGGAGTGCAGTGGCACGATCTCGGGGCTCACTGCAAGCTCCGCCTCCCTTGTTCACGCCATTCTCCTGCCTCAGCCTCCTGAGTAGCTGGGACTACAGGTGCCCGCCACCATGCCTGGCTAATTTTTTTTTTTTGTATTTTTAGTAGAGACAGGGTTTCACCGTGTTAGCCAGGATGGTCTCAATCTCCTGACCTCGTGATCCGCCCCCCTCAGCCTCCTAAAGTGCTGGGATTACAGGCGTAAGCCACCGTGCCCAGCCGAGGACTTCAATATTTAAAGGAGAAAGAACAGGCAGGAGGAGGAGGAGGAAAGAAAAAGAAAGGGGAGGGTAGGCAGTGAGGCAAACAGTTACATTCTTGGGAGGCTTTGATTAGCACTCAGTGAATTCGCATTTTACATGTGAAAAGAAAGGAATGGAGGGGAAGTCAATTATGCATTTATCTAGTGCTCAATAGATCTACATTTTACATAAGATAATGTAAGACTGTGAAATTACAGCTATCTGTTTAGGAACAAAAAGAAGGCAGTTTCTGCATGACTCAGTTCCCAAGCTTAACTTTTCCCTTTGGCATAGTGAATTTGGGATCCCAAGATTTTATTTTCCTTTCACAAACTCAATACATTGATTAAGTTTAAGACTTCACCATGTGCCTCACACATGGAATCCAGTAAATGTTTGGTGCTGTTTATTCACTCATTGAATTCCTTAATAAGCATGTAGTTTCCTGAATGCCTGCTAGATACTAAGCACTATATTAGGTACTAAGTATATTAATGGAAATAAAAACATGGTGGCCCTTAAGGAGCTCATAGTCTTTTAAAGGAGACAAGTCAAACAGTTACAGAACAGAATGACAAGCATGGGTCAGGCACGGTGGCTCATGCCTGTAATCCCAGCACTTTGGGAGGCTGAGGCAGTTGGATCACCTGAGGTCAGGAGTTTGAGACTAGCTTGGCCAACATGGAGAAACCCCATCTCTACTAAAAATACAAAAATTAGCCAGGCATGATGATGGGTGCCTGTAGTCCCAGCTACTTGGGAGGCTGAGGCAGGAGAATTGCTTGAACTCGGGAGGCGGAAGTTGCAGTGAGCTGAGATCGTGCCATTGTACTCCAGCCTGGGCGACAAGAGCGAGACTCTGTCGCAAAAAAAAAAAAAAAAAAAAAAAAGAATAACAAGCGTTATGATTAAAGGACAAATCAAGTGTTACAGGAGCATAGGGGAGGGCTTACTAACTCATCCTGGGATGAGAATGCTGAGAACAGAGAAACCTTTTCTTTTCTTCTCTTTTCTTTCTATTTTTAAGAGCTAAGTTCTGAAAGAGGAGTAGAAATTGAGAGGAGGGCCGTCTAGGGAGAAGGAACAATACACGCAAAGTCTGTGATGTGAGGGAGTGCAAAGTCAGTGATGTGTTCCGGGAACTGCAAGTAGCTGAGCCTGTTGTCACAGAGAGTACACAGGCACAGTGATTAGAAGTAATCAGGGACCAGATTACGAAGAGCCTGGTATGCTTGGTGAAGAAGTTTAGATTTTATCCTCAAGGTGATGGAGAACTATACCTAGATTTTAGGCAGGGTATTGATGTAACCACCCAATGGGTTCTTCCTGCCTGCTGTACAAATAATGACCACAGCATTGCAGTAAAGAAAGAGTTTATGCGGTGGGACGAAAGAGTTTAATTGACACAAGGCTGGCCACACCACATGGGAGATGGAGTTGTTATTCAAATCAACCTCATCTTCAGCTCATAGGTTAGAGGTTTTTATTTTTTTCCTATTTTATTTTATTTTATTATTATTATACTTTAAGTTTTAGGGTACATGTGCACAATGTGCAGGTTTGTTACGTATGTATACGTGTGCCATGTTGGTGTGCTGCACCCATTAACTCGTCATTTAGCATTAGGTATATCTCCAAATGCTATCCCTCCCCCCTCCCCCCAGGTTAGAGGTTTTTCAAAGGCAGTTTGGGGGAAGGGGTTGGAGTGCTTGCGGCTGATTGGTTTGGGTGGAGATGAAATCATAGGATCTTGAAGCTGCTCTCTTTAGCGAGTTGCTTCTGGCTAGGGCCACAGGAGTGGAGTTGGCAGGTCCAGGTGGAGCTCTGGGTGTCAGACATGCAAAAAACCTGAAAAGATATCTCAAAAGGCCAATCTACAACAGTGATGTTATGTGCAGGACATATCTGGTGACCAGTCTACAGCTTAGCAGAATTCAGGTTCCTCTCCTCCCTCTATCCTGATGGCCTTTCATTAGCTTTACAAAGGTGGTTGAGTTTTGGGGAAGGTTTCTTATCATTTAAACTATAAACCAAATGTCTCCCAAAGTTAGTTTAGCCTAAGCATAGGAATGATTAAGGGAAAGGCAAGATGGGGGAGCATGGGTTAGATAAGATCTCTTACTGCCATATTTTTTTCACTGTTATAATTTTTCCAAAGGCAGTATCATTGACATTAGCAGACTTGTGTTTTAGGGTGATCTCTTTGACTGTCAAAGTGGAGGACAGATTGAATCTATGAGTTAGGGGAAGATGAAGCCCAGAAGCAGGATAAGTTGCGTTAGCTGTGATTGCTGCTTTCTTCTCTGGGATGCCCCTTTCCATCTTTACAGATCTTGCCTGTAGTACTTGCCATAGCACCAGGCAAATAGAAGGCATTTTACATCATGTGTTGGTTACTCCACTGCTGTGGCTTGTGCTAACAGTGACTGGGGCACTGATTTGAAAGTAAAGTGAGCACCCTTTTTCCTGTGGTCACAAATCAGGCAAAATTGCTTTCTTGGTTAGAACTGACGTGGAAGATACACACACACACACACACACACACACACACACAAATACACACACACATACAAACACACACATATATTTTTTGAGGCAGTCACTCAATCGCCCAGGTTGGAGTGCAGTGGCATGATCTTGGCTCACTGCAGTCTCCGCCTCCTGGGTTCAAGCAAGTCTTCTGCCTTAGCCTCCTGAGTAGCTGGGATTACAGGCGTGCGCCACCACGCCCAGCTAATTTTTGTATTTTCATTTGAGATGAGGTTTCACCATGTTGGTCAGGCTGGTCTTGAACTCCTGACCTCAAATGATCCCCCTACCTCAGCCTCCCAAAGTGCTGAGATTACAGGCGTGAGCCATCGTGCCCAGCCAGAAGATATGTTTGGCTCTTCTCAAGATGTCTCCATAGGCATTTTCCATTTTGTGAAGAGTCTTTGTTCCAAAGTTGACAGTGGGTTCCTTTAGGGCAGGAAACATATTTTTATTCATTTTTGTAGTCCCTGGACTTATCACAATACGTGATACATACTAGGCAATGATAGATATTTGTTTCATGAATTTGAAATTCATGTTTTGTATTTGAAATATGTTTCATGAAATATGCTGTAAATGTTGATTAGGTGCTCGGATTCCCCCTCAAAAGCCTTTTAAATCTAGAGCCTAATGGGGTACTGGGCATATCTAAGGCCTGAGAAGGAGGGAAACTCTAGGAAATGGCAGGAATTAGCAGAATGGAAGTAAGTTACTTCCCAGAAGTATTTAGCAGTTGAACTGAGACAGTTCCAGAAAGATTCTGGGCCAAAGGTTTTTAGAAAGACCTACTGGGGAGATTGGGAAGTTCTGAATTCCTTTTGCTACCTACTGTTATACAAATCGCTTTTGTTCTTCCTCATATACTTTAAAATACATTTGGCTGGCACAGTGGCTGATGCCTGTAATCCCAACACTTTGGAAGGCCAAGGTAGGAAGATTGCTTGAGGCCAGGAGTCCAAGAGCAGCCTGGGCAACACAGCAAGATCTCCATTAAAAAATTAGCCAGGTGTGGTGGCATGCACCTGTTGTCCCAGCTACTTGGGAGGCTGAGGTGAGAGGATCACTTGAGCCCAGCAGGTCAAGGCTGAGTGAGCCATGATTATACCAGGGCACTCCAGCCTGGGTGACAGAGTGAGACCTTGTTTCTGGAAAAAAAAAAAAAAAGAATAAAATTGGCAGGGTGCGGTGGCCCACACCTATAATCCCAGCATGTTGGGAGGCTAAAGTGGGAGGATCACTTGAGCCCAGGAGTTCTAGAGCAACCTGAGCAATGTAGAGAGACCTTGTCTTTTTTTTTTTTTTTTTTCTTTTGAGACAGAGTCTCATTCTGTCACTAGGCTGGAGTGCAGTTGTGCGATCTCGGCTCACTGCAACCTCCGCCTCCCGGGTTCAAGCGATTCTTTTGCCTCAGCCTCCCCAGTAGCTGGAACTACAGGCATGCACCACCACACCCAGCTAATTTTTGTATTTTTAGTAGAGACAGGGTTTCACCATGTTGGCCAGGATGGTCTCGATCTCTTGACCTCGTGATCTGCCTGCCTCGGTCTCCCAAAGTGTTAGGATTACAGGCGTGAGCCACCACGCCTGGCTGAGACCTTGTCTTTACAAAAAATAAACAAAATTAGCTGGGCATGGTGGTGCACACCTATAGTTCCAGCTACTTGAGAGGCTGAGGTGAGAAGATCACTTGTGAGCCCAGGAGGTCAAGGCCTCAGTGAGCCAAGATGGTATCACTGCACTCCAGCCTGGGCAACAGAGTGAGACCCCATCTAAATAAAAATAAATAAATAAATAAATAAATAAATAAATAAATAAATAACAGTTAAACTACATGACTTGCCATGGTTTCCTGATTCTTTGTCTTTTTATGTTTCCTTTCTTCGTTAGGAATGTTTTTTCCTTTATGCCATTGTCATCATTCTTCAGTGCCCTGCTGAAATGCTTTTCATGAAACCTTATGGAAAAAATAATCTCTCCCTACCGAAGTCATCTCAATTTTTAGACCCCCTTGTGGTACTTAATGCTCTCTACCTAGAATTATATATGGGTTATCATTCTTACACTAGAAGGAAGGAATCATATGTAATTTAGCTATGAGTATTCCAGAGTGTCTAGCACAGGTCTTTGTAAATGTTGAATGGACAATGTGGCTGAGCTGTATTACTAACTTAGTGTTATGCTTACTTTTACTTGTCAACCTAGCTGGACCATGACGTGCCCAGGGATTTGGTCAGACATTATTCTGGGTGTTTTTTTTTTTTTTCCCCCAAGATGGAACCTTGCTCTGTCGCCCAGGCTGGAGTGCAACGGCGTGATCTCGGCTCACTGCAACCTCCACCTCCCAAGTTCAAGCAATTCTCCTGCCTCAGTCTCCTGAGTAGCTGGGATTACAGGCTCATGCCACCACACCTGGCTAATTTTTGTATTTTTAGTAGAGACGGGGTTTCTACATGTTGGCCAGGCTGGTCTTGAACTCCTGACCTCATGATCCGCCTACCTTGTCCTCCCAAAGTGCTGGATTACAGGCCTGAGCCACTGCTCCCGGCCTATTCTGGGTATTTCTGTGAAGATATTTTTGCATGAGATTAAGATTTAAATTGATAGATTGAATAAAGTAGATTGCTCTCCCTAATATGGGTGGGCCTCATCCAATCAGTTGAAGGCCTGAATAGAATAAAAAGATTTATCCTCCCTTGAGGAAAGGAATTCCTCCTGCCTGACCACTTTCAAACTGGGATATTGGCTTCTTCCTGTCTCCAGACTCAAACTGAATCATCACCTCTTGAGCCTTGCTGGCCTTTGGACTGAAACTATACAACTGGCTCTCTTGGGTCTCTAGCTTTCCAGCTCACCCTGAAGCTCTTGGGACTTGTCAGCCTCCATAATTGTGTGAGACAATTCTTTATAATAAAGCTCTTTTTACACACACACACACACACACATATCTTGTTGGTTCTGCTTCTCTGGAGAACCCTACTACACTTGGGTTCTAAATGTTAGAAGTATCCCAGGGAAGGGAAAAGAGTCCTATCTACCATTCCTGGCACAGGATTAACATGAGGCACACTTTAAAAATGATGCTTACCTTTGATATCTTTTCATCTCTTGCACCCTTTTTTTGAACTCTTCTCCCTCTTCTAAGATTTAAGGTATATAGGACTTTGATGCTACCCTTATCCCTCTACTTTAATATCTGATCCAGGCCTATCTTCTTCCTCATTTATGGCCCAAATTTCCTTTTGGCCCAAATTTCCTTTGCTTTTGAGTCATTTTCCCAATCCTACCCCATTCCCATTAAAGCTCCCAACTCAGTGTGTTAGATGGAAGCTGGGTGGTAAGGGAAAAGCAGTTTGTACAAGTGATTCATGTATAGCTGAAAGCTCTGTAATCTTCTCAGAGTCATTTGCTAAATGAATTGGATGAAATACCATGTAGTTTAATAAAGTGGGATGAAAATTTTAGGCAGAGTGGGGGTAAAATCTTCGAGTAACTGCCCAATGGGAGTTACTCAACCCTACCTGGAGTCAGTCCTAGGGTTAGCATTCCTGTGCGCTTACTGCTTTGACAGATTCTTCCCTTTTCCATCTTTGAAACCAGTTTCACCAGGGGCGGTGGCTCACGCCTGTAATCCTAGCACTTTGGGAGGCTGAGGAGGGCGGATCACCTGTGGTAGGGAATTCGAGACCAGCCTGACCAATATGGAGAAACCTCGTCTCTACTAAAAATATGAAATTAGCTGGGCGTGGTGGTACATACCTGCAATCCCAGCTACTCAGGAGGCTGAGGCAGGAGAATCACTTGAACCCGGGAGGCAGAGGTTGCGGTGAGTGGAGATCGCACCATTGCACTCCAGCCTGGGCAACAAGAGACTCTTGTCTCAAAAAAAAAAAAAAAAAAAGAAAAAAAAAGAAACCACAGTTTCTCCCAAAACATTAACAAACAAGCACTCCCACAGAAGTAGCAATGGAGATTCTACTGCTAGCATAGGAAGAGAGAAAGAAGGAAACCATTAGCAGTCTCCACTGGATTTTTCTAAGTTAGCAACTATTTATAGTTTTGAAAGTCCTATTTTAGAAGAATATGATTTGTTTAAAAGATGATGAGCAAATCAGTAGTTTTATATTATATGTGGTCATAAGCAGAGAAAAGACCTGGTTATAGGAGAGCAGATTTTAATGCGGTATGGAGGCATTATGTTTGAAATGTTGATAAATCAAATCTGTCGTGAAGCTGGTCTGGCTTAAAATACTTAGGATCTGTCTTATCTTCAGCTAGCTCTTCCCTTCCAGATTTTGAAACCAGCGCAATTGTCCCACAGGACTAATGTTTACAGGTTTTTTTAATAAACATAGAAATTGACCTTCCCTAGTCTTAGAACTCTAAACTTGTATCTGTCTCATCTGAGTTCCTTCCTTAGGAAACCTACCCTCAGGCAAGGAACTGAAACCCATCAGATCCTCACACCCAGACAACGAGATACCAGACTCCTCATCCATCGTGACTGCTTCCCTACCCCTCCCTAATTTCTGTTTTCCCACCTTCCCTGCTATATAAACTCCCCAGTTTCAGTCTGTCAGAGATTGATCTGAGACTTTATCTCCTGTTGACCTTCACTGCAGCACCAGATTCAAGCCCTCCTTCCTGGAAATACTTGTTGACTCAGTGACTGGCATTCTGTGCAGCAAACCGCAGGACTAGGCTGAATGCTTGGTATTTCAGTAATAATTTCCTGTGAGAAGGAAGGAAGTAGTTAGAAGAAAGAGCATGATCGTAATAGGAAACTAAAAACTGTGCATCTATTTCAATATTTCAATATTTAAATATATTTAAGCCTGTCTTATATTAAAAAATCCCCTTTTTGAACTCTACTTCTCTTACTGGCTTCTACCGTATCACTCTCTTCTTTTTTTAGAAGCAAACATTTATTTATTTATGCTTATTATTTTTTTTTGAGACAGTATCTCGCTCTGTTGCCCAGGCTGGAGTGCAGTGTTGCAATCTCGGTTTACCGCAACCTCCTACCGAGTTCAAGCAATTCTCCTGCCTCAGCCTCTCAAGTACCTGGGACTACAGGCATGTACCACCACGCCCGGCTAATTTTTGTATTTTTAGTAGAGACGGGGTTTCACCATATTGGCCACGCTGGTCTTAAACTCCTGACCTCAGGTGATCTGCTCTCCTCGGCCTCCCAGATTGCTGGGATTACAGGCTTGAGCCACCGTGCCTGGCCTAAACTAATACTTAAAAAGAGTTTATAGTTACTATCTCCATTTACTTATCTCCCATCTACTCCTGAGCATCCTAGAGTAGATTTATTCCCGTTGTGCAACCAAAACTACTCTTACCAGTGTCGCCAATGATGACACAGTTGCAAAATAGAATGACCCTTTCACCCTTGTTTTACTTGGCGTTGCAGCCCACTTACCACAGTCCGCCAGTGCTTTGCTTTGGAACTGCTGCTCTGGCCCTCACACTGTTGGGTTCTCTTCTACCTCTTCGCCCGTTCCTTTTGAGTTTTCCTTACCACCTTCTCTGATGTGTCCATTCCATTCCTTAAATGTCATTGGTCTGTAGGGTTCTGTCCTAATGTCCTCTTCTCTTTCTATATACTCATGTTCCCTCTGTGACTTCAGTTATAATTGATACCTGATGAATGGCCCATCTCTCTCTCTCTCTCTTTTTTTTTTTTTTTGAGATGGTGTCTTGCTCTGTTGCCCCGGCTGGAATGCAGTGGTGTGATCTCGGCTCACTGCAACCTCTGCCTCCTGGGTTCATGCCATTCTCCTGCCTCAGCCTCCCGAGTAGCTGGGACTACAGGTGCCCACCACCACGCCTGGCTAATTTTTTGTATTTTTAGTAGAGACGGGGTTTCACTGTGTTAGCCAGGATGGTCTCAATCTCCTGACCTTGTGATCTGCCCGCCTCGCCCTCCCAAAGTGCTGGGATTACAGGCGTGAGCCATCACGCCGGCCATCTCTCTCTCTCTTTAAACAGAGATGGGGTCTTACTCTTTCGCCCAGGATAGAATGCAGTGGTGCGATCATAGCTCACTATAACTTTTAACTCCTGGACTCAAGCAATCCTTCCACTTTAGCATCCCAAAGTGCTGGGATACAGGTGTGAGCCACTGTAACCAGCTAATTTTTTTTTTTTTTTTTTGAGACAGAGTCTCGCTCTGTTGCCCAGGCTGGAATGCAGTGGCGCAATCTCAGCTCACTGCAAGCTCTGCCTTCCGGGTTCACTCCATTCTCCTGCCTCAGCCTCCCGAGTAGCTGGGACTACAGGTGCCCGCCACCACGCCCAGCTAATTTTTTTGTATTTTTAGTAGAGATGGGGTTTCACCGTGTTAGCCAGGATGGTCTCCATCTCCTGACCTCGTGATCCGCCCACCTCGGCCTCCCAAAGTGCTGGGATTACAGGTGTGAGCCACCGTGCCTGGCCAACTGTGCCCAGCTAATTAAAAACTTTTTTTTTTTTTTTTTGGTAGAGACAGGGTCTTGCTATGTTGAACAGGCTGATCTTGAACTCCTCTGGCTTCGAGCTATTCAGCTACCTAAGCCTTTCAAAGGGCTGGGGTTACAGGTGTGAGCGACTGTGCCTGTCCTCCATCTCTCTCGTTCTCTCTCTCTCTCTTTTTTTTTTTTTTTTTTTTTTTTTTTTTGAGACAGAGTCTCCCTCTGTCGCCCAGGCTGGAGTGCAGTGACATGATCTCTGCTCACTGAAACCTCTCCCTCCCGGGTTCAAGCGATTCTCCTGCCTCAGCCTCCCAGGTAGCTGAGATTACAGGTGCCCACCACCACACCTGGCTAGTTTTTGTATTTTTAGTAGAGACAGCGTTTCGCCTTGTTGGCCAGGCTGGTCTCAAACTACTGACCTCAAGTGATCCGCCTGCCTTGGCCTCCCAAAGTGCTGGAATTACAGGTGTGAGCCACTGCACCCAGCCCTCCATCTCTCTGGAATTGTATATCTCAACAGTTTATTGGACATCTGCTTTTGAATATGCAACATGTCCAAAAAAACTGAACTTATCTTGCCTCTAAACTTGATTGTTTAAAACAAAATTTTAGCCAGGTGCAGCAGCTCACACCTGTAATCCCAGCACTTTTGGGAGGCTGAGGCGGGAGGATTGCTTGAGTCCAGGAGTTTGTGACCAAGCAAAGAGTAAGACCCCATCTCCATTTAAAGAGAGACAGAGATGGCTGGGCGCGATGGCTCATGCCTGTGACCTGGGCAACATAATGAGACTTCATGTCTTAAAAAAAAAAAATTAGCTCGGCGTGGTGGCATGTGCCTATAGTACCAGGTACTCAGGAGGTCGGGATTGCTTGAGCCCCGGAGGTTGAGTCTGCAGTGAACTGTGATCACATGACTGCACTGTAGCCTAGGTGACAGAGTGAGACCCTGTCTCAAAAAATTAAAAAAAAAAATTTCAGTGGATGGTACCCCACAAAGATCCACACCGGAAATCTGGCCACCATCTTTGATTACTCTTTTATCACCCCCACATCTAGTCGATCACTCAGTCTTGACAATACTACCTGCTAAATATCTCTCAAGCTGTCCACTTCTTTTTCCAACCTTACTCACACTACTGATTCAGCCATTTCCTTTTCTAGATCACTGCAGCAGCCTTCTCTCTGATTCCACTTTTTTGTCTTCAGTCTAATTCCATGCCACTCTAATTCATTTTCTGCAGTGTGGGTGAAGTGGATGTATGAAACAAAATTCTAATCACATTTTCCCTAATATTAAAGCCCTTTAAATGGTTCTCTGTTGCCCTCAGGATGCACTTTGATCTCTTCAATAGGGCCCCCAAGCTTTTTTTGTTGTTGTTATATTACAAATTTAAAAGAACTCAGTCTTCTCCAGCTTCATCTGTGCTAATCCTGCCCCCACCTTTCCCCCATTCTTGTACTCCAGGTACACAACACATACTTTAATTCCTTAAATACCCCTGTTCTCTATTGTATCTGGGCCTTTGCAGTTATTCTGTCTGCCTAGAATGCTCCTGTTACGCCTCTTTCTTATCAACTTTAGTTATCTTTGGTTTAGACATCCCTTCTTCTGTGCTATGCTATGCTAACACCCCAACCCCAGGTCATGCTTCTGAAGTACCCAGTACTTACCCCTGTGTAGCGCTTACCATGCCCTCTCAAGATTACCTGGTGAATGTATTGTAAGCATTTTGTATGCAGGGACTACATGTCTCACTATTGAATCCTGGGTCCTAGAAAAGTAGCTATCACATAATAGATGCTCAGTAAATACACATCGTTACTTTGGCTATGTTTGCCATTAAATCAATTAAACAAGTGGTACAAAGCTGGTAGGGAATGACCAAAAATGGGGTCCTAGGCTTCAATGTTAGGTTTTTTTTTTTAAAAGTAAAGTCAAAGTTCAGATTATTGCAGTTTTACAGGTTGGCTATGGGTCTTAATGGGCTTATGGGATATTACAACTGAATCTAAACTCTGTCCAGCTGGTACAGTCTTTATCCAGGCTTCAGTGTTCTTTTTTTTCTTAAAAAAAAAAAAGCTTTATTGAGATATAATTTATATGCCATACCACTCACCCATTTAAAGTATATTCCTCAATGATTTTTTCCCAGAGCAAGAGTGGAAGTTTATTTTATTTTATTTTATTTTTATTTATTTATTTTTTTTTAAAAATGGCCATGCATCTGCTCTTTAATGTTTTCCTATGATGTATTAAAATAAAAACAAAGTTTCAGTCTCTTCACAAGAAGTAATTTATATTCTCTGAATTTTTTCAGCCACAACAACTGGATTCTCTTTTCTGATTTTTGCTGCAGCTTCTGCTTTGTAATCATACGGACAGTTGTGCTTGTCAGAGTTAACGGTGAAGTCCACAAAACAAATTTCCACATCGGCAGTCAAACCTGTAAGACCAACTTTCTTTCTGCACATGAAACATCTGTTTTTCTTTGGTTTGGGCAATTCAGGAGCTTTTTCTTTACTCTGAGAAGTACTGGGCTGAAAAACTGATGGGCTGGGCTGAGTGACAACTGGCTCTCACACCTCTGTTTTCGGGGTAGTTATTTTGTCCTCTGTTGAAATGCTCATTTCTGTCATTTGCTGAGTTACAGGCAAGGCAGCCGCAGGCACATTTCTTGATTTTTCAGATGTGCTGCCAGCAGCACCTTCACAGTTGTTTAAGCTAGTGTCTGCTCTCTGTACAGATGCAGAATCTGAGGTAGGACTGTTGGAACCACTAGCTGTCCCCATTGGGCTCATTCTGCCACTATTCTGCTGCCTCTGAAGATGTTCTTTGTAGCAAACTGAACACATTCCATTTGTCCTAGGATTTCCATAAAAGCCACATCCTGTGCTACACAGCATGGGCCCCGGGGTCTGGTTAGTCTCCTGAGCCATATTTTTCTGCCAGGTCTGAGTTCCAACCATCCCCATGGCCAAAGGGATTTTATTTTATTTTTAAGATGGAGTCTTGCTCTTGTCGTCCAGGGTGGAGTGCAATGGTGTGATTTCGGCTCACGGCAACCTCTGCCTCCTGGGTTCAAACGATTCTCCTGCCGCAACCTCCTGAGCAGCTGGGATTACAGGCGCCTGCCACCATGCCCAGCTAATTTTTTTTTTTTGTATTTTTAATAGAGATGAGGTTTCACCATGTTGGCCAGGCTGGTCTCCAACTCCTGACCTCAGGTGATCCACCCACCTCGGCTTCCCAAAGTGCTTGGGATTACAGGTGTAAGCCACCGCGCCTGGCTGGAAGTTTATTTTTAAAAGTCTTTAGAAAATAAAAAAAGAGAAAGTATGCTTGGAAGACACCCAAGTGCGTGACTTGAAGAACAAGTGCCTGATTTTTAGTATAGTCACAGAATTGTGTAACTGTCACCATAATCAATCTTCAGAACATATTCATCACCCCAGCAAGAAACCCCATACCCATTAGTAATTGCTCCTTTTTTCACCCCACCCTTCAGCCTCCTCTCTCCAGCCCCTGGGAACCCTAATCTACTTCTTTGTTTCTGTGAACTTGCCTATTCTCAATATTTCATATGAATGGAATAATATGTGTTCTTGTGACTGGCTTCTTTCACTTAGCATAATGTTTTCAAACTTTATCCATGTTGTATCATGTATCAATACTTTATTTCTTTTTATTTTTTACTTAAAATTTTTTTCCTATACAGATGAAGTCTCACTGTATTACCCAGGCTGGTCTCAAACAACTGGGCTCAAGCGATCCTCCCACCTTGGCCTTTCAAATTGTTGGGATTATAGGTGTGAGCCACTGTGCCCAGCCCCGTTTCTTTTTATTGCCAAATAATCTTCCATTATATGTATATACCACGTTTTGTAAATCCATTCATCAGTTGGTGGACATTTGAGTTGTTTCTGCTTTTGGCTATTACAAACAATGCTGCTTATGAACATTTTCTTTCTTTCTAAGAGATGGAGTGTTGCTCGGATCACTGAAACCTCCGTCTTTCCAGTTCAAATGATTCTCCTGGCCCAGCCTTCTGAGTAGCTGGGATTACAGGTGCACACAACTACACCCAGCTAATATTGGTATTTTTAGTAGAGACGCAGTTTCACCATGTTGGCCAGGCTGGTCTTGAACTCCTGAGCTCAAGTGATCTGCCCACCTCAGCCTCCCAAAGTGCTGGGATTACAGGGGTGAGCCATCAAGCCCAGCCGTGGACATCTGTGTATGAGTTTTTGTATAGACATGTTTTTATTTCTCTTGGGTATATACCTAGGAGTGCAATTGTTGGGTCATATTATTACCAGAATGGGGTCCTGATCAAGTCCCCAAGAGAGGGTTCTTGGATCTTACACAGGAAAGAAGTCAGGGTAAGTCTATAGAGTAAAGTGAAAGCAAGTTTATTAGAGAAGAAACAAAAGAATGGCTGGTCCATAGGCAGAGCAGCCCTGAGGGCTGCTGGTTGGATATTTTTGTGGTTATTTCTTGATTATATGCTACATATGGGGTGGATTATTCATGAGTTTTCCAGGAAAGGGGTGGCGATTTCTTGGAACTGAGGGTTCCTTTTCCTTTTTGACCATTTAGGGTAACTTCTAGACATTGCCATGGTATTTGTAAACTGTCGTGGCACTGGTGGGAGTGTCTTCTAGCATGGTTACACATTATAATTAGTGTATAAAGAGCAATGAGGACAACCAGAAGTCAGTTCCATCTGTATCTTGGTTTGGGCGTGTTTTGGCCAGCTTCTTTACTGCATCCTGTTTTATCAGCAGGGTCTTTGTGACCTGTATCTTGTGCTGACCTCCTATCTCATCCTGCAACTAAGAATGCCTAATCTGGGAATGCAGCCCAGCAGGTCTCAGCTTTATTTTACCCAGACCCTGTTCAAGATGCAGTTGCTCTGGTTCAAACACTTCTGACATATTTCCCCCCTCCTTTTTACAAGGGGATCTTTAATCCTAAGGGTTGCAGAGGGGCAAAGATCCATCCACTGTAACTTCTTTAGGCTGACTAGGGGCAATGATATTCCTGCCTATTAGGGTCTCTTGTATCCAGGGTAGAGAGGAGCTCAGTCAGAAAGCCTCAGTATGGTGAGGGCCCGTCATAACTCTGAGTTCTGACAAAAGGTGATATCTGAAAGACTAATAAGTGCTCAATTTAAGAAAACATTGAATAAGCTTTTCTTGCATTTTTACACAAAGAATATGACAGCAATATATTCCACAAAAGTAAAGCGAAATAAGTAAAATTATTCCAAGTGAACTAAATAAGAAAGCTTTTCATGAACGGGGCAGTTGTTGGAACCAAGCTGATACAGTCACTAGCTGATTCCAATACATGCCCAGAATTAAAATATTGATCCAGATTTTTACATTACCTTCCCCTTTTGTTTCTTCTGAGCAGCAGCCAGAGATCACTGGTTGGTTCACAGGAAGAAGCAGAGTCAGTCTAAATTGCAGAAAAAACTCAACAGATGAGACTAGAATCTAATAACAGGTGTATCACGGTTTTTGAAAAATAATTTTTCTCTCATTCCCATTTTTATTAAAAACAAATCATGGTAGGACTCATTTATTTGCAAACTAAGTTTTAGTCTTATTATACTAGGTCTGATTATTTGTATAAAGTGCAGCAAGAGTAATTATTTGCCATATAGGCTCTTTTTAAATTGGATTTGATGGAACTTTGTTCCATAAGGAATCTCAGATTAGAGCTTTTAAAGCACTGATCCTAGCCACGGGTTTGTACCTTCAAATACTCGTATGAATTGGGTACATTTCTTTCCTCTCAATTTCCCAGGATAATTGGGACTCCTGGGCCAGAAAGTGACATTTTTGGCCAGGTGTGGTCGTCACACCTGTAACCCCAGCACTTTTGGAGGCTGAGGTGGGTTGATTACTTGACGTCAGGAGTTTGAGACCAGCCTGGCTAACATGGTGAAAAGCCTGTCTCTACTAATAATACAAAAAAAATTTAGCCTGGCATAGTGGCACATGCCTATAATCCCAGCTGCTCGGAGGCTGAGTTAGGAGAATCACTTGAACGTGGGAGGCGGAGGTTGCAGTAAGCCAAGATCATATCACTGCACTCCAGCCTGGGTGACAGAGTGAAACACTCTCTCAAAAAAAAAAAAAAAAAAAAAGTGACATTCTTTAGAAAGTGACATTCTTTACTTACCACAGGTCAGGATCGCTGTACAAGGACTGCATAGACAAGGCACGAGGCCAGTTTTCCCAGGGGGCTTTTTCTGACTCTGTAAGTCAACTTTGATTCCTTAAAAGTAGTCTTTTTGTACCTGGCATGCCATTCCAGTCAAAGCCTTCATAAAAGAACCATTGTCTCCAATGGTGTCCTGTTACGAAAGAAAACAGATTGTTATTGTACTTGTGCAAATATTGCCATAGTCAAGAATACTTACAGTTTCCAAATTTTGGAGAAAGAAATATGCTCCAAATTTTCTTTATAGGAATATATTTTACTTGTTAAAAGCTGTAAATAGCTCAAAAGAAAAGTATTCTTGACTCTGAAAAGACAGAAAGGATCAGCAATGTTTTAGGCAAAAAGTCATAAAAAGATTATTTTCATCTTTTGTTAGTTCAGTCTATGCAATTAGTTCCTGTTTCACTCAACATTTATGTACACATTAGTTTTCCAAGAGAGTCTTTGAAGTTCTTTCTTCTCTATTTTAATGGCACACTTTCCAAAGTTATCAAAGGCCTGCATTTAAGAGTACTCATCAGAGTCCTATAGCTGATTATAAACTGCTCTTTAAAGAGGATCAAAATAAGACAACAATTGTCTGTGGATGACAAAAATTATTATGGCAGTCATGGTTACTTCTGTGGCATACAACAATTTTACAAAACAATTATAATTATTACTGATAATATACACTAAGTCATATCAGTATTATAGGAGTATAGCATAATTTTGGAAAACATACCAATAACACATTTATACAAATACACCCAAAGAAAGCCAAACACTGTTTCATATTTGACAGTGCTTCCTGTATGATTTTAATATACCAAATAAGCCAAATATGTCTCTTTTGGACTTTAGGGTACCTGATATCTAAAGGATTAATCAGGTCAGAAAAAGGCAACTTATAATTTGATTTTGGAAAGTTTTCAAATATTAAAGTTTTAAAATACTTGATATAAAATAGAATCCCAGCACACTGTAAGTCATTGAGCCAAAATGATAAAGATTTTAAAAAGGGAAAAACCTGGCCGGGCATGGTGGCTCACGCCTGTAATCCCAGCACTTTGGGAGGCTGAGGTGGGCGGATCATAAGGTCAGGAGTTTGAGACCAGCCTGGCCAATATGGTGAAACCCCGTCTCACTAAAAATACAAAAAATTAGCCAGGCGTGGTGGTGCACGCCTGTAATCCCAGCTACTCGGGAGGCTGAGGCAGGAGAATTGCTTGAACCCGGGAGGCGGAGGTTTCAGTGAGCCAAGATTGTTCCACTGCACTCCAGCCTGGGTGACAGAGTGAGACTCTACCTGAAAAAAAAAAAAAAAAAAAAAAAGGGGGGGAAAACCTTTACTCATTGATAGAGGGAAGACTTAGCTTTCCAAATAATTTTCTCTTTTCTTTCATTCTTTTTCCTGTAGTTTATTCAAAAGGCAAACAAAAATCTTTCATTAAAAAAAATTACACAAAAATCTTGTTCAAGAGTGAAAGCCAAGTCTCACCTTTATGTTAGTGTACTATATTGATGTTAAATCCAGTTCTTAATAAAACCTAATAGACAAATCTGTTCAGGTGCAATGGCTCATGCCTGTAATCCTAACACTTTGGGAGGCTGAGGCAGGAGAATCACTTGAGCCCAGGAGTTCAAGACCAGCCTGGGCAACACAGTGAGACCCTGTCTCTTAAAAAAAAAAAAAAAATCTTTTTTTTTTTTTTTTTTTTTTGAGATGGAGTCTTACTCTGTCACCAGGCTGGAGTGCAGTGGTGTGATCTTGGCTCACTGCAATTTCCACCTCCCAGGTTCATGCCATTCCCCTGCCTCAGCCTCCCGAGTAGCTGGGATTACAGGTGTGCATCGCCACACCCAGCTAATTTTTGTATTTTTAGTAGAGACAGGATTTCACCATGTTGGCCAGGATGGTCTTGATCTCCTGACCTTATGATCCACCCGCCTTGGCCTCCCACAGTGCTGGGATTACAGGCGTGAGCCACCGTGCCTGGCCAAAAAAAAAAATCTTATACACAAATCTGCCTAATCTTAATCGTTTTATCATAAGGTTAGATTCTTATAAACCTTTTATAACTCTTTACAGTTTTTTTTTGGTTAAAGAATAGAACCATGCTCTAAGAAAGCCATGTTATGCTTTTATTCCAATGTTCAATTTACAGATAAATTGAATAATACCCCTTTAATTTTAGCCAGTATATTCTCATACAGAATTTCTTTTACAACACTAATCTTTCATAAACCTTTCACAACTTACTCAAACATCAGCTTTATCCTATCCTTTAACTCTCTAAATTAGGGAAAAAAACACATCCCCATACTTTCTTATAATCTTTTACCAAAAACACATTCTACTTTCCTTATATACCTTGCATGTAAAACTGTTTCTCTAGTAGTCTCAATTACATATGTTACAATGTTAACTCTTAGCAACTTTTATTTTTGGTGAAAGACCTGGTAAGTAAGCAATTTTATTTATGTGCCAGGTGTGTAGCCTAGGACACCAGACAGAAATGCAGATAAGGTCTGACTATTTCCAACATAGTTGGGGGCATGGATAACTCCATATGTCCCCAGGCCTTACCTAGAATCTAGCTACAAAGCAGGTAAGTTGTACAAGTATCAAAAGTCAAAGAAGTAGTTTATAACCTTAAACCGTCTAGCAAAGATAGTATTTGACCTACCTAATTTAGACTAAATGTCTTAAGTTTTGAAGATGTTTTTATTTTACCAATAATCTTGAAAAGTGTCTTTATTTCATAAAGATTACTAAAGTCATGTGAACTAAAAGGCATTAAAGTTTTTATTTTTCTGACAAAATATTTGATTTCAGCACTTTTCTTAAAGCCAATTAATTGGAGCTTTTTATATAAATACCACACACACAACACATATAAATACACAGACAAGAAAAACAAAAACAAGAACAAAAAACAAAACTTAGATACACAGACAGAAGCAGAACCAATAGTTGTAAGATTTTTCATTTGCCAGTTTTTAAGTTTTTCTTTCCCATTTTATGAACCCTATCATGACTTACACAGACCATCTAGACTTTCTAACTTGTCTTACATTTCCCTTTTTCCTAAATAATCAGTCATTCTACTTTAGGACAAGGATTTACCATACAAGATCTTTTCTCACATAATATTTCTTTTCTTTATAACTTTCCTTACCAAAAATACATCTTCATATCCATAACTTTCTTCACACCTCTCTCCCCTACTGTTTTTTTCTCTTTCTACCTTTTTTCTATTTTCTTCTGTCCCCTGTCCTAATTGTCAGCTAAGCAATACTAAATTACATTTCCAAAGGGCCAACTCTTAGATGAAACAAAATAGAGAATTCATGTTTTATTCAAACCAAGGAAAAGTGGTGTGAATAACAGTTCAGTTAAGACAGCCAGGGCCAGGCGTGGTGGCTTATGCCTGTAATCCCAGCACTTTGGGAGGCCAAGTTGGGTGGATTACCTGAGGTCAGGAGTTTGTGATCAGCCTGGCCAACATGGTGAAACCCAGTCTCTAATAAAAAAATACAAAATTAGCTGGACATGATGGCGGGTGCCTGTAATCCCAGCTACTCGGGAGGCTGAGGCAGGAGAAACACTTGAACCTGGGAGGTGGAGGTTGCAGTGAGCCGAGATTGCACCATTGCACTCCAGCCTTGGAAACAAGAGCAAAACTCTGTCTCAAAAAAAAAAAAAAAAAAAAAAAAAGACAGCTAGGAAAAACATACACTCTTACACATGGAGATTTCTCTAAGGATGTAAGTTAAGTTAATTACTGACTGGCTTTCGGGTGGAGCCTTTTAAAGAACAATGCCAGGGAAGCATGCGGTTTCTAGAACCTAATAAGCAGACACAGCTGGAAGGCAAAACAGATTCCCCAAGAATTAACGGACCCATTTTTTTTTTTTTTGAGATGGAGTCTCGCTCTGTCGTCCAGGCTGGAGTGCAGTGGCGCGGTCTCAGCTCACTGCAAGCTCCCCTTCCTGGGTTCACACCATTCTCCTGCCTCAGCCTCCCGAGTAGCTGGGACCACAGGCTCCCGCCACCACACCCGGCTAATTTTTTGTATTTTTAGTAGAGACGGGGTTTCACTGTGCTAGCCAGGATGGTCTCTAATCTCCTGACCTCGTGATCTGCCCGCCTCGGCCTCCCAAAGTGCTGGGATTACAGGCATGAGCCACTGGGCCCTGCCAAGGGACCCATTTTTGTACTGGATCCTGGATCCCAAAAAAGAGGTAATCAGCCCATCTCCCATGGGAGACTTATCTCTCAGTGGGAGTTGTGGATGTTTCCATACCTTTTAGGTGGCTGAGAGCATGTTTCTCTGATCCAAACATGCAAAGAGCTGAGTATCCCCCCATAACTGCCATTAGCCGTCCCTTAAATATATTTCCTACCTAGTTATTACACATGGAGGCTAAAAGCTCTCTCATAATGCAAAGTAATTTCTTTTTTTTCTTTTTTGAGACAGAGTTTCTCTCTTGTTGCCCAGGCTGGAGTGCAATGGCGCAATCTTGGCTCACTGCAACCTCCGCCTCCCAGGTTCAAGCAATTCTCCTGCCTCAGCCTCCCGAGTAGCTGGGATTATAGGCATGCACCACCATGCCCCGCTAATTTTGTATTTTTAGTAGAGACGGGGTTTCTCCATGTTGAGGCTGGTCTCAAACTCCTGACCTCAGGTGATCCACCTGCCTCGGCCTCCCAAAGTGTGGGGATTACAGGCGTGAGCCACTGCACCCGGCCAATGCAAAGTAATTTCTGATACCCCCCAAAAATCAAAATGTCAGGTAATGCAGTGCAAAACAGAACAGAGCCTTAGATTTTGAGAGGCATCTATCCTCTTTTATTTTGTATTTTTTGAGACAGAGTCTTGCTCTGTCACCCAGGCTGGAGTGCAGTGGTGTAATCTCAGCTCACTGCAAACTCCGCCTCATGAGTTAAAGCAATTCTCTGCCTCAGCCTCCTAAGTAGCTGGGATTACAGGCGCCCGCCACCATGCTCAGCTAATTTTTGTATTTTTAGTAGAGATGAGGTTTCAGTATCTTGGCTGGTCTTGAACTCCTGACCTCGTGATCGACCTGCCTCAGCCTCCCAAAGTGCTGGGATTACAGGTGTGAGCCACCGTGCCCGGCCTATCCACTTTTAATTGCTGGGGTTCCATGAAGAAAAGAGAAGTTTCCCCAAAATGGGGTCTGTGTCACCCCTGTTTTTCCCAAGGAGTCCCAGCTGTCAGAAATTATCTTAGGTCCTCTTATGTGGGCATGAAGGTGGCAAGAATAAAAACTGGAGAAAGAGAATTCAGTCGTCTGAGAAGAAAAAGTTTTTGTTTTTTCCAGAAAAGTAAGATCCAAGAAAAAAACCATAAAGGCCTTTAAAACGTATGCATCGCTTGGACATCTGCTTTAAATTAAGCCAGCTTTTAACCAAATCTCTTATTACTAGATTCTAGTTAAGACAAACAGCCAATATTTCTGGCTTTTGGACTTTACCAAAGGTAACTTCCCAGATGAAACCAATAAGTTTTAACTAAGGTTATGACTTAACTGTGGGTGTACCGGGTATTTCCAAAGAGTTGGTAAGCAGTTTTTACAAGATATAGAATCTCTAAAGGTAGCACAGAGAAAGGAAAATTTGAGAAGGGAAGCCAGAAGTTGTTCATGGATGGGGGCACATGTTCTCAGGATCTCCTGAGGGTTATGTCATGGGCAAAAACAAACAAACAAAAAGTAATAAAAATAAAAAATAAAAAAGAAGTTGTTCATGGAGAGGAAAGGAATTAATAAATGGTAAAGGTCACACAAATAAACCAGAAAGGACTTATTCCCCAGGCTGGAAATTGAACCCAGGCCACCATTGTGAAAAGATGAAATCTTAGCTACTGAGCTACAACATTGGGCAGTTTCTGTTATTCTTCCCAGAAGGAGCCTAGAGCAGCCAATTTTGAACTTGCTAAGGCTTTTAACTGCTCAAGATAATTTTTAGGGCTGTGACATGAGCCCCCAAATTCCTGCCCTCCAGATGGCAGAGACCAAGAGAAAGTACCATGGTTACAATGTCAGACTCCCAAGGACATAAAACAAGATGAAGGAGAAACCTCATCCAGGTTTTTGGTTTGTTTGTTTGTTTTGTTTTTTGGTTTCATTAACCAGCAGCAATTTGTAACTGAACAGCTTTCTGGGGTGGCTTGAACAGAGGGCTTACAGGGGTCCTTGGCCTGCATTCTATCCTGTGGTATCTCTTTTTATGACAGAACGACACAGAAAGACAAATTCATAGCACAAATTACACTGGATTTGTTACAGCCTAAGATTAGCTTCATAAATCCTTTTTCCCAGTAATGAAAACTTTGCAGAGGAGATAAAAAGTGATTTTTACCATGCATTCAACTGGTTTGCGCACAGAGAGAGAGAGGAAAGGGAAGGGAGAGGGAGAAAAGCATTGCCTGCAGCAGGGCAGGGGAGGCAAGGAGCTCGGGGGGCCAGGGAAAGACCCACCCATTGCAGCGACACTGGATCAAATGTTCAGGCAGCTGATCGTCAGTCTTGAAGGGATCTTTTCTGGTAGTCTCATTGGCTCTCAAGTTTCCCCCTTTAGGGAGAAAAAAGCTCCCTGTGTCCCACGATCCTGTACATGCCTAATCCTATCACTCATAGCCTTCAGCAAAGAGCGCAAGGCAGATTAATCCAAAGAGAATAGTGGTTAACATCCCGTAGTACCAAATCCATTTTTAACCAAGAACAGTGTTACCAAGGGAGACCTCTAACTCCCTATGTCTTAGGAGGGACTCTGACCTTCCTAAGTTGAGCCTTTAACCCAAGTTCAGACAAGCGTCTTTGCCCTTTACTGTGATGGGCCTTTTAACCCCTTATGCCTGCCTGTCTGCCTGCCTGCCTGCCTGCCTGCCTGCCTGCCTTCCTTCCTTCCTTCCTTCCTTCCTCCCTCCCTCCCTCCCTCTCTCCCTCTCTCCCCCTTTCCCTCCTTCCTTTCCATCTTCCTTCCTCCCTCCCTCCCTCCCTCCCTCCCATCTTCCTTCCTCCCTCCCTCCCTTCCTTCCTTCCTTTTCTCTTTTAATATATAAAAATTTTTAGCTAATCTTCTGTGTATCAGTCCAATTTTAGTATATGTGTTGCTGAAGCGAGCACAACCCGCTATGTCTTAGAAGGTATTCTAACCCTTTCAGGTTGGGCCTCTAACCCAACTTTGTCCTTTACCCAGGATAAAATGTACCCCAGCACTTACCCAGAGTCAGCCAATTGGTGCTGCATGGATAATTTTCCTTTGGAGTCGGGGGTCTCTCCAGTATTGTCCCTTCATGGTTCTCTGGAAGATGTTATGGGAAATGGGCCCCAATCCAGACCCCAAGAGAGGGTTCTTGGATCTTGCACAAGAAAGAATTCAGGGCAAGTCCATAAAGTGAAAGCAAGGTTATTAGAGAAGTAAAGAAACAAAAGAATGGCTACTCCATAGGTAGAGCAGCCCTGAGTGCTGCTAGTTGGCTATTTTTATGGTTATTTTTTGATCATGTGCTAAATATAGGGTGAATTATTCATGAGTTTTCCAAGGAAGGGGCAGGGATTTCTCAGAACTGAGGGCTCCTCTTTTTTTTTAGACCATATAGGGTAACTTCCAGACATTGCCATGGCATTTGCAAACTGCCATGGTGCTGGGGGGAGTGTCTTCTAGCATGCTAATACATTATAATTAGTGTATAATGAGCAGTGAGAGCAACCAGAGGTCAGTTTCATCGCTATGTTGGTTTTGGTGGGTTTTGACCACCTTCTTTACTGCATCCTGTTTTATCAGCAGGGGATTTGTGACCTGTATCTTGTGTTGACCTTCTAGCTCATCCTGCAGCTAAGAATGCCTAACCTCCTGGGAATGCAGCCCAGCAGATCTCAGCCTCATTTTACCCAGCCCCAGTTCAATATGGAGTTGCTCTGGTTCGAACACCTCTGACAGTATGGAGGGTTTACAATTCTTAAGAAGAGAGAAGTTGCTGAGCTTTAGAGAATAAGCTGAAACATGCATGAAGCACTAATAACTCTTGCCCTGTACTTTGTTACTTTAGTGATAAATTTTACAGCTGGTTCTTTGAATAATTTATATTAATTAAGTTTCTCTGTCTGATGTGAAGTAGCCAGTGAATAAGCAAAGCCTAATTCTCCAATAAAGATAATAAAGCCCTTCTTGAGTTAAATGGAAGTGGGAGAATGTCATGTCTGTTTCTGTCCATTTCCATTCCTGCTCCTTCTCCTCTGGACGAAACAGGGCTGGCTGATGGAATTAACCAGGAAGGCTTCAAATGGGGAAATTGGCTCATTTAAACTCCTGCTAGTATTAAACTGTTCCTCAGTCCTATGTAAGTTAAGACAAAAAAGTTATGAAACTCATGTGAGTTATAGGTATAGGATTCTGTTAACAAGTATATCATATCCAGATAAATATGGGCACCTTAAAAGTAGTTGTCCTGGGAATAAATACACATCTATTCAAAAAATTCTGTCATCATTACTCAAAATATTTTGGTCAACTTGCCATGTAGAGTTACTTTCAAAACCAGTCTGAGGCCTACAAGAAAATCAGTTTCACTTCCTTATAATCACACTTAGGATTTCAGATACTTGCTAGTCTGTTTATGTTTATTGGCCTTTTTTAAATAGTTACCCCTTTTTATTTCTCTAGCCCCAAGCAAGGAAAGCTCTGGGTTCACATAGTGCTCCAAGTACAGGACAAGGCTCACATCATACAGAGCCTAAGCAATGAAGAAAGATTGGCATGCTTCACAAGACTTTGACCTTTAAACAAAGCATGGTCAGTCTGTTTTCTCCAGTGTCCTGTTTCTGCTTTGTGATCCCCTCCCCCACTCTTTTTGTATTAAAGAACCCTTAAACCTGAGGCTGGGGACATGGCCTTGAATTGTCCTCTCAGAGGAAACTGGGAGAATGGGTAGAGCGAGGTACTTCAGAGGTCTCTTTTTCCTTCTGCTCGTGGGTAGTTAGTTAATGATCTACCAGCAGTCCCCACTCTTGGGGAGACTGGGATCATGTTCCAGCCGCACATCACAGCTTAGGGCAGAGGGCACTTTGTACACAGAGGGAGCTGCATCTGACTTTCCTACTTCATCTGTAGAGTCAGTAGCCATCTGTAGTCTTGCATGTTCTCAGTTTTCAGGCTCCGGATATGAAAATGGATCTTTCAATTTTCTTTCTCTCTGACTCTGCTCTGAGGGAAAATGAGGACGTTTACTAGCAGAGGAAAAAGAAATACTGAAGTTTGCAAAAATTGATAGAAAGCTGGGCTCCCTGCTCATCATGCCTCCTTCCTCCCTAGCAGTTTCTAAACCCTCAGAACATTACAGTGAGATTTTAGCTGATGGTACAAACATGTCTACAGGATTTCCTCAAGCTGGGGCTACATTAGAAGGCTTTATACTTTGGCCATCTGACCTGCTTTTCTCTTTTCCAGAGTATTCTACTTTTCACAAATAGGTATGATCTAGGAGTTCAGCCTCCCTCACCCTTCACTAATTGCAGAATAAGCAATGCAGAGGCTGTTCAGAGAGTATCTTATCTGTGGGGAGAGGGAGAGGAAGCACTGGAACACTTGCCAGGGGAGGGACCAGAGGGCATAATTATAAATGAACAACCCTGGAGCAGAATAGGGGATGAGTTAGACACAGGAAGGAAGCTAAAGGAAGCCAGAGAATTTCAGGAATTGAGGGTATCACATGGAGAAATAAAGAGCGAGTTAGACAGAGGCTGTTGGTGGTCCCTACCCTGACACCTGAAAGAACTCCTGATCAAGGCCTACTATGGGCATAGTCTTAGGCTAGGTTTTAGGGATAAAGAGATAAATAAGACACAGTCCTTATTTTACAAGTTTACAGTCTAACAAAAAGGAGATAAATTAACAAATTGGAGGAGATTTTTCAGAATGTGTGGTATTGTGGGCTAGGAGTCTGCTACCATTGCTAATAGCTGGCATTTATTTTTTACCCACCGTCTTCTAAGCATTTTATGCATTAAATAACTCATCAACTCCTGACATCGGCCCCTTGAAGTATATATTACTATTGCTATAATCCTTGTTTTATAGGTAAAGAATCTGAGGCACAGAGGCATTACACATAGCCTGCCTGAGGTCTCACAGCAGGCACTCAGAAGCAGAACTCCAGCACAGGTAGTCTGGTTCTAGAACCTACGCTCACACTAACATAGCTGCTAATAAGTCATGTGGGGAAGCTCTGCCACTTCATGTCTACATGCCTTTGTACCCGCTTGTCTTTCCTTGGCCTGAGATACTCTTCCTTAAAGCCTCTGGTCAACGAGGGACTCTTCTTTGATATCTTCTCTGACTCCTTCTGCCTATCCCAGAGCCATTGCTGCCCTTGGAGCTTACCCAACACTTTGTCATTGTATTCTATTTGTTGGAATGTCTGACTCCTTTTATTATAAGCTTCTGGAGAGCAAGGAATTTTTATTCTCGGAAAACAGTTATAAAAGTAGAGCCAATAATATAATGAGTTTACATGTACTTATCATCCAGCTTCAGTGATGAACATTTCAGTTCAATCTTAGCTCATCTATATTCCCCCTTCCAACCATGAATTATTTTGTAGAAAATCATAGACATCAAATCATTTCATCTGTAGATATTTCAACTTACTCCTAAAATACAAGGGCATTTTAAGAAACAGTATCACAAGCATATCAGAAAACATTATCACAGTAAAAGATTATTTCCTCCTTGGCTGGGCGCGGTGGCTCACACCTGTAATCCCAGCACTTTGGGAGGCCAAGGCAGGTGAATCACAAGGTCAGGAGATCGAGACCATCCTGGCTAGCACAGTGAAACCCCGTCTCTACTAAAAATACAAAAAAATTAGCCGGGTGTGGTGGTGGGAGGCTGAGGCAGGAGAATGGTGTGAACCTGGGAGGTGGAGCTTGCAGTGAGCGGAGATCACGCCACTGCACTCCAGCCTGGGTGACAGAGCGAGACTCCATCTCAAAAAAAAAAAAAAAAAAAAAAAAAGATTATTTCCTCCTTAATATCATAAAATATCCAGCCAATGATCAAATTTCTGCAATTACCTTATAATTGTTCTTCCTTTCCGTTTTTCATTTATTTGTTCTTTGATTCCTTCCTTTGTTCTTTCCCTCCCTCCTCTTCTTTTTTAAATAGTAAGATTGTTTGAACCAGAATCCAAATCAGAAGGACTTTATTTTTTAATGTTCATATTCTCTTTAATACCTAGCTTAGTATTTGACATATAGTAAGTCCTCAATAAATGTTTGTTAAACAAATAATCAGAAACCTAGAAAAGGTCCTGTTTGATATTTGGTTGGTTTCTTGGAATGCCTTTCAATTTCTGATAACCTTAGTTTTTCAGGGGTTAACTTTGGTGCTAGCTATTGTCAGTGTATGAACATTGCCAGAGGTTTGAGGGCAATGGGTATATCCTTGACTCAGACATTTCTAGGCTAGGAGGAAATGGGGGTCCTTTTTTTTTTTTTTTTTTTTTTTTGCTTTGAGACAGAGTCTCATGCTGTCACCCAGGTTGCAGTGCAGTGGCATGACCTTGGCTCACTGCAACCTCTACCTTCCAAGTTCAAGTGATTCTTGCGCCCCAGCCTCCCAAGTAGCTGGGATTACAGGCACGCACCACCATACCCAGCTAATTTTTTGTATTTTTAGTAGAGACGGGGTTTCACCATGTTGCCAAGGCTGGTCTTGAACTCCTGGCCTCAGGTGATCCGCCTGCCTCGGCCTCCCAAAGTGTTGGGATTACAGGTGTGAGCCACTGCGCCTGGCCTGGTCCTTGCTTTCTTGTTTCTGTTTTTTGTCCTTGGTCTCTGTCATGGGCTGAATTGTGTTCCCTTAAAATTCTTCTGTTGAAACCCTAACCCCTGGTGTCTCAGAATGTGACTTTATTTGGAAATAGGGGCTTTAAAGGTGATTAAGATAATGCCTGTAGGGTGGGCCCTAATTGATTCTGACTGCTGTCCTTGAAGAGGAAATTGGGACACAATGAGAGACACCACAGATGTGTAGGTACAGAGAAGAGACCATGTGAGGAGACAGCAAGAAGGCACCTCCAAAACTATGAGAAATTAATTTCTGTTGTTTAAGCAATTCAGGCTTTCTGGTACTCAGCCATATAGTCATATGGCAGCCATATAGTGTTATAGCAGACTAATAACAGTATCTTACTGCACGTTAAATTGTCGCTCACTCCTGTAATCCCAGCACTTGTTTAGGCCGAGGCAGGAAGATTGCTTCTGTTCAGAAGTTCAAGAACAGCCTGGGCAACACAGTGAGACCCTGTCTCTACAACAAATAAAAATATTAGCCCCATGTGGTGGTATGCGCTTGTGGTCCCACCTATTCAGGAGGCTGAGCCTGGGAATCGCCTGAGTCTGGGAGGTCAAGACTGCAATTAGCCATGATTGTGCCACTACACTCCAGCCTGGGCAACATAGTGAGATCCTGTCTCAAAAAATAAAAGTTGGGGGCCAGGCACAGTGGCTGACACCTATAATCCCAGCACTCTGGGAGGCCAAGGTAGGTGGATCACTTGAGGCCAGGAGTTTGAGACCAGCCTGACCAACATGGCAAAACCCCATCTCTACTAAAAAGAATACAAAAATTAGCCTGGTGTGGTAGCATGCACCTGTAATCCCAGCTACTCAGGAGGCTGAGGCACGAGAATCACTTGAGCCCAGGATACCGAGGTTGCATTGGGCTGAGATTGTGCCACTATACTCCAGCTTGGGTGACAGAGTGAGACTGTCTCAAAAAAAAACAAAACAAAAAGTTGGATTGATCATTTTTGGCTTCTTTGCCACTTCCTCAGAACAGGATTGTAAAGGAGTTTCCAGAAAGCACCAGTGGCTTTATGTGTGCTTGGTACACAGAATTCTAAGATGGCCCCTAATACCTAGAACTATGAATATGATGAGAAACCACACCCACGATTATGTTACCTTGTGTGGCAAACAGGATTTTGAAGACATAATTAAGGTTACAACTTAGTTGATTTTGAATTAATCAGAAGGGAAATGATCTGAGTGGACCTAATGTAATCACATGAGCTTTTTAAAAGCAAAATCAGAGCTTTTTCTCAGGCTGGTCTCAGAAGGGAAAATCAGAGATAGTAGAAGTGTGAGAGGGATTTGACTTGAGAGAGGTTCTCCATGGCTAAGATGGAGGAGGTCACAGTGCTAGGACCTGAAAAGGTCTTCTAGGAGCTAATAATAGTCCCTGGCCGACAACAGGACAGTGGGGAACTCAAACTGACTTCAAGGAACTGAATTCTGCAAACTAATGAGTAAGTGTTGTTTTAAGCCACTAAATTAGTGGCGGTTTATTGTATAGCAATAGAACATGAATACAGGTGCTTTGTACCTGATAGATTGAATTAGTGGCTCCTTTCCTTAGTTTATATTTAAAACTTGAAGTAAAATTAAAATACATTGAAATGTCTATAGATCTCAAGTATACAAGTTGATTTTTGGTAAATGTGTATACCCATGCAATCACTACCTGAATTGAGATGTAGAACATTTCCATCAGCCCCAGAGCTCCCTTGAGCATCTTTGTCATTAATCCCACCCTCTAGGGCGAATTCTGTTTTTTTTTTTTTGAGAGAGAGTCTCGCTCCTCTGTCACCCAGGCTGGAGTGCAATGGCTCGATCTCGGCTCACTGCAAGCTCTGCCTCCTGGGTTCATCTCATTCTCCTGCCTCAGCCTCACGATTAGCTGGGACTACAGGCAGTTGTCAACACGCCCGGCTAATTTTTTGTATTTTTTAGTAGAGACGGGGTTTCACCGTGTTAGCAGGATGGTCTAGATCTCCTGACTTTGTGATCCGCCTGCCTCGGCCTCCCAAAGTGCTGGGATTACAGGTGTGAGCCATCGCGCCTGGCCTAGGGCGAATTCTTAACATCTTTAATTGGAATTGCCTATTCTGGAGCTTCATTTAAATGGCATCATATAGGCTGGGCATAATGGCTCATGCTTGTAATTCCAGCACTTTGGGAGGGCCGAGGCGGGAAGATCACTTGCCTCCAGGAGTTCAAGACCAGTCTGGGCAACATAGCGAGACCTCCTCTCTATAAAAAATAAAAAATTAGCCGGGTGTGGTGGTGGCATGCATCTGTAGTCCCAGCTACTGAGGAGGTTGAAGTGGGAGGATTACTTGAGCCTGGGAGGTCAAGGCTGCAGTAAGCCGTGATCGTGCCACTACACTCGGCCTGGGTGACAGAGTGAGACCCCCTCTGAAAAAGAACAATGACATTATATAGCATGCACTCCTTTGTGTCTGGCTTCTTTTGCATGGTATAATGTTTTCAAGATTTATCTTTTTTTTTTTTGAGATGCAGTCTTGCTCTGTCACCAGGTTGGAGTGCAGTGGTGTGATCTCGGCTCACTGCAACCTCTGCCTCCCGGGTTCAAGCGATTCTCCTGCTTCAGCCTCCCAAGAAGCTGGGACTACAGGCGCGCACCACCATGCCCAGCTAATTTTTGTATTTTTTGTACAGACAGGGTTTCACCATGTTGGCCAGGATGGTCTCGATCTCTTGACCTCATGATCCACCTGCCTCGGCCTCCCAAAGTGCTGGGATTACAGGCGTGAGCCACCACGCGTCCTTACAGGGAGGGTCTCATTCTGTTGTGCAGGCCGGAGTGCCATAGTATGATCATAGCTCACTGCAGCTTTGAACTCCTGGTCTCAAGCAGATCCTTCCACCTTGGCCTCCTAAAGTGCTGAGATTGAAGGTATGAGCCATGCTGCCAGCCCATCCATTTTGTTTTGTCTGTAGATTGTACCCTTTGATTGCTGATTAGTATACTATGGTATGGATATTCCGTAATTTGTTTATCCATTCATCTGCTGATAGACATTTGGGTTTCCAGTTTTTGGCTATTATGAATAATACTGCTATGAGCATTCATGTACAACTGTTTGTGTGGATATGTATTTTCATTTCTCTTGGGTAAATATCTATGAGTAGGATTGCTGGATTGTAAAAGTGTATATTGAACTTTATAAGAAAGTGTCAACTGTTTTCTAGAGTGGGTGTGCCATTTTATATTTCCCCTAGCAATACATAAGAATACCAATCATTCCCCATCCTCACTTGGTATGGTCAAATCTTTTAAAGTTCAGCCAGTTGCCAACAATTTCTTCTTGAGTACCTCTCTGTGCTTTGCAGAATAGATTATTCATCTCATGCCCATCATATAGTATGTCCTTCCAACTCTTTTTATAATTTAATTCCTACCTGTGCTTCAGGACACTGTTTCCTAACACGGAATAAATGTGAGAATCACTTGGGAGTGTTTCAGAATACACAAGCCCAGGTCTCACTACAGGCATATTGTATCAGCTTTTCCAGGGATGGTATATATACTTACGTATGTTGAAAACGTTCCCTAGGTAATTCTGATGCATACCCCTAGCTAAAAACCATTGATTTAGCCCCAGGTCTTACCTATTAGCTCCATCCTGGCTATATGTTAGTAGTGTCTGGGAAGGCTTAAAAATTACAAAGCCTGGGCCGGGCGCTGTGGCTCATGCCTGTAATTCCAGCACTTTGGGAGGCTGAGCCGGGTGGATAACAAGGTCAGGAGATTGAGACCATCCTGGCTAACACAGTGAAACCCTGTCTCTACTAAAAATACAAAAAATTAGCTGGGTGTGGTGGCAGGCGCCTGTAGTCCCAGCTACTCAGGAGGCTGAGGCAGGAGAATTGTTTGAACCTGGGAGGCAGAGCCTGCAGTGAGCTGAGATCATGCCGCTGCACTCCAGTCTGGGCAACAGAGTGAGACTTGTCTCAAAAAAAAAAAAAAAAAAAAAAAAAAAGTTTACAAAGCCTGGATCCCTCTCCAGACCAATTATGTTGGAATTTGTGGGTGGAGTCTGAGCATCAGTTGTTCTTTTAAAAAATTCCCCAGTTATTCCAGCGTGCAGCCACATTTCCCATTAGATTTCTCTTGACTTCTTGTGGCATTTACGCCTTTCTTTTTCGGTATTATGATTATTTTTCAGGTCTTATCTCCTGTCTTGGGCTTTATATTCCTTGGGGTAGGGACCTTGCCTTTTTCATTTCTGTATCTTTCATGAACACATGAATTGGTCATCAGGAAGAGATTCTCAGCCACACATAGGTTGTGTCCTGGGTCTCAGGTTCACATGTTAATGCTACAGTCTTTGTTCTCCACAAGGTCAGAGGTTGCTTGCGATGAAGGATGTGGGTAACTCCACAGTGCAGCTGGTAGATGGAGGTCACCCTGTTTGGTATGTTTTTAGGTGTAGCCTTGGAACTAAGAATTCTGTGTGTGGGGTGGAGGGGCAGGGATATGTAGGGAGAGAGATCTAATTAGGATGGAGGAATTATACAAGGAAGTAGTGATAAAGGAAGGAAGAAACTTCTTTTTTTTCTTTTTTTTGAGATGGAGTCTGGCTCTGTCATCCAGGGTAGAGTGCAATAGCATGATCTCGGCTCACTGCAACCTGTGCCTCCCAGGTTCAAGTGATTCTCCTGCCTCAGCCTCCAGAGTAGCTGGGATTACAGGCGCCCACCACCACACCCAGTGAATTTTTGTATTTTTAGTAGAGACAGAATTTCACCATGTTGGCCAGGCTGGTCTCGAACTCCTGACCTCAAGTGATACACCCACGTTGGCCTCCCAAAGTGCTGGGATTACAGGCATGAGCCACCGCACTCGGTCAGAAACATCTTCTCTTTAGAAGAAGTTTGAACTTATCTAATAGGCCAGAGTAGGCCACTGTAGATTTTTGAATAGGGGAGTGTACTAGGAGGGTAATGAGGCAGTCATATGCAAGAAAGATTTCGGAGAGACTGGAGACAAGAAGTCAAGCAAGACTTTGAGTGTTGTTGAGGGTCTGGGTCAGTTAGGTTTATGGGAATGGTGAGAACAGCATAACTGACAGTTGTTAAAAAAGGATCAAGAGGCTTTCACAATGTATTGAATCTGGAAACAAATGAGCAGGGGCTGTGGAAACTTAGGGGGTGTCACTGGGAGAAATGAGTGAGCTGTGTGGGAGAGCTTGTTTAAATGGGTAACTTCAGACAGTATTTGGATGTGGGTGTCATGAGTTCTGGAAGTAGTTGGGGCTAGAGATATAAATTAAGAGCCATCTCCAGAGAGGTCACTAAGCTGATGAAAGAGGGTAGATGGAGGGAGACAAGAAGGGTCTGAGTACTAAATCTGGTGTGGGGGAGCAGTCGTAAGTGGGAAATGGAGGGAGGAGAGCTTTCCAGAAGGGAAAAGTTGTCTGTCATCTTAGATATTGTAAAAGGAAAAAGTGTGAGGTCCCTAAAAATGCCTTTGGATTTGGCCAAGACATGGATACTGATTTTGTGCTGTTCCCAGCGATCTTGGGTAGGGAGGCACTGCAGAGGGCCAGGAAAAATTAGGTGATGAGGAAAGGCAAAGACAACACATGTGTTTCAATTGCTTGGAAGTGAAGGAAATGAGGTTATAGCTTAGTACTTAGCAGAATTAATAAATGAAGGCTATTCGGGTTAGAAGAGATCCGACCCTCCTAGAGGGCAGAATAAAGGAATTGGGAACCAGGAAGAGTTAGAAGGTCTAGAGGGATTTCTATGTGAATGAACCTGTGGAGACCCTTGTATAGCTACATCTGATTCACTGGAGCCGCTGGTGTGGGAAGTGTTGTTGGCCCCTAATGAAGAGGCTGGGAGGTCTTTTACTCATGAGATCATCTTCCCTCCCAGAGGAAGATAGGCACTTCCTCCCAGGCAAGTTGGAGCTGTGGTCTGTTGCTCCCAGATATACTCACTTTGTTAGCAGGTATGCAAATGAATTTAGCTAATTCTCTGATCACTAGATCAAATATCTGTAGGCTTAAAAATAGTTTCACGGCCGGGCGCAGTGGCTCACGCCTGTAATTCCAGCACTTTGGGAGGCCAAGGCGGGCGGACTGCCTGAGGTCAGGAGTTTGAGACCAGTCTGGCCAATATAATGAAACCCCGTCTCTACTAAAAATACAAAAAAATTAGCTGGGCATGGTGGCATGCACCTGTAATCCCAGCTACTTGGGGAGGCTGGGGCAGGGGAATTGCTTGAACCAGGGAAGTGGAGGTTGCAGTGAGCGGAGATTGCGCCACTGCACTCCAGCCTGGGCGACACAGTGAGACTCTGTCTCAAAAAAAAAAAAAAAAGAGTTTTACTCTGACTCCCCATTGAACAATTTGTTTATTCTGCCTGTAGAGAAAAACATTGTCCAAGGTAGTATCAACCATGAGGCAGCATGTCGATGTCTGATATATTATTTTTATTATAAAAACATAGAATAATTTTCATACATAATTCAGACATGATCTTAGCCAGGAAAAATTAAATAACACAGCACAGCATGGATGAGGGAAAGTATGCACAGTCCGTGTCAGGGTTAGAAAACCCTGAAAGAGGTACCTGAGTATAGAGAACTCCAAGCTAATCCTCCTGGAGAAAGCCTCTTAGGCCTAACATGAGATCAGGTAAGCAATATAGAATAAAACCTTTCTCTTAGCCCCAAAGAGATTCCATCTGTGTAGAAGACTGGGTGAGAAGTACATTTGCCTGTCTTCCTCCTGTCCTTCCTTTTTATTATAAGATACATTTATAGACCCCATAGAAGAAAAGATAAATTTCAGAGGCTGTTAAAAGAGGCTAGGCCTAAGTTATAATCCTCCTCCTCACAGCCCCATTTCCCCAAGGGGCATTAGCACCAGTGCAGCTTTCTAGCTGTAAACAATGCCACCAGCATGAGTGATAGTGTCCCTGTAGGGTGCTCCCACTTCTCAAGGACCAAATACACCTTAGCAGAGGCCAAGGTTTCCTGACAAAGTGAATGGGGGCAAACAGAAAATGCACAGGTGCAAACATGGAATAGAATGGTAGTTGATGATTGGTCTGAGGTGCCTAGAAACTGAGTTAAATCTAGCTCTAGCCATGAATGAAGAAAACCTTTTCTTATTTTCTATTTGGAGCCTCTGACAAAAAAAATCTTGAGAGGCTCCTGACCAAGGGACCTGAGGGATTTCGGTGGTTTCTTTCACCTAAGGCAATCGGATTGGCTGACATAGCTAAGCTAAGTAAAAATAACCCTTTTCACATAAATAAGCAGTTACAAAAATTAAAATGGTGGAATGTCTCAGAGAAAAGGAGAAAAATCCCAATACCCCAAATTGTGTATTCTTTAACAATAATTTAAATAATCGCTGAAGGGCAGCTCTCTGATTCCTTTCCCAAGTTCCTAGCAGATTGTGTTTATCAGAAGCTGGTTCCCTCCTGAAGCTATAACCCCTCCCTCTCAGCACTGCCTTGAACAGAGCCCATAAAGATATTAAAACATATATGTGCTTTTGCATTTTCCATCAGGAATTGCCTTGGATTTTGGCAAGTGATTTTCCTAGTTGCTTCTAGTGGGTTCTCTGAAGACAGGCTTGCCAGAAGGATTAGGTGGTATTCTAGCTAAGCACCAAGGTGCTTAGACCCTGATCCTACAGGTAGACAACCCTGACAGTGGACAAAGGTGTGGCATTTCACTATTGGTTATATATTTGATTTTCTTGTGTTTGGTGAGTTCACACAAGGCTTTGGAGAAATAGGAGAAGGCATTACTGCCTTTACTTTCTCTCTCTCTTGTTTCCTGGCACATGTACTTAATGGAAAAGGACATAACCTCAAGGCTATGGCAAATCCGAATTAGAGTGATAGGACAGGACTGGGGGTGGGAAGGAATGAGTGCTCTGAACAGGCAAGTTTAAAACAAGTCCAGGTTGGGAAAAGGGGAAGGGAGGGGAAGTTCTGGTCCCTCTTTCCCAAAGTCAGCTTTGCCAAATTTCAATGACAAGAAGGTTGGGTTTCCTACAGACTCCCAATGTACTTTCATCTATTGACACTGAGAGAGGGGCAGTGACCAGGCAGCCTGGAGATGCCTATTAGGAAGGAAGAGTAGGAGAAAGTTGTTTCTGTCCCCACCCCTCTACCCCTACAGGGGAAAGGAATCTCCTAGTGATGAGGGTGAGAGACTTGAAATACATCAGCACTGCAGTGAGCAGGACAGGTTTCATTACTGCTTTTTTACTTCTGAATAAATTATTTCTGTGGCTGTTAGGGATGGGGAGGCTGAAGTTGGTTGTGTGGGTTGCTGGGCTTCAAAGTTCAGGGTAGAATAAGTAACTTCATTCATCTGAAAAGCACAAATAATGATCAGTTAAGTCAGTGACACAGGGCAGGGCCTCACCTTGCCTGGTGTGATTCAGCACCACAAGCTGTTACCATTTTGAAATTTTAGCTCTGGAGAAGGGCTTTTGTTGTTACCCATTCTCTGCTTGCTGACCTCCTGATGAATGATCATTAGAAGAGAGAAATTATGGTATATATGCAATGGGATAGGATAATGCAGCAATGAGAACCAGCAAACCACAAATACATACAATATGGATGAGTCTCACAAAGCAATGTTGAAGAAGCCACATATAAGGATATGTTTTATTTCTCCTTTAGATAGGAACAAAACCAAGCAATACTAATCTGGAGCATTAGAAGTCAGGATAGTGGTTACTCCTCTTTGGAGGGAAGTGACTGGTAGAGTTTTTTTTTTTTGCGACGGAGTCTCGCTCTGTCGCCCAGGCTGGAGTGCAATGGCACGATCTCGGCTCACTGCAAGCTCTGCCTCCCGGGTTCAAGCGATGCTCCTGTCTCAGCCTCCCAAGTAGCTGGGATTACAGGCATCCACTACCACGCCCGGCTAATTTTTTGTATTTTTAGTAGAACAAGGTTTCACTATGTTGGCCAGGCTGGTTTAGAACTCCTGACTTCTAGTGATCCACCTGCCTTGGCCTCCCAGAGTGCTGGGATTACAGGTGTGAGCCACTGCACCTGGCTGGAAGGGTCTCTTTTTAAGGGGAGGTCATGTAGTATTTCATGATTTGGGTGCTGCTTACCTGGGTGTGTTCAACTTGTGAAAGTTCATACATTGTGAAAGTATAATTATGATTTAGCACTTTTCAGTATGTATGTTTGCTCTATTGAAAAGGTAAAATGAAAACTTCTTTTTTTTTTGAGACAGAGTTTCCCTCTGTCGCCCAGGCTGGAGCGCAATGGCGCAATCTTGGCTCACTGCAAACTCCACCTCCTGGGTTCACGCCATTCTCCTGCCTCAGCCTCCCAAGTAGCTGGGACTACAGGCGCCCGCCACCACAGCTGGCTAATTTTTTTGTATTTTTAGTAGAGCTGGGGTTTCACCATGTTAGCCAGAATGGTCTCGATCTCCTGACCTTGTGTTTCACCTGCCTTGGCCTCCCAAAGTGCTGGGATTACAGGCATGAGCCACTGTGCCTGGCCATAAAATGAAAAATTCTATAAAATTATTATTAAAAAACAGGATCTCAGATCTATTAAAATTGAAATTATCCTTTTGACAATAAGAGCAGGATCAGACTGAAGGTAGGGGAGTGAGAATGATTCAGTGCCTTCCTTTTTTAGGCCATTGTGCTGGGTGCTCTTTGTAGGTTATCTCGTTTAATCCCTTCAACTTCTCTTTGAAGTAGGCAGAATGCCCATTTTACAGATGACAAAGCTGATGATCAAAGAGGTTAAGTTACTTGACAAGGGTCACAGAGCTACTAAGAGTCACATCCAGTATTCAGACACAGGATGGGAATAATTCCAAAATGCATGTTCTTGCTGCAAAGTAGACTCATGGGAGTGATTACAAATACGTCTTTGTTGTTGCACTGAGGAACATTAACCCAAACTTGATGTTACATTGTGTCTTCATGAATAATCAATTCTACACAGAATCATTTCCATGAGAAAATAAGCCCATGAAAACCGGCTATGCTTACCTTGTTAGGTGGGTCATTGGAGTGGTCCTGAGCTGGAGAAGCAAAAGAAGAGTTAGCGATCCATGGAAATGCAAAGCTGACTTCAGGTGATTCTAGCTGAAGGAGGTGGCAGTTGGAGGGTGGGGAGTTTAAGGATCAGTTAAGGAATTTACTTCCCTCAGAGTGTATGGTCCAGACCCAGCATGTTAGTACCAGAGAGGGGGCAGGGGCAGAACCACAGGAGGCCACAATCCACTTGTGAAGAGTTCTACCAGTTCACAAGGCCTTGATTTTTGCCCAGATGTGTTTCTCAGCAACATGCTCCAGTGGCAAGGAGGGGCATTGAGACTTGTAGCACCCACAGCACCCACAAGATAAGGAAAGTCTCACCAAGGGAGAGTGCCCACATCCGTAATAGAGGCAGGAGGCGGAAGGAGTAAGGCTGAGGAAATGGCTCCTGGAAACATGGGATCTTCCTCAGGCCTGCCTGGCCTAGGCAGAGTGAGCCTCTCTCCTCAGATGTGTCTCAGGGGACTCCTGTGGCTAGGAAGGGTGGGAAGACCTATGCCACCTTAGGGTTGGGAAATAGAGATCCTTTCTGTGAAAATTCAGAAGGGAGGGAGTGGTTTGGGAATCCAGGATTCCCTGCCAGGGGAGGGCACGTGGTGGAACATACCAGTTCTCACTGGGGTAAGTGGCTTTACTTACTGTGGTTGGAGACTGAGGGTTTGTGCTCTGTGAGATCACGCTGGTCGCTTGCCCTAAATAAATATCAGAAACTGTGACTGCTATTCCCAAGCACAGGATCTTTGTTCCGTAAGTTAGGAAGGACACTGTGAGCAGGTAATTCCTTAGAGTCCTTGATGTTCATACTGCCTTTCTTCTGAGGGCCTCGTTCTTCAGTCTAACTACAATCCCTTCTAGTGTTTACTCTTTTCCTGTTTGCTGGATGTTCACATTTCATTTCATTCTTTATCAGCTGCTTCTGTGCCTACTTCTATCCTTAAAACCTTTCCCATTTTGTTTTCCGGGGTAGATACTTTTTTTTTTTTCTCTATTTATTGTTCAAGAGGACTTTGGTTGTTTTTGCTTTCTCTTAGGTTCTCTTCCTATGCTATTTCTCCCTCCTCTTCCAATGTGGTCAACAGAGCACATGACTTGCTTTCTCCTGCTGCTTCTTTCATTTTTTCATTTGTTTTCCTTCTTAGACCTTGCTTTCCCTGACTAGGGGACAGAGGAACATACTTGAGTCTCTTCCTCTAGATTAGATGGGGATTGGAATACCCATGTCCAAGAGATAATGGGAGACAGGGAGCACGAAGACCAGGGAAGAGGAAACCTGTGGGAATTAGTGCCGAGAAGCAGGAGTTTAGTGGGAGGAGTATGAGATCCAGGCCCAGAGACAGGCAAAGAATTCTTTCCCTCTCCCAAGCATGGCAGTCAGCCTTGGAGGAAACAGAACAAGAGGAAAGGCCATCATACCTGCCGGTCTTCCCGAAATGCAGAAAACATGCCAGGGCTACTGCTATCAGAGCAACCAGGGCCACTACTCCAATCACAATGCCAGCAATGGCCCCAGGTGAGAGGCCATTTTCTTGTGGTAGAGCATTATCTGTCATGGAGAGAAAAGAGGAGAAGAAATGAAAGTGAAATTATTTTACAATGGGGGCTGGGAAACAACTCTCAGAATGAAGTAGTTTCTAATTGTTCCTTCAAGGAATACAGTTTCGTTGTGGGAAGGTTGCTGGAAGGTGATTAGCTAACTATATCCTTGCAATTTTTTTTTTTCAATCACCATGTTTCTTTTTTTCTTTTCTTTTTTTTTTTTGAGACAGAGTCTTGCTCTGTCTCTCAGGCTGGAGTGCAGTAGCATGATCTTGGCTCACTGCAACCTCCGCCTCCCAGGTTCAAGCGATTCTCCTGCCTCAGGCTGGACTACAGGCACGTGCCACCACACCTGGCTAATTTCTGTATTTTTTTAGTAGAGACGGGGTTTCACCATATTGGTCAGACTGGTCTTGAACTCCTGACCTCATGATCCGCCTGCCTCGGCCTCCCAAAGTGCTTGGATTATAGGCGTGAGCCACTGCGCCCAACCCCAGTCACCATGTTTCTAGGTTGATGATCTCTCTTCTGCCAATTCCACCCTGGCTTTTCTGCGCTCAGCCATTTTTAAGGCTTTGAAATATGAGAAAGGCTGATTGCTATTTTGTATGTGATTAGAACTTTCCACCTTTTTCGTGGTTGCATCTTTTTCTCAGTGTCTCAGTTGTGGCAGTTGGTGCATTCTGAATTCACCACCTCTTTTGCATAGAGAACTGGCTTCCCACAGGCTCCCAGCAGGGGTATGAAAGCTAGCCCAGTTTTGTGTGACTGTTTTATTCTGAAGTGTGAATGGCTGGAGGACTCCCTGTCAGCCTTGCAGAAATGCTCTTAGAACTGCACTGCAGGCCGGGCGCGGTGGCTGACGCCTGTAATCCCAGAACTTTGGGAGGCTGAGGCGGGTGGATCACGAGGTCAGGAGTTCAAGACCAGCCTGGCCAAGATGGTGAAACCCTATCTCTACTAAAAATACAAAATTTAGCTGGGTGCGGTGGCAGGTGCCTATAATCCCAGCTACTTGAGAGGCTGAGGCAGGAGAATCGCTTGAACCCGGGGGGCAGAGGTTTCAGTGAGCCGAGATCACACTACTGCACTCAAGCCTGGGCAACAGAGTGAGACTCTGTCTCAAAAAACAAACAAACAAAAACTGCACTTCAATCTAAAACTTCCTTCCTCTCTTTCTCTTCCACAGGAATCAGATCTGCATCATGGTCTGAGGTTCCTCTCACTCTCGCCTTACTTTCCCTCACAGGCATTTTCCCCAATAAATTATCTCGTATGTTTAATCCCATCTTCACTGTATCTCAGTAGATGGAAACTAACATACCAGGCTTGAGACTTTGCTTTACCTCCTTTTTTCCCCCTTTCCCATATTTGATCATAGCCATGTCCCAGTGGGTTTCTTGTATAATGCTTCTCCCTCCATATATATATATATATATATATATAATATATAAATAATACCTTTTGCATCTATTTCTTCTTCTTCTTTTTTTTTTTTTTTTTTTTTGAGGCAGGTTCTCACTCTATCACCCAGGCTGGAGTGCAGTGGCACAATCATGGCTCATTGTAGCCTCTTGGGATCAAGTGATCCTCCCACCTCAGTCTCCTCAGTAGCTGAGACTATAAGCACATGCCACCACACCTGGCTAATTTTTTTCTTTCTTTTTTTTTTTTTTGAGACCGAGTTTTGCTCTTGTTGCCTAGGCTAGAGTGCAATGGCGTGATCTCGGCTCACTGCAACCTCTGCCTCCCAGGTTCAAGCGATTCTCCTACCTCAGCCTCCTGAATTGCTGGGATTACAGGCATGCGCCACCACGCCTGGCTAATTTTGTATTTTTAGTAGAGACGGGGTTTCTCCATCCTGGTCAGGCTGGTCTTGAACTCCCGACCTCAGGTGACCCGCCTGCCTCAACCTCCCAAAGTGTTGGGATTACAGGCGTGAGCCACCACGCCCACCCACCTGGCTAATTAAAAAAAAATAATTTTTGTAGAGATAGGGTTCCACTATATTGCCTAGGCTGGTCTTGGATTCCTGGGCTCAAGAGATCCTCCAGCCTCGGCCTCCCAAATGTTGGGATTACAGGTGTGAGCCACTGTGTCTAGCCTATTTCTTGTTTATATCTGTTGCAACTATTTGGGGCTTAACCCTCACCAGTCAACTCAGGCTGGTGACTAATGCTATGTTAGCTACTTTTGTGGAGTACTTCCTGTGTGCCAGGCCCTGTGCTGCTAAATGCTTTACATGTATCTTATTTGATCCATAAAATAGTGCTGTCAGGTAGACATTATTTCCATTTTAAACATGAAAAAATGGAAGCTTAGAGTGGTAAAAGGCTTACCTAAAGTCAGATGGCTAGTGAGAGGTGGATCTGAGATTTGACCCTAGGACTACCTGATTTCAAGGCTAATGATAATAGTAGTAGTAATAGCAGCTAACATTTATGAAACATTTCCTCTGTGTGTGGTGTTTTGCTGAAGGTTTATTATTACATTAAATCTTTAAAATAACACTATGGGGCCAGGCGTGGTGGCTCACACCTGTAATCTCAGCACTTTGGGAAACAGATGGGAGGATTGCTTGAGCCCAGGAGTTCGAGTCCAGCCTGGGTAACATGGTGAGATTCTGTCTCTCTGAAAACAAAAATAAAAATAAATTAGCCAGATGTGGTAGTATGTACTACTTAGGAGGCTAAGGTGAGGGAATTGCTTGAGCCCAGGAGGTTGAGGCTGCAGTGAGCTGTGTTTGCACCACTGCACTCCAGTCTGGGTGACAGAGTGACACCCTGTCTCAAAAACAAAACAAAAACCCCAAACCCGTGCAATACTATGGAGCAGGCATTCACAGTGCAATTTTCGGTTGAGGAATCCGAGGCTCAGAGTAGTTAAGAATCTTGTGCAAGAAAGAAATTTATAACTGTAGGCCAGGTACAGTGGTGTATGACTGTAATCCCAGCAATTTGGGAGGCTGAGGCAGGTGTATCACTTGAGCTCAGGAATTTGAGACCAGCTGGGCAAGATGGTGAAACCCTGTCTCTACAAAAAATTACAAAAATTAGCCGGAGGTGGTAGTGCTTGTCTGTAGTTTCAGCTACCCAGGAGGCTGAAGCAGGAGGATTGCTTGAACCCGGGAAGTTGAGGCTGTGGTGAGCCATGATCAGCCTCGGTGACAGAGTGAGAACCTGTCTCAAACCGAAAAAAAAAAGTTGTTCTTCAAAAAAGATCACTATAATTGACAACTGTTAATTAGATTGACTAAGAAAGAAAGAAGATTCAAATTACTAAAGTCAGAAATGAAAGTAAAACATTACTACTAATTCTGCAGAAATAATAAGGATTATAAGAGTACTATGAGTAATTGAATGCCAACAAATTGGATAACCTGGATGAAATGAACAAATTCCTAGAAACACAAAACCTGCCATGATAGAATCATGAATAAATAGAAAATCTGAATAGACCTATAACCAGTAATGAAAATGAGTCGATAAAAGCATTTGACAAAATTCAACATTCTTTCATGCTAAAAAACACTGAAACTAGGAATAGAAGGAAATTCTCAACATAATAAATGCTACATGTGAAAACCCCCAGCTACCATCATAGTCAATGGTGAAAGATTGAAAACTTTTCCTTTAAGATCAAGAACAAGACAAGGATGCCTGCTTTTGCCATTTCTATTCAATGTAGTATTGGAAGACCTAGACAGAACAATTAGGCAAGAAAAAAAAAGCATCTAGATTGGAAAGAAGTAAAATTATACCTGTTTGCAGAATACACTAACTTATATATAGAAAACCCTAGAGATTCCACAAAAAAACTGTTAGAATAATAAATTTAGCAAAGTGGCAGGATACAAAATCCACATGCAAAAATCAGTTGTATTTTTGTATACTAATAACAATTCAAAGGAAAATTAAGAAAAAAATTCTATTTATAAGAGCTTTAAAAATACTTAGAAATAAACTTAACCAAAGAGGTGAAAGATTTGTACCCTGAAAATACAAAACATTGCCAAAAGAAATTAAATAAGACATAAATTGAAAAGACACCCCATTTTCATGGATTAGAAGACTTAATATTGTTAAGATGACAGTACTACCCAAAGTGATCTACAGATTCAGTGCAATCTCTATCAAAATTCCAGTAATATTTTTTGCAGAAATAGAAAAATTCATTCTAAAATTTATATAGACTCTGAAGGGACCATGGATAGCCAAAGCAATCTTGAAAAAGAACAAAGTTGAAGGGCTCACACTTCCTGGTTTCAAAATTTTTTACAAAGCTATGGTAATCATCACACCTGTAATCTTAGCACTTTGGGAGGTGGAGGCGGGTGGATTGCTTGAGCTCAGGAGTTTGAGACCAGCCTTGGCAACATGGTGAAACGCCATCTCTACAAAGAAAAGCAAAAAAACAAAACAAAACAAAAAAACCCAAACAACAACAATAAAACAAACAAACAAAATCCAAAAGCTACAGTAATCAAAACAGTATGGTACTGGCAAAAAGAAATAGAAACCAGTGGAATAAAATATAGAGCCCAGAAAGAAATGTTTGCATACATAGCCAAATGTTTTTTGACAAGGGTGCCAAGATCATTCAGTGGGGAAAGGATAGTCTTTTCAACAAATGGCATTGAAGAAACTGGATATCCATGCAAAAGAATGAAATTGAACCTTTATGTAACACCATATATAAAAATTAATTCAAAATGCATAAAAGACCTAAATGTAAGAGCTAAAACTATAAAGCTCTTGGAAGATAGAGTGAAAACTTTGGAACATTGAATTTGGCAATGATTTCTTGGCTATGACACTAAAAGCATAGGCAACGAAAGAAGAAGTAGAGAAATTGGACTTAATGAAAATTAAAAGCTTTTGTGTATCAAAGCACATTATCACAAAAGTGAAAAGACTTCTTATAGAATGGGAGAAAATATTTGAGAATCATATATCTGATAAGGGATTAATATCCAAAATATATAAAGAACTACTGCAACTCAACCAAAAATCCCCAAACAACCTAATTAAAACATGGGCAAAGGACTTGAATAAACATTTCTCCAAAGAAGATAAATGGCAAATAAGCACATGAAAAGATGCTAAATATTGCTAATCATTAGGGAAGTGCAAATCAAAACTCCAATGATATACCACCTTATAACCATTAGGATGGCCATTATAAAAAACAAAACAAAACCAGAAAGCAACAAATGTTTTTGAAGATGTAGAGAAATTGGAACTCTAGTGCATTGCTGGTGGGAATGTGAAATGGTATAGCCACTGTGGAAAATGGTATGATGGTTCTTCAAAATTAAACAGGATTACCATTTGATCCAGCAATTCCACTTCTGAGTATCTATTTAAAAGAACTGAAAGCAGGGATTTGAACAGATATTTGTATACCCATGTTTGTAATAGCATTATTCATAATAGCCAAAAGGTGGAAGCAACCTAACTGTCCATAGATGGATGAGTGGATAAGCAAAATGTGATGTATCTATCTACACAGCATAATATTATTCAGTCTCCAAAAGGAATGAAATTCTGATACATTCTACAACATAGATGGAGCTTGAAGACATTGTGCTAAATGAAGTAAGCCAGACACAAAAGGACAAATATTGCATGCTTCCATCTGTATGAGAGGTACTTAGAATAGTTAAATACGGGGTGGGCAGAGTGGCTCATTCCTGTAATCCCAGCACTTTGGGAGGCCGAGGCTGAGACCAGGAGATTGAGACCAGCCTGGGCAACACAGTGAAACCCCAACTCTACAAAAAAACTTAAAAACTTAGCCAGGCATGGTGGTGCAACCTGTAGTCCCAGCTACTCTGGAGGCTGAGGTGGCAGGATTGCTTGAACCCAGGGGATTGAGGCGGGAGTGAGCTTTGATCACACCACAGCACTCCAGCCTGGGTGACAGAGTGAGACCCTGTCTCAAAACAACAAAACAAACAAAAAAACCCAACCAACCAAAAAAAACCAACTAAGTATATGTATATTTGATTCAGAGCCTGAGCTCTTTTTTTTTTTTTTTTTTTGAGACAGAGTCTTGCTCTGTTGCCTAGACTGGAGTGCAGTGGCACCATCTCGGCTCACTGAAAGCTCCGCCTCCCAGGTTCACGCCATTCTCCCGCCTCAGCCTCCCGAGTAGCTGGGACTACAGGCGCCCGCCACCATGCCCGGCTAATTTTTTTTTGTATTTTTAGTAGACACGGGGTTTCACCATATTAGCCAGGATGGTCTCGATCTCCTGCCCTCGTGATCCGCCCGCCTTGGCCTCCCAAACTGCTGGGATTACAGGCGTGAGCCACTGTGCCCGGCCTGAGCTGAGCTCTTAACCACTTTGCAATTCTGTTTGCTATAATGGTCTCTTCATTGATATTCTGCCTCCTGTGAGTTTTATCCATTTTGCACACCATTGACAGAGTAATCCTAGAGGGACATATAGGAAGGGGTGAGGAGTCACTTACAGTTTACGTTCAGCATGATGGGGTCGCTTTGGTTCTTACTGATTGGGTTGAAGACCTCACACCAATACGTCCCAGCATCCTCCCTCTTGACAGGGTTTATGCTGAGGGTGGTGTTGCCCTGGGACAGCTTCATCCTCTCCGAGGACGGGAGACTCTGGTTTTTGAAGAACCAACGGATGGAGATTCCAGTGTCATTTGTGGAGCAGGTCAGGTTCACAGAGTCCTTATCTCCTGTGACTGTGGTCTTGCTGGCTTTGATTTGGGGCTTTGCTACTACTGGACTTAGCTCTGTGGACAAGCAGAGTATCTGAGATAACCTACTGAGAATAGGGTTGGGGCCTGGGGCCTAGGGCTATGCTCCTTTCCCTGAGATTTTAGCCAGCTCTCAGGTCCCACAGTGAGCTGTGCAAAGGTCACCAACCAGGGGATAGCCCTGACCCTCTGCAGAAGGTCGAGTGTCTTTGTTCAGGTGATGAATTGTAAGGAGAGGGCTGCACCTCCCTCCTGACCCCAGATCGTCTCAGAGTGACCCTCTGGATATCTCTATATCTCCACTTGGAATCTTCTTCTCAGCGCACAGACCGAGCAACCTCATCATCAGGTAGAATGTTTTTCCCACTGACTTTTTTTTTTTTTTTTTCAGACGGAGTCTCGCTCTGTCACCCAGGCCGGAATGCAGTGGCATGATCTCAGCTCACTGCAAGCTCTGCCTCCCGGGTTCAAGCCATTCTCCTGCCTCAGCCTCCCGAGTAGCTGGGACTAAAGGCATGTGCCACCATGCCCAGCTAATTTTTTGTATTTTTAGTAGAGACGGGGTTTCACCATGTTAGCCAGGATGGTCTTGATCTCCTGACCTCATGATCCACCCGCCTCAGCCTCCCAAAGTGCTGGGATTACAGGCGTGAGCCACTGTGCCTGGCCTCCCACTGACCCTTTCCTGGAGCTGTGATCAGGCATCCTTCCTGTGACTGTCACTTTACATACAAAAGGGAAGGTAGTGTTTTTTTTCATTAAATAATTTTTTAGGGAATGATGATGCCCCATCCAGTCTTCATGACCTTACTATCTGGAGTTCCAATCCGAAGGATTTCCCACTGTAAAGAGGAGTTTTACTTCCTGGTCTGTGGATAGAATATCACGGTGAAGGAGATTCCTAGAGTAGGCACAGTGTTAACAAAAGGCTGATATTCTTACCTTCTCTACAAATACACGCTGTTTGGCATTGCCCATTCTCTCCAATGCAGAGCCCCTGTGGCTGAATCTCCCGATTTCTCCAAGTGTGGGTCACTCGCTGTGCTCTGTGCTATCCCATGTGCTGTGCCCACAGCCTCATACAGCTGGTGACTTCAGAGCCAGGACAAGCTCAGGGAGGCAGCCTGACCCAGGGGAGGCTCAGGTGTTGACTGCCTTTATTTATTTATTTATTTAGTTTTTGAGACAGAGTCTCTCTGTGTTGTCCAGGCTGGAGTGCAGTGGTGCCATCTCGGCTCATTGCAACCTCTGCCTCCCAGGTTCAAGTGATTCTTGTGCCTCAGCCTCCCTAGTGGCATGCCTAGTGGCATGTGCAACCATGCCTGGCTAAATTTTTTTTTTTGTATTTTTAGTAGAGATGGAGTTTTGCCATGTTGGTCAGGCTGGTCTCGAACTCCTGACCTCAGGTGATCCTCTCACCTCGGCCTTCCAAAGTACTGGGATCACAGGCATGAACCACAGCGCCCAGCCATTGACTGCCATCTTGATTTAGCTGGATTCATGACAGGCCACCTGGACACCTTCTGCACACACCTGCGTCCTACCCCACATGGGGTCAGGGCAGAGCCAATCACCGGGCAAGCCGGGAGTAGAGCAGGGAGCAGAGTCTGAGCTGCTCATCCCTGATGAAGGGCATTTCCTTCTCTCATTTAGGGAAAACTATTGTGAGTCTGTTTTAAAACCTCACATATTCCTTATATCTCATGGAATAGGTAAAAGAAGGCCAAGAAGTTACAGAAAGGGACATGTTAGTGACAGAAGCAAATTGACCTTGAGGACCCTTTCTGCTTCCCCCTCTGTGAAGCCCCTCCTGCTACACGGGGCTTTCTGGGGCTGAGAGAACCCCCTCCCCACATTCCAGGCTGGACCTAAGGTCAGCTGTGAGAAATCAGAAAAACAAAGGGAAGAGAGTCTGCACAGATGAATTGAGAGGGTTCAGGGGAGAATTTGGACTTGTTTGTGCCTGTTGGATACAGGCTGCAAAAGAAAATTTCTTCTCTGCTCCTATTTGAAAACCAGAAAGCTTGTACCCCAGATCTTAGTGTTGATGCTCCAGGAATTACTTACCAGTGACTATGATCGTCTTGACTGTGGTCCTGTTGCAGCCAGTGACTGAGTTATTGGCGTGGCAGGTATAGGATCCACTATTATTCACAGTGATGTTAGGGATAAAGAGCTCTTGTGTGCTTTGCTGGAATGTTCCATTGATAAGCCAGGAGTACTGTGCAGGTGGGTTAGAGGCTGCATAGCAGGAGAGGCTGAGGTTTGCCCCTGGACGGTAATAGGTGTCTGAAGGGGAAATGGTGGGGGTGTCCGGGCCATCTGGAGCAAAGAGAATAAAGCCACAGGTGATGTCATCAGAGGGAAGGGGAAGCTGCTGGTCTGGAGAAGGGCCACAGTGTTCCTCTCTACTAAGTCACAACCCTGAAGTCCTAACCAAACCTCCATTGTGTCCACTGAGTCTGGGTCTGAGACATTCACCTGTTTCTCCCATCACAGGCTGTGGACCCTGAGCCTCCCAGGACAGGAGCAGCCTCTCCCCTCCTATTCTTGGTTCAGGCTGGGGCTGCCCAGGTTTGCCTGGGGAAAGGAAGTCATGGCCAGCCTGGGTGTCCAGGGTTAAGGGTCTGCGTCCTTAGACCTGAGAGGGACTGAGAGGCCTGGCCTCTGGCTGCGTGGATTTGGGCTGGCAGCCTGGGCCACAGAGGAACAGAAGATACTCACAGGTGACATTCAAGGTGACTGGGTCACTGCGGTTCGCACTCACTGGGTTCTGTATTTCACACTCATAGGGTCCTGTGTCATTCCTTGTGACACTGAGTAGAGTGAGGGTCCTGTTGCCATTGGACAGCTGCAGCCTGGGACTGACCGGGAGGCTCTGATTGTTTATCCACCACAGGTAGGTTGTGTCCTGAGTCTCAGGTTCACAGGTGAAGGCCACAGCATCCTTGTCCTCCACAGGGTTGGAGTTGTTGCTGGAGATGGAGGGCTTGGGCAGCTCCGCTATGCAGAAAACAGAGAGAAGATTGCCCTGTGTGGCACCTTTGATTCCTCCACAGGCATTTTTCTTTTCTTATTTATTTATTTTTTTTGGAGATGGAGCCTCGCTCTGTCACCCAGGCTGGAGTGCAATGGCACGATCTCGGCTCACTGCAACCTCCACCTCCTGGATTCAAGCAATTCTCCTGCCTCAGCTTCCTGAGTAGCTGGGATTACAGGCACATGCCACCATGCCTGACGGGGTTTCACCGTGTTGCCCAGGCTGGTCTCAAACTCCTGAGCTCTGGCAATCCGCCCGATTCGGCCTCTCAAAGTGCTGGGATTACAGGCCTGAGCCACCGTGCCTGGCTGGGCATTTTTCTTTCTTTCTTTTTTTTTTTGAGACAGAGTCTCGCTTTGTTGCTGAGGCTGGGGTGCAGTGGCACGATCTTGGCTCACTGCAACCTCTTCCTCCCGGGTTCAAGCGATTCTCCTGCCTCAGCCTCCTGAGTAGCTGGGACTACAGGTGCATGCCACCATGCCCGGCTAGTTTTTTGTATTTTAGCCAGGATGGTCACTGTTAGCCAGGATGGTCTCGACCTCCTGACCTCGTGATCTGCCCGCCTCGGCCTCCCAAAGTGCTGGGATTCCGTCCGGGCATTTTTCAATCAGAGTTGGCATCTCCCCACCTCTCAGCCAACCCAAGTCCCTAAAAGCCCATGGCAAGTGTGTGTTTCACAAGACAGATGTGCAATGATCTGAGGGCTCAGAGACCGTGAGGCCGCCTGCTCTGTGTGAGAGAAGCACAGACTTTCTCAAGTGTGAACTGAGCAGCAGTGTTGGGTCGTGGACAGACCGAGGACTGGGAGTCACAGCCCCAGGCACTTCTGGTCCTTCCCTGACTGGCTGATGCCTGCCTGACCCACCTGTGGGTCCTCACCTGGAACATACAGGTGCTGGGTCCCTTCCAGCTTCACAGTCCTACTTTGCCCCACTAGGTGTGTTTTCTCTGCAGCTTCCCTGTCTGAGGACATCCTAGAGATGGGTGATGATGGGACTTCCTATTGTCCTTAAACCCTGAGGATACTGAGCAGCCTGGCCTGGGACTGTATGTTTCAGCAGAAATAACAGGGGACACCAGGGGCAAGCCTGAAGGTAGCTCAGTCGTCAGGCAGCAGAACCACAAGGTGGGGCAGTTTTTCCCAGGTGTTTGATGATGACTGACTTGAGCCAGTGACCCCCTAAAGATAGAGCAGAGTCCAAGGAATGATCTAGAAAAGAGTGAGGGTGACAGGCAGGGGCTGCCTGGATTTAACAGCATATCTACGTTCCTTGTCTTTGGTCTTTAATGTCCCTTTTCCCCCTGAAAAGAGCAGATGATGACACTGTGGATCTTTTCTGAAATATGTGGGTTTTTTGCAAATGCAGAATAACCAGCTAGTGGAACGGAAGGAGCATGAACTTGCTGAAAGCCTGACCCTCATGGACCGTGTGTGTTTGGTAGATCTGGGATATAAATTTGAGAAGTTAAATTATTCCATTTGTGAAAATTGTTATTAATACTCTGGATCTAACACCAATTAATAAGAGGAATATTCTCTAGAGAGCGTGATAAACTCTTAAACCAAGCTCTGAAGTCCAGTAGGATCATGTTATGATCAAAGAAAGATGCTGAAGTCAGTTTGAAATCAGTGACTCCCTGGGTAGAAGGGACTCATGGGTCCTGTTAGGAAGACAGAACTTGTCAGAAAGGATATCTGAGAGTTCTCAATTGCATTAAGAGAGAAACGATGCCATATGAGGAGAAGTGATGTATGTTATGTTAGTAAATTTAGAAAGAGTTCTATGTTACAAATTCCTGTGGAAATTCAGGTAAAAAGAGGAACCCAAAACAGTCATGTGAAATGCTTTCTTCCTTTTCTCTCAACCTCAGGAAACACAACTAGAGTTTGACCAAATTCATCCAAATTGGGCAGAGTCTAAGTGAGACACCAGTGGCTAATGCATCTCCCTGTCTGAGAGATCCCACCTTATGACAATGGTGTCATCATGAGGACACAGGTGTAGGTGGAATGGGCAGCAAACCCATCAGACAGCACCTGCCTGGCTAGCTCTACCTGGGGAAGGTCCCAGGAACCACTAGAGGATGTGAGCCCACAGCAGAACAGGGATGGAGTTAGGAGTCAAATGGGTGAAATGAGCCCATGGGCTTTGGGGACTGCAGACCTGTCCTTCTGCCTCTGATCCCCTGGTGAGTCAGTATAGAGAGTGTATGGAGGAGTCGCTCGTCCCTGTCCCCTGGCCTGTTCCACATGTCAGCCTCACTGAGGGACGTGGGGACAGTGGCTTATGATGGACCTGGCAGGGGTGGCTGCTCTGGGCTCATTTCTGTGCCTTTCCTATTGCCTGGGAGGTGGGCCTGGCCACAGTGTGAGCGGGAAGGGAACAGGACAGTCAACCTTGTTAGACGGAGTGTCTGGGAAAGGCCTAAGGGTGGAGGAAACTGTGCAGTTCAGCTGGGATAAAAGGAGAGGAAAATGAGGACATGGAGGAGCAGAGAGAGTCAGAGATGCCCATGACAGTGAGCAGTGGGGGCTAAGTGACCTTAGAGACCCCAGCAACCAGGAGCCTCTGGTGTCCCAGAACCAAGACCAGGGAGCCCTGAAAACCTTCCCACAGCCGAGCAGCCCCAGAGTCACATGAAATATGGTACTTGGGGTGGCTTTAGGGGTAGATGGTCAGGGGATGGAACATGGGTCTCAGTCTCTGGAGGGATGGGGAGCAGGTATGGCAAGAACCTCCCAGGATTCTGCAACCAGATCCAGTCTCTAAAGAGGTTATGGATCATTCAATCATTCATTCATTCGTGAGAGAACTACTGAGTGTGTGTTTCATATTGGGCCCTGGCTGGTGCAGGGTGTGAGTGAGGAGAGAAAGCAAAGTCCTTTCCTTTATCCTCCTGTGGGAGTGACACCAACACATCAGGAAACACAGGATTTCAAGTCCAGGGAGCAGAGGTGTGGGTCTGAGGGGATAGGCCTGAACATTTTTTTTTTTTTTTTTTGAGATAGAGTCTCACTCTGTCTCCCAGGCTGGAGCACAGTGACATGATCTTGGCTCACTGCAACCTCTGCCTCCTGGGTTCAAGCGATTCTACCACCTCAGCATCCCAAGTAGCTGGGATTAGAGGCACGCACCACCATGCCCGACTAATTTTTTTTGTATTTTTAGTAGAGATGGGGTTTCACCATGTTGGCCAGGCTGGTCTTGAACTCCTGACCTCAAGTGATCCGCCCACCTTGGCATCCCAAAGTGCTGGGATTACAGGTGTGAGCCACCACACCTGACCCAGGCCTGAACATTTCTGACACTGACTCTAATTGTTGAATAAGTTCCAGAATAAAACTTGGTTAATTCTCCATTTGATCTCACTCCCCAGACCAGGATCTCCCCTCTGGGCTGCAGATGCCTAAGAAGAAAGGAACTGAACCAACTCTGGTATTGGGGTCCACAGATGCCAAATAAGGCCCCTGGAGTAGAGGAGAGGTTAAGACTGTGGCTGAAGACAAATCTCCTGTAACTGATCTTCCAGTTACGGTCTGTGTGACCTTGATATAGTGACTGTATTTATTGCCATGTGGCTCAGTTTCCCCTCAGTGAAATAGTATAAATGGTTAATGGTTTTGGCTTATCTTGTGGTCTGTGAATTAACCTTAAAATATTTATAATTATTTGACCTCAGCTCTGCATAGGGGAGCTGCCCAAATAAACAATCTTATTTTATTTTATTTTTTTGAGATGGAGTCTCGCTCTGTCACCCAGGCTAGGGTGCAGTGGTGTGATCTTGGCTCACTGCAACCTCTGCCTCCCAGGTTCAAGCAATTCTCCTGCCTCAGCCTCCTGAGTAGCTGGGATTACAGGCACGCACCACCATGCCCGGCTAATTTTTTTGTATTTTTAGTAGAGACGGCATTTCACCATGTTGGTCAGGCTGGTCTTGAACTCCTGACCTCATAGTCCATCCACCTCGGCCTCCCAAAGTACTGGGATTACAGGCGTGAGCCACCGCTCCCGGCCGCAGCATCTATTGTTGTTGGATTCCCTGAGAGTGCCTCTCAGCCTGATCCCTGGTGGACAAGGAGCTTTCAGGAGCATCCTGTCTCCTCTGTTCCTCCTCCTGGGGATGGTAAACTTCCTATGGCATCTCCTAAGCCCCCAGGGCAGTTGGCTGATGGCCTGGGGAGCTTGTCCATCTGTCCTCTCCAGGCTGAGACTAAGGTGAAGGATGAGGCTCCATCCTTGCCCAAATGAGGCTCTAGTGCCTGAACCCTGGCTGGTTACCAGCTCCAGGAGCCACAGCCCTCGGATAGCTCAAATTCTTGTTCCTAGTCAGCCCTGCCCAGGAGGCCACAATCTAGCCCTGGCCCAGGCTCCTCAGGGTCACCAGGAGTTGAGAACCTTGGGATAGTGTTTTGGAGCAGGGGATTCCCAGGGCTGAGCTTGTCTGTGAGGATCCCAGAAGGCCCTTCAGGCCAGACCCTGACTGAGTCCTACTGGGTCTTTCTTAGGGACATGTTCACCAGGAGGGTCCCGGGGGGCTAGATTGAGACTGGTCTCCCCTCGATAAGTTACCCACATCAGATTGTCCTTCCTCTGAAGCAAATGTCTGCAGGATCAGGACTCCAGAGTAAGACATTCGGTATTTTGATGTCTGTCCCATAGTGTGTCCTGCACTAGATGCTCAAACCTTAACATGGGGTATAATGCAGAGGAGGACACAGGCACAGCCCAGGCCTGACAATCCCATGTGTGGGAAGTAGAACTAACCCCCCAACACCCAGAGGTCATGGGGAAATACTCACGGTATACATGGAACTGTCCAGTTGCTTCTTCATTCACAAGATCTGACTTTATGACTTGTAGGGTGTAGAATCCTGTGTCATTCTGGGTGACGTTCTGGATCAGCAGGGATGCATTGGGGTATATTGTCTCTCGACCGCTGTTTGCGGGCCCTGGGGTAGCTTGTTGAGTTCCTATTGCATATCCTACAATTTGACGGTTGCCATCCACTCTTTCCCCTTTGTACCAGCTGTAGCCAAAAAGTTGCTGGGGCAGATTGTGGACAAGGAGAAGAACCTCCTTCCCCTCTGCAACATTGAATGGCATGGATTCAGTAGTGAGCTGGGCAGTGGTGGGCGGGTTCCAGAAGGTTAGAAGTGAGGCTAGGAGAGAGGAGAGAGCATCAGTCAATATTGGGACCTATGCATTAGGGTAGAAAAATGGGGCCTTGGGTCCTGAGCAGGTGTCTTCACCCCTCCACCTTGGAGTGTGTGTGTGTGTGTGTGTGTGTGTGTGTGTGTGTGTGTGTGTCCTACTGGGTCAAGGTCAGCAGTGTGACTCCCATTCCCTTAGTGCCTCTGACCTTGTCATTTCTCTGGAATGCCCTTCCCCAGGGATCCGCATGGCTCCCTCCCCACTGCCCTCAGATCTTGATCACATCAGGGTGCTCTTGGGAGATCCTTTCCCTGACACCTCCCCTAGAGACCCTGGGTATTCCCTTTCTGACCTTTTTCTGCTCTGTTCCCTCCAGGGCTCTTGTCAACACCTGACCTCACATTCTAGATCTCTTTGCTTGTCTGTCTTCCCCACCCATGAGAGCGTGAGCTCCGTGAGGGCAGGGATTTGTGTGATGTTGGTTGCACCCCAGTGCCTGGGATAGGCTGCAGACTCCTGTGGATGAGTTAGTGAGCATTCCCAGGGCTCTTCATGTCCTGGGGTTTATTTGCCAATATCTGAGGTTGGTGGCTCAGGGCTCTGTTTAATGCCCCTTTTAAAATGTTTTCCTTAATTGTCACGCTGACTTAAATTGTGATTATTGTCAGCAGTTTTTGAAATTTATTGCTCATTGATGATTCAGTTGGAAAAGGTAAAAAATGGGAGATTGTTTATTCACTAACAGTTTCAGATCACTGAGACTTTCCTTTTATGATCTCTATCCCTTTCATGTCCTCTCTCCTATTTGGCTCCAAGAGAAGCCCTCTGTCCCCTCTTAGAGCTCCATCCTCCCCAGAGGACCCTAGCCATTCTCTGTGCGCCCTCTTTCCGCCCCTTCCCAGGGTGTCCTCCCCTCACCTGTGAGCAGAAGCCCCTGCCAGGGTACACGCACTCTGTGAAGTGGGGCTGAGAGGTGCCCCATGGTGTCTCCTGCTGGCCCTGTCTTCACCTGTGGAGGAGAGCTTGGGCTCCAGGAACGCTTCGAGCACGGCTGCTCTGTCACCTCTGCTGTTTTCCACTCTCTGTGCTGAGCCTCCTCCCTGGGGCCCAGAGCTTTGTCTGATCATGTGTGCTGGGGCGGGGTTTGTCCAGGAAGCTCTGTTTCCTCTCCTCTCATTCCTACCTTTGTCCTTACTTTCTCTTTCCTTTCTGTCTACATTTTGGTTTCCCAGACCACACTTTGAGAATCAAGGCTGATGAGACCTCTGTCCCCATCAGGGGAGGAGGATCCCCCCTCTCCAGCACTGACCTCTATTGTGTCCTGGCTATGGGTCTGTCAGCAGCACACAGAGAACCCTGGCATATCCAAATGTGGTAATTATTTTCTTTGCAACACAGTGAGCTGCCAGGTCTCCCCATGCTCTTCAGTGTGCTGGGAAGGTAGGAAGACACCCAGCAGGAAGGTGACAGAGGTGGCTCTGGGGGATGGAAAGGGGCTCACTGGGGGATGACTGGGGAGGGACCAGCCCTCTGTCTCTAGTGTCACCAGCCTGGCCTCTAACCCAGGGACAGAGACCCAAGTCCAGGGGTCTCAGGTGGAGCTGCAGCTCCCGGATATGGAGGGGGAGGTGTCCTGTGTGTCCTGGGAAGAGAGGACTGTGATAGAGGGAGGTGGGTGGCTCTGGGCTCTACTGTCCTTGGGGAAGACTTCAGGGGGACCCTCCCTCCCTTGAGCTGAGGCTCAAGGCCTGTCCATGTTCTCCCTGACCATCCTGGGTGGTCTCTGTCCTCTGCGAGGCTGATTGTCCTGTGGTCACCGCACCTTCCCCACAGGTGGTGCCAGGAGGGAATGGGGAGCTGCACAGGGACCCCTCACAGAACAGGGTCCTCAGAGGACCCAGGAAGGGACAGAGCAGGTACATGGGAGGGCCTGGAAGGGTGTTTTGGAGCAAGGGATGGAAAGTGGGCTCTACCTTCACCTCCTTAGCAAAGCCAGGTTCATGACCAGGGGAATGTTTCCTGAGTGTTGTCTGTGTGCAATGTCTCCCCCTGGAGGGCAAGACAAGGCCTGCAGCCTTGTCAAGGGCTGCCCCAGGGATGCTGACCAGGGTCTACATGATGTGAGCTGGCCCTGACCCCTGGGCAGATGTGGGCTCTGACCTCCAGGCTTCAAGGTCAAGTCACCCCAGGTCCTGTTCACTGCGGGTCCCCAGGCTGCCCAGCTCCATGCGGTGCAGGATGAGCCCAGGGAGAGGACGTGAGTTGTCCAGAGGACTTCTGTCAAGATTGGAGAGAACTGTCCACCAGGGGGATGGGCTGCCTTAGAAGGAGCCATCTGTCCCAGAGGTTTGAAAAACAAAAGCAAAAACAAAACAAAACAAAAAAACAAAGGCCCAGTGAGGTGCCTTTGGGGGCTTGAGAATGAAATCCTGTCACATGTGGCAACATGAATGGAAGTGGGCTAGGAACAGAAAGTTAAACATCACATGTTCTTACTAATATGTGGAACCTAAAAACAGTTGATCTCATGGAAGGAAAAAGTAGAACAGAGCATACCAGAGGCTGGGAAGGGTAGAGGAAGGGAGGGACAGGGAAAGATGTGTTAAAGGATATAAAATTACAGCTAGATAGGCCGGGCACAGTGGCTCATGCCTGTAATCCCAGCACTTTGGGAGGCCGAGGCGGGTGGATCATGAGGTCAAGAGATTGAGACCATCCTGGCCAACATGGTGAAACCCCGTCTCTACTAAAAATACAAAAAATTAGCCAGGTGTGGTCGTGGGCACCTGTAGTCCCAGCTACTTGGAGGCTGAGGCAGGAGAATCACTGGAACCCGGGAGGCAGAGGTTGCAATGAGCCAAGATTGCACCATTGCACTTCAGTGTGGCGACAGAGTGAGACTCCATCTTAAAAAAAAATAAGGCCAGGCGCGGTGGCTCACGCCTGTAATCCCAGCACTTTGGGAGGCCGAGGCGGGTGGATCATGAGGTCAGGAGATCGAGACCATCCTGGCTAACAAGGTGAAACCCCGTCTCTACTAAAAATACAAAAAATTAGCCGGGCGCGGTGGCGGGCGCCTGTAGTCCCAGCTACTCGGGAGGCTGAGGCAGGAGAATGGCGTGAACCTGGGAAGCGGAGCTTGCAGTGAGCCGAGATTGCGCCACTGCAGTCCGCAGTCCGGCCTGGGCGACAGAGCGAGACTCCGTCTCAAAAAAAAAAAAAAAAAAAAATACAGCTAGATAGGAGGAGGAATAAGTTCTAATGTTCTATACCACTGTAGGATGACTACAGATTTTTTTTTTTTTTTGAGACAGGGTCTGGAGTACACTGCAGCCTCAACCTCCTGCGATCAGGTGATCTTCCTGCCTCAGTCTCCCATGTAGCTGGAACTATAGGTGCACGCCACCACGCCTGGCTAATTTTTTGTTTTATTTTTCAATTTTTTTTTAAATAAAGAGACAGGGTATCACTATGTTGCCCAGGCTGGCCTTGAACTCCTAAGCTCAAGTGATCCTCCGCCTAGGCCTCCCAAAGTTCTAGGATTACAGCCACCATGCCCAGCCAAGTGTTTTGATTTTTTTGTAGAGACTGATCTTATTATGTTGGTCAGGCTGGTCTCGAGCTCCTGGGCTCAAGCAATCCTCCCGTCTCGGCCTTCCAAAGTGCTAAGATTATAGGTGTGACCCACTGCAACCGGCCTGACTATAGTTAACAATAATATATAGTTCCAAGTAGCTAGAAAGGGGATATTGAATGTTCCTAACACAAAGAAATGCTAAATGTTTGAGATGATGGATATGCTAATCACCCTGACCTTATCACTGTACCTTATATGTATCACATCGCTATGGACCCATAAATATGTACAATTATTAGGTGTCAATTAAAAAATACAATTAAAAAAGTCATTTAGAGCTAAATCATGATGTGAAATGTTGTTTTCTTACCTCTCATCTCATGACAACACTTGGCAATGGCAAAACATCCTCAGGAGTTGTGGCTGTGTGCTTTACTGCACAGACCAGTTTGTTTGTGAGAATGTGTCACCTAATGCGAGTGAACCTACATGAGATCATCACCCTTCCTGGGGGACCTCAGAGAAGAACTGAGAACCGCTGGCTCAGGTGTGTGGAGGAGGTTGCAGGTGAGTCACTTGCTGGAAGGAAGGTCTGTGGGCCAGCTTGAGGAGGAATCCATTTGTAGAGGCCACTGGATGGGGCCACCTGGGCCTGGGTGAAGAGGGCCTGAGGGCACAGGACAGGGGGAGAGAGAAGGTGGTGCACATCGTCATGCAGGCAAGTGCTTTAAGTGTCTCTTCATTCATTCATGGCAGGCAACTCACACTTTAACATAGCAACTCAGCAAATAAAATGAGGATATTGACTGGGCGCGGTGGCTCATGCCTGTAATCCCAGCACTTTGGGAGGCTGAGGTGGGTGGATCACCTGAGGTCAGGAGTTCAAGACCAGCCTGGCCAACATGGTGAAACCCCGTCTCTACTAAAAATACAAAGATTAGCTGGGCGTGGTGGTGGACACCTGTAATCCCATCTACTCTGGAGGCTGAGGCAGGAGAATCGCTTGAACCCAGGAGGCGGAGGTTGCAGTGAACCAAGACTGCGCCATTGCATTCCAGCCTGGGTGACTAGAGCGAAACTCTGTCTTAAAAAAAAGAAAAAAAAATATTTTTTCTACTTAGTTCAAGTTCCTAAAAAGGTCTCCAGATTGCCAGATTTCCCTGGAAGCAGGTCAGGGAATGGTCCCCATTAAGAACTATTGAAATACATTAACAAAAAATAAAGACAGATAGAATAGCTGAAACAGTCTTGAAAAAGAAAACTGGAGGACTCACATTTCTTTCTTTCTTCTTTTTTTTTTTGAGATGGAGTTTCACTCTTGTTGCCCAGGCTGGAGTGCAATGGCACGATCTCAGCTCACCGCAACCTCCGCCTCCCGGGTTCAAGCGGTTCTCCTGCCTCAGCTCCCGAGTAGCTGGAATTACAGACATGCACCAACATGCCCGGCTAATTTTTTGTATTTTTAGTAGAGACGGGGTTTCTTCATGTTAGTCAGGCTGATCTCGAACTCCCGACCTCAGGTGATCTGCCTGCCTCAGCCTCCCAAAGTTCTGGGATTACAGGCGTGAGCCACCGCGCCTGGCCAGGACTCACATTTCCTTATCCGAAAACTTACTATATGGTGGGTACAGTGTGCCTTGCTCCAGTGACGAATGCACTGAAGGCCTTGACTTTACCACAATGCAATATATCAGAATAGCAAAATTGGACTTGTACCCTATGATTATGCACATTTTTTAAAAAAGAAAATTTACTACAAAGTTACTGTAATCTGAAGAGTGTGGAACTGGCATAAAGATACACTTACACCAGTGGATTAGATTTGACAGTCTGGAAGTAAACCCTCACATTTACAGTCAGTTGATCTTTGACAAGGGTGCTGTGGTTTTTTAGGTGTCAATTTGCCTGGATTAAGAGACACCCTCATAGCTGGTAAAGCCTTGTATCTGGGTATGACTGTCAGGGTGTTTCCCGAAGAGACTGGCATTGGAGTCAGTGAACTCAGTAAGGAAGACCTGCCCTCACTCACTGTGGGTGGGCACCATCCACTTGGCTGAGGGCCTGGATAGAGCACAAAGGCAGAGGGATGGTGAATTCTCTCTTTCTCTCTCCTGGAGCTGGGACACCCTTTTCCTTTTGTCTTTGGACATTAGAACTCCAGGTTGTTTGGCCTTTGGCCATGGACTGAGGGTACACCATGGCTTCTTTGGTCAGAACTGAGCCATGCTGCCAGCTTCCCTGGTTTTCCAGCATGTAACTGGCTAATCATGGGACTTCTCAGCCTCCGTATTCACACAAGCCAATTCCTCTAACAAATCCCCTCATATATTTAGATCTATTTCTATATCTACAACTATATCTTTATCCCGTTTTCTCTGTCTCTCTGAGGACCCCGACTAGTACAGGTGCCAAGTTAATTGAATGGAGGAAGAATAATCTTTTCAAATAATGATGCTGGGACAACTGGATAACCACCTGCAAAGAAATGAAATTTTGGAACTCTATTTCTCACCATATTCAAAAATTAAAACAGATCAATGAGTTAAGTATAAGAGCTAAAATCATAAGAAACTCTCAGAAGAAAACATAAGGATAAGTCTTTATCACCTCAGATGTGGCAATGGACTTTTTAGATATGACACAAAAACATGAACAACAAAAGGAAAAATAAACTGGACTTTATCAAGATGAAAGCCTTTTGTGCATCAAAGGACATTATCAAGAAAGTGAAAAGATCACCCACCGAATGGGAGAAAAAATTTGCAGACCATTATATGAATAAGGTTTTATGTCCAGAAAATATAAAGAACTGCTACAACTCAATAATAACAAAAACCCAAAAACCTGATTAAAAATGGGCAAAGGGGCTGGATGCGGTGGCTCACGCCTGTAATCCCAGCACTTTGGGAGGCTGAGGCGGGCAGATCACGAGGTCAGGAGTTCAAGACCATCCTGGCTTACACGGTGAAACCCTGTCTCTACTAAAAATACAAAAAATTAGCCGGGCGTGGTGGCAGGCGCCTGTAGTCCCAGCTATTTGGGAGGCTGAGGCAAGAGAATGGGGTGAACCCAGGAGGCGGAGCTTGCAGTGAGCCAAGATTGTGCCACTGCACTCCAGCCTGGGCAACAGAGTGAGACTCGATCTCAACAACAACAACAAAAATGGGCAAAGGACTCAGATGGATATTTGTCTAAATGATATACAAATAGTCAATAAGCACATGAAAAGACACTTAGCATCAATAGTCACTAGTGAAATGCAAATCAAAACCACAGTAAGACACCACATCACACCTATAACAATTGCTACAATTCATTTAAAATGTTAAATAAGAAATGTTGGCAATATGTGGAGAAGTTGGAATCCTCATACATTGCTGGTGGGAATATAAAATGGCACAGTCACTGTGGGAAACGGTTTGGCTTTTCCTTAAAAAGCTGATCACAGAATTATCATATGAAATAGCAATTTCATTGTTAGGTATATGTCCAAAGAATTGAAAACAGGGACTCAAACAGATATTTGCATGGGAATGTTCACTGCAGCATTATTCACAATAGGTAAAGTGTAGAAACAACCCAAGTGTCCATCAACACATGAATGGATAAACAAATATGGTGATACATACAACAGAATGTCAATCAGCCTTAAAATGGAGTGAAGCTCTGACATATGCTGCAACATAGATGGACCTTGGAAACATTATGCTAAGTGAAATAAGCCAGAAACAAAGTGACATATGTGTATGATGCCATTTATATGAAAAATCAAGAATAAGTAAATTCAGAGACAGAAAGTAGATTAGAGATTATCAAGATCTGGGGGTAGGGAGCAATGGGGAATTATTTTTTTTTAATCTTTAATTTTTGTGGTTACATAGTAGGTGTATATATATATATATGAGGTACATGAGACATTTTAGTACAGGCATGCACTGTATAATAATAATATCATGGAAAATTGGGTATCCATCCCCTCAAGCATTTATCCTTTGTGTTACAAACAATCCAATTGCATTCTTTTAGTTACTTTAAAATGTATAATTAAATTATTGTTGACTATAATCCCCTTGTGCTATTGAATAGTAGGTCTTATTCATTCTTTCTATTTTTTTATATCCATTAACTATATACCCACCTCTCCCCTGTCCCGCCACTACCCTTCCTAGTTTCTGGGAACCATCCTTCTCTTCTTTATCTCCATGAGTTCAATTGTTTTGATTTTTAGATCCCACAAATAAGTGAGAACATGTGATGTTTTTCTTCCTGTTCCTGGTTTCACTTAATATGATGACCCTTAGCTCCATCCATATCGTTGCAAATGATAGAATCTCATTTTTTAATGGCTGAATAATACTCTATTGTGTATAAGTGCCACCTTTTCTTCATTCATTCATCTGTTGATGGACACTTAGGTTACGTCCAAATCTTGGCTGTTGTGAACAGCTCTGCAACAAACATGGGAGTACAGATATCTCTTTGATATACTGATTTTCTTTCTTTTGGGTATATACCCAGCAGTAGGATTGCTGGATTGTATGGTAGTTCTATTTTTAGTTTTATGAAGAATCTCCAAACAGTTCTTCATTGTGGTTGTACTAATTTACATTCCCACCAACAGTGTACAAGGGTTCCCTTTACTCCATATCCTTGCTAGCATTTTTAATTGCCTGTCTTTTGAATAAAAGCTATTTTAACTGGGGCAAGATAATATCTCATTGTAGTTTTGATTTGCATTTCTCTGATGATCAATGATGTTCAGCACCTTTTCATATGCCTGTGTGTTATTCGTATGTTTTCTTTTGAGAAAGTCTGTTCAGATATTTTGCCCTTCTTTTAATTGGATTATTAGATTTTTTTCCATAGAGTTGTTTGAGCTCCTTATATATTCTCATTATTAGCATTTCTCGTTCTTTAAGATGCATCGTTAGGTTTTAGGTTATTTATTTGAAGTTCTTCTCTTTCTTTTTTGATGTAGGCACTTAGGGCTATAAATTTCCATCTTGGTACTGCTTTCATTGTATCCCACAGGTTTTGGTATGTTGTGTTTTCATTATCATTTGTTTTGAGAAATTTTCCAATTTCCTTCTTAATTTCTTTGTTGACCCACTGGCCGTTTAGGAGTATATCGTTTAATTTCCATGTGTTTGTATAGTTTCCAAAATACCTCTTGTTTTTGATTTCTAGTTTTATTCCATTGTAGTCAGGGAAGATACTTGATATTACTTCAATTTTTTTGAATGTTTTAAGACTTGTTTTGTGACCTAATATATAGCCTATTTTTGAGAATGATCCATGTACTGAGGAGAAGAATGTGTATTTTGCAGCCATTGAATGAAATGTTCTATAGTTCCATTTGTTCTATAGTTCAGATTAAGTCTGATGTTTCTTTGTTGATTTTCTGTCTGGGAGATCTGTCTAATGCTGAAAGTGAGGCGTTGAAGTCTCCAGCTATTATGGTATTGGGGTCTATTTCTCTAATATTTGATTTATATATTTGGGTGCTCCAGTTTTGGGTGCATATATGTTTACAATTGTTATATCCTCTTGCTGAATTGACCCTTTTATCATTGTATAATGACCTCCTTTGTCCCTTCTAACAGTTTTTGTCTTTCAGTCTATTTTGTCTGATATAAGTATAGCTACTCCTACTCTCTTATTGGTTTCCGTTGGCATGGAATATCTTTTTCCATCCCTTTAATTTCAGTCTATGTGTATCTTTATGGTTGAAATGTGTTTCTTGCAGGCAACAGATAATTGGGTCTTATTTTTCAGCCGTTCAGCCATACTGTATCTTTTTTTGGAGAATTTAGTCCATTTACATTCAATGTTATTACTGATAAGTAGGGACTTACTCCTGTCATTTTGTTATTTGTTTTTCTGTTTTTATTTATTGCAGTCTTCTCTTTCTTCTTTCCTTCCTTCCTGTCTTCCTTTTAGTGAAGGTGATTTCCTCTGGTGGTATACTTTAATTTCTAGCTTTTTATTTTTTGTGCGTCTGTTGTATGGTTTTTGATTTGTGGTTACTATGAGGCTTGCAAATACTATCTTAAAACCATTATTTTAAACTGATGACAACTTAACACTGATTACATAAACAAACAAACATGCAAAAAGAAAACTAATAAAAGCTCTACACTTCAACTTCGTCACCCCACTTTTTAATGTTTTGTTGTTTCTGTTTATGTCGTATTGTACTGTCTGTGTCCTGAAAAGTTAATGTAGTCGTGATTTTTGATTGGTTCATCATTTAGTCTTTCTACATAAGAGAAGTTTATACACCACAATTACAGTGTTATACTATTCTGTGTGCTTAACTATTACCAGTGAGTTTTGTACCTTTACGTGATTTCTTCTTCATCATTAACATCCTTTCCTTTCAGGTTAAAGGATTAAATTTAGCATTTCTCATAGGACAGGTCTGGTGTTGATGAAATCCCTCAGCTTTTGCTTGGGAAGGTCTTTATTTCTCCTTCGTGTTTGAAGGATATTTTTGCCTGATATACTATTCTAGGGTAAAAGTTGTTTTCCTTCAGCACTTTAAATATGCCATACACTCTCTCCTGGCCTGTAAGGTTTCCACTGAAAAGTCTGCTGCCAGATGTATTGGAGCTCCATTGTATGTTGTTTCTTTTCTCTTGCTGCTTTTAGGATCCTTTGATCTTTGATCTTAGGGAGTTTGATTGTTAAACGCCTTGAGGTAGTCTTCTTTGTGTTAAATCTGCTTGGTGTTCTATAACCTTCTTGTATTTGAATGTTGATATCTTTCTCTAGGGTTGGGAAGTTCTCTTATATTATTCCTTTGAATAAACCTTATGTGCCTATCTTTTTCTCTACCTCCTCTTTAAGGCCAATAACTTTTTTTTTTTTTTTCCTGGAGATGGAGTCTTGCTCTGTCACCAGGCTGGAGTGCAGTGGCACAGTCTCAGCTCACTGCAAGCTCCGCCTCCCAGGTTCACGCCATTCTCCTGCCTCAGCCTCCTGAGTAGCTGGGACTACAGGCACCTGCCACCACGCCTGGCTAATTTTTTTGTATTTTTTAATAGAGACGGGGTTTCACCGTATTAGCCAGGATGGTCTCCATCTCCTGACCTCGTGATCCACCCGCCTAGGCCTCCCAAAGTGCTGGGATTACAGGCGTGAGCCACCGTGCCTGGCCTAAGGCCAATAACTCTTAGATTTGCCATTTTGAGCCTATTTTCTAGATCTTATAGATATGCTTCTTTTTTTTTTTTTTTTGTCTCCTCTGTGTTTTCAAATAGCCTGTCTTCAAGCTCACAAATTCTTCTGCTTGATCAATTCTGCTATTAAGAGACTCTGTTGCATTCTTCAACATGTCAATTGCATTTTTCAACTCTAGAATTTCTGCTTGAATCTTTTTAATTATTTTAATCTCTTTGTTAACATTTTAATTTTATTTATTTTATAGAGACAAGGTCTCATTCTGTTGCCCAGGCTGGTCTCAAACTCCTGAGTTGAAGTGATCCTCTGGCCTCTGTCTCCCAAAGTGTTAGGATTACAGACACGAGCCACTGTGCCCAGCCTCTTTGTTAAATTTATCTGATAGGATTCTGAATTCCTTCTCTGTGTCGTCTTGAATTTGAGTTTCCTCAAAACAATTATTTTGAATTCTCTGTCTGAAAGGTCACATATTTCTCTTTCTCCAGGATTGGTTCCTGGTGTCTTATTTAGCTTGTTTAGTGAGGTCGTGTTTTCATGGATGGTGTTGATGCTTATAGGTGTTTGTTGGTGTCTGGTCACTGAAAAGTTAGGTATTTATTGTAGTCTTCATGTCATAGTCTGGGCTTGTTTATGCCTGTCTTTCTTGGGAAGGCTTTCCAGGTATTTGAAGGCACTTGGGTCCCAAGCCCAAGAATGCTGTGGTTTTTGCAGACTTACATAGGTACTGCCTTGGCGATCTTGGATAAGATCTGGAAGAATTATCTGGATTACCAGGTAGAGACTCTTGTTCTTTTCCCTTAATTTGTTTCAAACAAATGGAATCTCTCCGTTTGTGCAGAGCCACCTGGAACTGGGAGTGTGGTGATGCAAGCACTCTGTGGCCACCACCACTGGGATTGTGCTGGGTCAGACCTAAGCACCGCACTGGGTCTTGCCCAAGGCCCTTCCCTTGAGGGTGGTGAGGTCTCCCAAGCCTCAGATGTGTCTAGAAATGCTGTCTGGGAGGCAGGGATTGGAGTCAAAAACTGTGGCTGATTAGCCAGGCATGGTTGTGGGTGCCTGTAATCCCAGCTACTCAGGAAGCTGAGGCAGGAGAATCGCTTGAACCTGGGAGGCAGAGGTTGCAGTGATCAGAGATCATGCCATTGCACTCCAGCCTAGGCGACAAGAATGAGACTCCATTGCAACAAACAAATGAATAAACAAACTGTGGCTAATCTGGCACTCAAACAATGCAAAGTCCTTCCTGCTCTTCCTTCCCCTTTCTCCAGCACCACCACTGTTCCACAGGGGATTCCACCCGTCCTCTGCTGATGTTCACTTAAAGCCCAGGGGTTCTTCCATCAGCTTGTGGTGAATGCTGCCAGGCCTGGGACTCACTCTTCAGGGCAGTGGGCTCCCCTCTGGCCCAGGGAAGGTCCAGAAATGTTCTCCAGGAACATAGGCCTGGACTCGGGGACCCCAAGAGACTGCTGGTTACTCTATCCCACTGTGGCTGAGCTGGTACCTGAGGCACAAGACAAAGTCCCCTTTACTTTTTCCTCTATTTTTCTCAAGTAGAAGGAGTCTCTCCCCATGGCTACCACAGCTGGGAATGCACTGGGTCACCCCTGAAGCCAGCATGTCTCAGAGCCCAAGGCCCACTGCATATTACCTGGGTATCACTACTGGTTATTCAGGGCCCAGGGGCTCTTTAGTCAGCAGGTGATGAGTTCTGCCAGGATTGGGTCCTTTCCTTCAAGGCAGTGGGCTCCCTTTTGGCTCACGGTGTGTCTAGAGATGTCATCTGGGAGCTAGGGCCTAGAATAAGGGCCTCATGACTCTGCCCAGTTCCCTGTCCTGCTGTGGCTGAGCTGGTATCCAAGATGCAAGACAAAATCCTCTTTACTCTTCTCTCTTCTCTCCTTAAGCAGAAGGAGGGAGTCACTTTCGTTGCCTCTAGCTGCGTTGCCTGAGGTTGGGGGAGGGGTGGTGAAAGCATTCCCTTAGCCATGCCAGCTGGTGTCTCCCTTGGTTACACGCCACTCTAGTCCACTGGCTTTAAGCCCAGCCTAACTAGGAGTTGCCTTTTAAGTTTACCTAGGACTCCAGAGCACATCAGCCCACCGTGGGGAGGCTTGCTGAAAAACTGAAGTTCCGACTGCTGGGATGGGTGATACCTGTCTGGCTAGGGCTGGTCCAAGTACTGCCTCTCTGTGTGGGCACTGGCTGAGCCCAGCATGCCTTTATTCTTTGCTGTGATGGGGCAGCACTGAATTCAATGTAAGGTCCTCCAGTGGCCGCACTCACCCTTCCCAAAGTGCAGATTCTCTCTCCATGTTGCAGGGCTGCTGCGGGTTGGTGGGGGATGGGTGAGGGGTGGTGTGGCCTCTCTCCGGCCCTCTTCAGTGCCTTTTTTCTTTCTTTTTGTAAGACAGAGCCTTGCTCTGTCGCCCAGGCTGGAGTGTAGTGGTGCAATCTCAGCTTACTGCAGCCTCTGCCTCCTGGGTTCAAGTGATTCTGATGCCTCAGCCTCTCGAGTAGCTGGGATTATGAAAGTGCGCCACCACACCTGGCTAATTTTTGTATTTTTTTTTTTTTTTTTTTTTTGAGGCGGAGTCTCACTCTGTTGCCCAGGCTGGAGTGCAGTGGTGCAATCTCGGCTCACTACAACCTCCGCCTCCTGGGTTCAAGCGATTCTTCTGCCTCAGCCTCCCGAGTAGCTGGGACTACAGCCACGTGCCACCATGCCCGGCTAATTTTTGTATTTTTAATAGAGATGGGGTTTCACCATGTTGCCCAGGGTGGTCTCAAATTCCTGACCTTGTGATCCACCCGCCTCAGCCTTCCAAAGTGCTGGGATTACAGGTGTGAGCCACTGCGCCCGGCCTAATTTTTGTATTTTTAGTAGAGATGGGGTCTATGTAGCCCAGGCTGGTCTCATGCTCCTGACCTCAAGTGATCCACCTGCCTTGGCCTCCCACAGTGCTGGGATTACAGGCATGAGCCACTGCACCTGGCCCAATGCCTCTTTCAGCGATATGAAGTTAAAACCAGGTACTGTGATTGCTCCCCTGGTTTTGGTTCTTGTGACAGTGCTTTTCTCTGTGCAGATTAAAATGTAGTGTTCCAGTGGTGTGGGGGTGAGGGGACAAATGGTGTAGGCGTCTATTCTACTGTCTGGCTGTTTGGGGTGATGAAAATTTTCTGGAAAAATTAGTGATGATGGTGGTTTAACATTGTGAATATAGTTAATTCCACTTGTGTATTTAGAGACAGGGTCTCACCATGTTGCCCAGACTAGACTCCAACTCCTGGCCTCAAGCAATCCTCCCTCCTCAGCCTCCTGAGTAGCTGGGGCTACAGGAGCCCTCCATCAGGGCTCTGTAGTAAATTCCATTTAATTGTACAGTTTAAAATGGTTAAAAGATACATTTTTTGATATGTATATTTTATTACAGTTTTAAATAAGTATTTGGTGAAAAAAACCCCACCATATAAAATACCCACCCTGGGCAAATAGTCCTCAAACTCATGTGCGGACCCCTCATGACATTCTGTGCAGAGATCCAATGATTTAGACATGAGACTGACCAGACAACTGCAGATGCATGAAATAAATGTACTTTCAAAGAGACAGTTCCGCTGGGACCTGTGGGCCCCGCAGAGGGGAGGTCAGCAGCCCCCTGGAAAGGCCCTAGGCTGGGGCCCTCTGGTGGACAGTGAGGAAATTGTAGACGAAAAGGTCATGCCAAACTGGTTTGTTTAAAAAAAATCATCGTTTGTTTTTAATGTGTCTAGACAAAATTTCAACACTGTCATGTTCCATATATTTTCTTTCGCAGTGTTCTTTGATTCTAGCTCTTCTCTGGTGTGTGTGTGTGTGTTTTTTTTTTTTTTGAGACGGAGTCTCGCTGTCGCCCAGGTTGCAGTGTAGTGGCGCGATCTCGGCTCACTGCAGGCTCCGCCCCCCGGGGTTCACGCCATTCTCCTGCCTCAGCCTCCCGAGTAGTAGCTGGGACTACAGGCGCCCGCCACCTCACCCGGCTAATTTTTTGTATTTTTAGTAGAGACGGGGTTTCACCGTGTTAGCCAGCATGGTCTCGATCTCCTGACCTCGTGATCCGCCCGCCTCGGCCACCCAAAGTGCTGGGATTACAGGCGTGAGCCACCGCGCCCAGCCTCTCTGGTGTTTTAAAACAAGCTTACACTAAACTCAGATGTTCAAAGTCTGATGCCCTGCCACTTTCTTACTTCAGTGCATGTTTCTTTTTCGAGACGGAGTCTCGCTCTGTCGCCCAGGCTGGAGTGCAGTGGTTCTATCTCGGCTCCTGCAACCTCCGCCTCCTGGGTTCCAGCGATTTTCCTGCCTCAGCCTCCTGAGTAGCTGGGATTACAGGTGGGTGCCACCACACCCAGCTAATTTTTGTATTTTTAGTAGAGATGGGGTTTCACCATGTTAGCCAGGGTGGTCTCGAACTCAGGTGATCCACCTGTCTCCACCTCCCAAAGTTCTGGGATTATAGGCGTGAGCCACTGCGCCCGGCCTCAGTGCACGTTTCTTATAATTCCTTTTAAAATCTGACCATTGTCATGGGCATGCATCAAGTCTGTGAATGCAGACCTCTGGGATATGCCCAGTGGGAATACTGGGGACTCAGGGAATAGTTATCACCCAAGGTAGGATGGCATGAGGCAGTATCAAGGGACACCTGCAGGGGGGTGGGGGTTGTGTCCCACAGATGGTGGGAGCCACAGATGGTTTCATCAGGACAGAGGCACAATAACCGCATCTTGATGGTCTCAGGGCTTAGACTCACCTGTTGCGTCCAGAACCAGGCATTGACCAGGGTTCAAATTAGTGCTCCACCTGCAGAGCCCTGGGCAGAGATGGACAACAGCCTCCCCCTGCAGGACAGTCAGTGCAGGGCTGGGTCACCTCAGCACTCCACAGGCCTTTGCCTGCAGTGTTCTCCTGGCCAGGGAGGAGGCCAGGCCCATCCCTGTCACATCATCTAAGGGGCTGTCTGCCCTGAGGGTCTGCAGAAGAGTTGAACAGAGTAAGGGGCATAGGAAGCAGTAGAGCCGTGTCTCTTCTTGAGCTGTGTTAACTTTTGTCTTCTTAGTCCCTGAGGTCACTCCCAAATGTGGGCATCTAGACCTGAGGCAGGAGGGTAGGACGGGGCCAGCTTCTTGGCATGTGACCTGTGTTATCACATGGGGGCCTGTGCTTAGAAGGGTCCTGCACTTAATATAGTGCCCTTCTGTGGCTGTGTTGAAACCCTCTTAATCCTGTCTTGAAGAAGGATACTGCATTTTCAGGTTGCACTGAATCCCCCACATTATGTGGCTCTTCCTGGGTCAGGAGCAGGGAGAGGGAGAGGCCATGAGATGAGGGGGAGGCTCAGGGCTGGATGGGACCCATGTCCCCTAGGGCTCTGTGCTGCCCTTGTCTTAGGACCTGCAGGGCGGTTTGGTCTCATCTGTTCACTCCCAGTGTCCACTGAATGGTGCTTGTATAGCAGGGACTGTCCCACTATCCAGGACAAGCCTATAGTGTGTGTGCTCACTCAGTATGTGTGTCAGGCTGGACAGAACCTCACTTTATCCCTGTCTGCTGTGGGATCTGCAGCAAGGATCCCCTCCTGGGAGTCTCGGTGTCTCTGTACCTGAGTGGTGGGATGAGGAGACCTCAAAGGGCCATCTCAGAGGGGACTCAACAGTGTTGGGGCTGGAGGAGGCCTGGGCTCTGGGGCCCGAGGATGTCACACACCTCTTGAGTCTTTTGAAATGGTTTCATCTGTTATTTTGAAAATCATATAGGTGGCTGGGCATAGTGGCTCACGCCTGTAATCCCAGCACTTTGGGAGGCCGAGGCGGGTGGATCATGAGGTCAGGAGATTGAGACCATCCTGGTTAACATGGTGAAACCCCATCTCTATTAAAATTACAAAAAATTAGCCAGGTATGGTGGCAGGCGCCTGTAGTCCCAGCTACTCAGGAGGCTGAGGCAGGAGAATGGCGTGAACTCCGGAGGTGGAGCTTGCAGTGAGCTGAGATCACACCACTGCACTCCAGCCTGGGCAACAGAGGGAGACTCCATCTCAAAAAAAAACAAAAAACAAACAAAAAAAAAACGGTCACATAAGAAAGCACACTTATTGTAAATTCCAGCAATATAAGCGCTTGTAAAATGATGTGTCAGATCCCTGACCCCACCCCACTCCAATTCCATTTCCAGGATGTAACCACTGTTTGCAGTTGGTATGAATCTTTCAATAATACTTTCTCATTTGTCCCACTCATTGTTTATACAGCCAAACATTAATGAATTATATTATTAATTGGTAATGTTGTTTTATAGTGAAGCATGTATGGTGGACACTTCCTTTCTCAACACATGTGGATTTGCTCCAATTGTGTTTCTTTTTCTGTTTTAGAGGTTTTATTTTAGGTTCAGGGGTACATGTACAGGTTTATTATATACATAAACTGCATGTCACAGGGGTTTGGTGTACAGATGATTTTGTTACCCAGGTATTAAGCCTAGTACCCAACAGGTGTTTTGTCTGATCCTCTCCCTCCTCCCACCCTCCACCCTCAAGTAGGCCCCAGTGTTTGTTCTTCTCTTTGTGTCCATGGGTTCCAATCATTTAGGTCCCACTTAAAAGTGAGAACATGCGGCTGGGCATGGTGGCTTACGCCTGTAATCCCAGCACTTTGGGAGGCTGGGGGGGGGGCGGGGGGTGGATCACGAGGTCAGGAGTTCGAGACCAGCCTGCCCAGTATGGTGAAACCCCGTCTCTACTAAAAATGCAAAAATGAGAACATGTGATATTTGGTTTTCTGTTCCTCTGTTAGTTTGCTAAGGATAATGGCCTCCAGCTCCATCCATGTTTCTGCAAAGGAAATGACCTCATTCTTTTTTGTAGCTGTGTAGTATTCCATGGTGTGTACGTACCACATTTTCTTTATCCAGTCTACCATTGATGGACATTTATGTTGATTCCATGTCTTTGCTATTGTGAATGGTGCTGCAATGAACATTCGTGTGCATGTGTCCTTATGGTAGAATGATTTATATTCCTCTGGGTGTATACCCAGTAATGGGGTTGCAGGGTCAAATGGTACTTTTGTTTTTAGCTCTTTGAGGAATTGCCATACTGCTTTTCACAATCGCTAAACTAATTTACATTCTCACCAACAGTGTATAAACGTTCCATTTTCTCTCTCTCTTTTTTCTTTTTTAGACAGTCTTGCTTTGTTGCCCAGGCTGGAGTGTAGTGGCACAGCCTCAGCTCTCTGCAAACTCCACCTCCTGGGTTCAAGTGATTCTTGTGCCTCAGCCTCCTAAGTAGCTGGGACTACAGGCGTGCACCACCACGCCTGGCTAATTTTTGTATTCTTAGTAGAGTCGAGGTTTCATCCTGTTGGGCAGGCTGCTCTTGAACTCCTGGCCTCAAGTGGTCCTCCCTCCTTGGCTTCCCAAATTGCTGGGATTACAGGTGTAAGCCACCGTGCCCAGCACATTCCTTTTTCTCTGCAACTTCAGCAGCATCTGTTATTTTTTGACTTTTTAATAATAGCCACTCTGGTGTGAAACGGTATCTTACTGTGGTTTTGATTTGCATTTCTCTAATAATTAGTGATGTTGAGCATTTTTTCATATGCATGTTGGTCCATATGTTCAAGCTTTTGAAAAGCATCTGTTGATGTTCTTTGCCTTTTCATTGCTTTCCCCTTATTTATTTTATTGCATGGCTACACTGTGATGCTTTATCCACTCGCCTATTGGATTTGACGCTGTGTCCCACTCTTCATGTTGACAAGACATTCTGCAGTGACTATCCTCATACACATATCTTTTCCCCACGTGGAGTATTAATCCAGGAACTCATTCATTCAGCTCTTATAAAGTACCCTGGCCAGGCTGTGGGCAGGTCAAGGGCTTTAACAGAGACAGGGCAGGCACAGTCCTGCCTTCTCAGAGCTCACCGCTCAGTGGGACTCTCAGAAGTGGGATAGTGGTCAAAGCGTATGCACACTGAACACAATGAGGCCAGGGCTGGGTGTGATGGCTGAGTTCAAACCTGCAATTCCAGAGCTTTGGGAGGCCAAGGCAGGAGGTTGCTTGAAGCTAGGAGTTGAAGGCTGCAGTGAGCTATGATCATGCCACTGTACTCCTGCCTAGGCAACAGAGCGAGACTCCATCTCAAAAACCTCCACAAGACCTAAAAAATCATGGGCCAAAGTTGTTGTTGTAAGTACTGCAGTCCCATCAGGAATATATGAAAATGTCCATCTCCAGTATCCCCACCTTTCTTGGAATAATGATTGAAGTAGAAAGTGCCCGTGTTCTTGTGCCTACCTCTGCCCACACACCGTCTTCACTTACACTTAGTCATCCACCACTTACCCTTTCACTAAGTGCTATTGATTATGTCCATGTGGTGGACCAGATGCCAGGAGCCCCAAGATGTCCTGAGCAGCTCCCTCTGCTCGTCCTTCCAAGAGTTCTGGTTCCACAGGTGACCCCTGTAGAACCTGTGATTACCACTGAAGGCTGACAGTGAGTGGTGGGTGTTCCAGGAGGGGCCGTCACCTCCATGTACAGGGTTGGGGAGGGTGGAAGGGAGCAAGTGGCTGATGGCTTTGGCTGTAAGGCAGGTGGACAGGCTGATGTGGGCTCCTGGGAAGGGATGGAGAGGGGAGGGGAGGGGAGGGGAGGAGAGGGAAGGGGAGGGAAGAGAAGGGAATGATACAGAGGTTGGAACCTGCCTTCATGGACCAAGAACAGCAGGGAGGCCATCCAGGCTGCAGCTGGGGAGGGAAGATGTGGGGAGTAGTGGGTGAAGGGAGAAGCAGACTGTGATTGATCTTGGGGGCTGGGCGGTGAGCAGAGGTGTGTTACGTGTCTGTCCCTGCCATTGATATGAGGAGGGGTGGGGCTGTGGGTGACACCTGGGTCAGTGGGATTTCCTAGTGTCTGCTGTTCCCCAAAGCCTCTCCATATAGAGGGTCAGTATAGATCTGATGCTGTGTCTGGGGGAAGGGGCTGGTGGTCCGAGGCAGCCTGTGGTGCTTACTGACCCTAGGGATGAAAGGAAAGGGATGAGGAAGCCTCTTTACAGTGAAGCCTCAGGTATGTGAAGCCACAGGTGTCTCACCTGGTGACTGTCATCAGACATGTGCCTTGGGTGACAGTTTCAGGGTTCAGGTGGTTGTTATTGTTATGATGTTTGCCTGACAAGGACCCAGGTATCCAGGGATCGAGAGCACAAGACCCCTGGTGAGGGGAGGGTCAGATGAGAATGAGCAGGTTCAAGTGGTCAGAGTGGGAGGGATTCCTGGAGAGACTGAACCTCAACTCTTCCTGTCAGGAGCTGTGGCTGTGTCCAGGAGAGATGACAAGGGTGACCCAGGACATTGAGTGAGTCATCGAGACATTGGATATGAGGACAGGGCAGAGAGGACCCTGGTGACTGCTCAGATGTGGGATGTGAGGAGGGCTCTGACTCATGCAAGTTACAGGATCCCCCAACCCCTGAGCCCACAGGTGACCCTTACACTGGGGATTCTGAGTGCTGTGTGTGCCCAGAAGGGACACTGGATTGGCTGGACCTGAGTCCCTGAAGGGCAGGGATGGTCTGTAGGGCCAGAGTCTTCTCTGTGGGTGTGATGTAAGCAGGAATGAGCAAGATGGGGGTGATAAGGCTTGGCTTGGAGGAGCTGGTAGAGGAGCCCAGGGGCTTGGGTCAGCTCCGCTTCCCAGGGGCTCAGCTGGGGCTGGAGGAGCAGGATGCTGTGCTCAGGGTGTGCTCCAGGCAGGGTGATGTGTGTGGTTCCAGGGTCAGGCAAGAGGGTAAAAAATTAATCATGAAAAATTCCCACCTTTTGTAGGCAGAGACAGTGGCCTGAGTGTCAGGGGCAGAAAGATGCATCATGAGGCAGGAGCAGGCACTCAGCCTCCCAGAGACCACACCCTGGGTGCAGCACTCAGCCCTGCAGGGAGTGGCAACAGATGTGCCTACAACCCTAACGTCCAGGCACCTGCAACAAATGTTTCTCCCTCATTGCATCTTTCTCATGTGGAATAGAATGGGCAGTGATATGGTTTGGCTGTGTCCCCACCCAAATCTCATCTTGAATTGTAATTCCCGTAATCCCTACATGTTGTGGGAGGGACCTGGTGAGAGGTAATTGAATCATGGGAGTCGTTCCCCCATGCTAGTCTAATGATAGTAAGTTCTCATGAGATCTGATGGTTTTATAAAGAGCCTCCCCCTTTGGTTGGCTCTCATTCTTCTCATTGATGCTGCCATTTGAAGGACATGTTTGCTTCCCCTTCTGCCATGACTGTAAGTTTCCTGAGGCCTTCCCAGCCATGCTGAAGGTGAGTCAATTAAACCTATTTCCTTTTTAGATTACCCAGTCTCCAGCAGTTCTTTATAGCAGCTTCGGAACGGACTAATACAGGCAGCTTTTCCCGCAGTCTCTTTCCATCCATGTGCTGCCTGCTGTGATGCCTGGGAATGGGGGGGGGGGGGGGGCGGGCACTGAGTCACTGTCCAGGGTGCTGATGTCCATGAACTGTTGAAGAGCTAATGAGTTGTGATCTCCCAGTTACTTCTGCTTTCATTTATTCTTAACAACTGAGCATGTCACCAAGGAAAAGATAGAGAGGTACTAGGGGCATGGAGAGCCCTCTGTCTCTCTCTCTCAGGACCTGGAGGGTGCTGGGGACATCACTACAGTCAGGATGACCTCATCCAGGTACCCATGTATAGTTTGTAGTGAATGATGATGAGAAAATGGCCTTGAGAGGAGTGATGGGCAGAACAAGAACCTCTCAAAGATGTGCTCATCCTCATCCCCATATCTGTGAATAAGTCTCATGGTAAAAGACACTTTACAGATTAAAGGAAAGATCATGAGATGGGGAGTGATAAGGCTTGGCTGTGTCCCCACCCAAATCTCATCTTGAATTCCTATGTATTGTGGGAGGGGCCTGGCGGGAGGTAATTGAATCATGGGGGCAAGTCTTTCCCATGCTGTTCTTGTGATAGTGAGTGGGTCTCAGAAGATCTGATAGGTTTATAAGGGGGAGTTTCCCTGTACAAACTCTCTTTTTGCCTGCTGCCATCCATGTAAGACATGACTTGCTCCTCCTTCCCTTCTGCCATGATTTTGAGGCCTCCCCAGCCATGTGGAACTGTAAGTCCATTAAACCTCTTTCTTTTGTAAATTGCCCAGTCTCAGGTATGTCTTTATCAGCAGCATGAAAACAGACTAATATAGTAAATTGGTACCAATAGAGTGGGGTGCTGCTGAAAAGATACCCCAAAATGTGGAAGCAACTTTGGAACTGGGTAACAGGCAGGGGTTGGAACAGTTTGGAGGGGTCAGAAAAAGACAGGAAAATATGGGAAAGTTTGGAACCTCCTAGAGACTTGTTGAATAGCTTTGCCCAAAATGCCGATAGCAATATGGACAATAAAGTCCAGACTGAGGTGGTCTCAGATGGAAGTGAGGAACTTGTTAGGAACTGGAGCAAAGGTGACTCTTGTTTTGTTTTAGCAAAGAGACTGGTGGCATTTTGCCCCAGCCCTAGAGATTTGTGGAACTTTGAGCTTGTAAGAGATGATTTAGGGTATCTGGGGGAAGAAATTTCTTTTTCTTTTTTTTTTTTTTTTTTTGAGACAGAGTTTCACTCTTATTGCCTAGGCTGGCATGCAATGGTACGATCTTGGCTCACTGCAACCTCCGCCTCCTGGGTTCAAGTGATTCTCCTGCCTCAGCCTCCCGAGTAGCTGGGATTACAGGCATGCACCACCACACCTGGCTAATTTTGTATTTTTAGTAGAGATGGGGTTTCTCCATGTTGGTCAGGCTGGTCTTGAACTCCTAACCTTAGGTGATCTGGCCACCTCGGCCACCCAAAGTGTTGGGATTACAGGCATGAGCCACCACACCCAGCCTTCTGGTGGAAGAAATTTCTAAGCAGTGAAGCATTCAAGAAATGACTTGGGTGCTGTTAAAGGCATTCAGTTTTATAAGGGAAGTGGAGCATAAACATTTGGAAAATTTGCAGCCTGACAATGCAGTAGAAAAGAAAATCCCATTTTCTGAGGAGAAATTCAAGCTGGCTGCAGAAATTTGCATAAGTAATGAGGAGCCAAATGTTAATCCCCAAGACAATGGGGAAAATATCTTCAGGGCACGTCAGAGTTCTTCACAGCAGCCCCTCCCATCACAGGCCCAGAGGCTTAGGAGGAAAAAGTTTCATGGGTTGGGCCCAAGGTCTCTGTGTTGTGTGCAGTGTAGAGACTTGGTGCCCTGCATCCCATCTGCTCTAGCTGTGGCTGAAAGGGGCCAACATAGAGCTTGGGCCATGACTTCAGAGGGCGCACGCCCCAAGCCTTGGCAGCTTGCATGTGGTGTTGAGCCTATGGGTGCACAGAAGTCAAGAATTGGGGTTTCAGAACCTCCGCCTAGATTTCAGAAGAGGTATGGAAACGCCTGGATGCTCAGACAGGAGTTTGCTGCAGGGGCAGGGCCCTCATGGAGAACCTCTTCTAGGGCAGTGCAGAAGAGAAATGTGGGGTTGGAGCCCCCACACAGAGTCCCTACTGGGGCACCACCTAGTGGCACTGCGAGAAGAGGGCCACCGTCCTCCAGATCCCAGAATGGTATATCCACTGACAGCTTGTACCATGTGCCTGGAAAAGCTGCAGACACTCAATGCCAGCCCATGAAAGTAGCCAGGAGGGAGGCTGTATCTTGCAAAGCCACAGGGGCGGAGCTGCCCAAGACCATAGGAACCCCCCTCTTGCATCAGCATGACCTGGATGTGAGACATGGAATCAAAGGAGATCATTTTGGAGCTTTAAGATTTGACTGCCCCACTGGATTTCAGACTAGCATGGAGCCTATGGCCCATTCGTTTTGGCCAATTTCTCCCATTTGGAATGGCTGTATTTACCTAATGTGTGTGCCCCCCTTGTATCTAGGAAGTAACTAACTTGCTTTTGATTTTGCAGGTTCATAGGCAGAAGGGACTTGCCTTGTCTCGGATGAGACTTTGGGCTGTGGACTTTTGAGTTAATGCTGAAATGAGTTAAGACTTTGGGGGACTGTTTGGAAGGCATGATTGGTTTTGAAATGTGAGGACATGAGATTTGGGAGGGGCCAGGGTGGAATAATATGGTTTGGCTCTGTCCCCACCCAAATCTCATTTTGAATTACCACATGTTGTGGGAGGTAATTGAATCATGGGGGCAGGTCTTTCCCATGCTGTTCTTGTGATGGTGAGTGGGTCTTATGAGATCTGATGGTTTTATAAGGGGGAGCTTCCCTGAACAAGCTCTCTCTTTTTGCCTGCTGCCATCCATGTAAGACATGACTTGGTCCTCCACCTTCTGCCATGATTGTGAGGCCTCCCCAGCCATGTGGAACTGTAAGTCCATTAAACCTATTTCTTTTGTAAATTGCCCAGTCTCAGGTGTGTCTTTAGCAGCAGCATGAAAATGGACTAATACAGGGAGATTATTGTGGTTTATCCAAGATGTGTCCAAAATAACCACAAGGCCCCTTTCTTATAAGTAAGAGAGGGAGGCAGGTGTGGGTGGAGATGTGGAGACAGAAGCAGAGGACAGAGTGGTTTCAAGATGCTGCACTGCTGTCTCTGAAGATGGAGAAAAAGGACACAACCAAAGATGTAGGCACCCTCTAGGAGGTGGAAAAGGAGAAGAAGCGGACTCTGACCTGGAGCTTCCAGAAAGCACACAGCCATGAGGGCGCCTTGGTTCATGTTTTTATGTCACTCAGCTTGTGGTAATTTGTCATAGCATCAACAAGAAACTAAAAAGGTGTCACCTTTCCTCATCTGACGGTGTGTGCAGGTGGGATAAGGGGTCATTTAGAGTTAAATCCTGATGCAAATCCTGAGGTAAATCAACCCATTACCAGTTGTTTTCTTACCTCTCATCTCATGATGAACAGCCTGTGGCAGTGGCAGAACACCCTTGGGAACCATGGCTCTGTGCTTTAGTGCAGGGACTGGCTTGTTTGTCGGAAGGTGCTGCCCGGTCCAAGTGAACCTACATGAGATTGTCACCCTTCCAGGGGCCCTCAGGGAAGGGCTGAGAACCGCTGGCCCAGGTGTGTGGAGGAGCTGCAGGTGAGGCAGGGCTGGAGGGGCCAGGTAGAGGAGCAGACAGGTTGTCCTGTCACCATGGGAGCCTGCATGAGCTTTAGGTTGGGGAGCCCTGCTCCTCTGACCTGGATGCTCCTGTGTGGAAAGGAGGCTTGCTCAATGAGATCCACGCCAGGGGGTAAATTGGGAACTGATGGGAAATGAGGGGCTAGAGTCCTGGGTAATGCCTTGGAGGACCTTGCTCGAGGACTGAATTTTTGGTCTGTCCCCACCTTGATTACTCTGACAGCCCCTCTCTGTGTCCCACCAGGGGTAAAAATGTCCTGAGCAGTGGCCACTGGGACAGAGGAGAACCTGGTGGCCAGGGCTAAGCATCCAGGATCCTGGATTTGGGGACAGGCAAACTCACTTGTGGAGGACAGTGATAGACAGGGCCGCCAGGGCCTGGGTGAAGAGGGCAGGAGGGCTCAGGACACTGGAGGCTGTGTGGGGGTCACAGCCACGATCTATACCACCCATGTATGCTCCTGCATTGCTCACCTTTGTGTGGACATCAGATGGCCCCATCTTCCACGCTCCTGAGACCCCACATGCATTCACAGAGGAACCCAGGCTGGGGCAGTGCATGGCCTTGGTCCCTGGGGTAGTGGGAAGACAGCTGAGTGCTTGGCTGGCTGGGCAGGGCTCCTGTGAATCCTGCCCTTTCCTGTGTAGGGTCCACCCCAGCCTGACTCCCAACCCCCTACTCCTGTCTCCCAGGAAAGAGAGACTGGGGTTGAGAAAAGGTGGAGATATTTTCCCTGTGTGAGCTGGGAGAGAATGGACGTGGAGTTTCAGGTGAGTTTCTGCTAAGTTCTCACGAGCAGAAAAAGAGCCAATGAGAGGAAGGTTCCCCTTTATTCAGATCCTTTCCAGGTGACCCCGGGTGGGCCACAGGCCCATTCACTTTCCCTGCAAGCCCCCACTTCCTGTGGTGATGGGAAGCCTTTGTCCTGACCCACCCAGAGCCCAGGGCAGTCTGTTGAGGTCTCCATATATTCAGCAGGGACTCCCATCCCTCCCTGTCCCCAGGCCAGTGTCTCCTCAGGACTCAGAGCTGGTTCTCTGGCTCAGGCTCCATGTCCTTCCCCATCCCCAGGGCTGGGAGCTTCGGGGACGCTCCAACAACCCACAGGAGCAGCTCCCAGAGGAACCTAAGAAACCACATCTGCTTTGTGGTTGACCCAGCAGTAAATGTTTGTGTCATGGTTTAGCAATTCCTGCAAAAAAAAAAAAAAAAAAAAAAAAAGAGAAGAGGCCTTGACCCCTGTGGCTTTCTGAGAACAGAGTCTGGTGTCTCCCAGGCTCTGGGCCCATCCAGGGCTGCTCTGATGCTGAACCTGGCTGTGCTCAGGGGGTTCCTGTTCCCAGGCCCCTTCCTCATCTGCTCACCACCCCCTGTTGTGTTTGCAGTTTCCTGAATCTCAGAGCTCAGCCAGGTGTGGGTGGGGGCAGATCCTGGGTCCCCCTGGAGCCTGCGGGACCAGAACACCTGTGACCCACACTCACCTCATAGATGGGAGCGGCTGTCCTGGGGTCGGGTAGCGGGGCCTGGGCAGGGGAGAGAGGGGATGTCAGGGGACAGAGAGGGAGAGACATGGAAGGTTCCTGTCTCTGATCGGCCAGAACTTACTTCCCTGGGTCTACTTATGGTCATTTCCCCTCAGGAGTGACCAGCTCTGCCCTTGAGCTCAGCCTCCCAGTGTGGACACAGCACCCCGACCCCTGTCCTGGCTGGGCCCACCCTGCACCCTTGTTAATGTGGGCCCCTGACTGATTCTTCCAGTGTCCACTCTGCACCTGCTGCACTCCAGGGGTCTCCTCAGGTGACGGAGGGCCCCGGGGTGGGGTCAGCACAGGGCATGGGTGGTCCTGGCCATGTAGGGAGGCCTGGATCCTGGCCGGAGGCACTCACTTTGACCTGACTGTTCTGGGGAAAGGTGGGTTTGTGCTATGCTGTGGGGTTGATGGTCCCCCTGCCCTGAACCTGTACTGCTGGGACCCCAGTAGAAAGGGGCTGGGGAGGGGATGGGCTTACAGGGTAGGTGGAGTTGTTTGAGGGACCATGGCCTGGGGGACACAGACAGGAGTCAGCAGCTGGGTGGGAGGAGAGCCTGGGCCTCTCATGGAGGAGGGCATTGGGGTCCTGAACTCCCAGAGAGTCAGGGAGACAGGGCATCTTACCAGGAGAGACCCCTCTAGCCATTTTAGGGGCCAAGTGAGCAAGTGAGTTTGCAGAGGTGACCCATGACCAAGAGCCCACAGGTCAGGGCTGACCTGGCCAGTTGGGGTCCCCTGCAATGACGTTTTATGAGACTCCTCCTTGAAGCCCCATGGAAAGGATCAGAGGACCTCAGGGGTGACTGGCAGGAGTGGACACTGTGGGCCAGGCCTAGGGGTTGCCAGCCACACCCAGGCTGAAGGGACACTGGGGAGCTGCTCTCTAAAGTCATGCTGGCCACTGGCCCTAGGAGAGGTCAGGCTTATTTGTGAGGAGTACAAGATTAAAAGCCAAACTCTGGAGTTAGAACAGGGGATGAAGAGGGGACCCTATTTCCAAAGAGGGGCATGGAGATCTCCTTTCTCCATTGGTTCTGTATCAGGAGCTGAGCCAGGTGAGGGGATCAAAGACTTTACAAAGGCACATCTGTCCTGGCCAGAGGGGAAGGACCCTCAGCCAGATGCTGGGCCAGGAGAACATTGACCCAGGGATGCAGGAAAGGAACTGAGGGCCCAGGGAAGGAACCAGATCATGGGGGTTTGCCTGAGAGGAAGGGTTAAGTCCCCAGAGGGAAAGCAGGGCCAGGCACATGTGCAGGACACTGAGGGGACCAAAGGTGTCTTGGATTCTCCCAGAACTCAGTGTCCCTGCTGTGGCCAGACCCTGCTCTCAGGGCCAGTGATGCTGAAATGGGACAACAGCCTTGTCTTCTCTCTCTACCCCTTGGCAAGAGACATAAAGGACATTCCAGGACATGCCATCCTGGCACCCAGGTTCTCTTGTCTCACAGCTCAGGGGCTGCGGGAACTGCATTAGCCATGGGGGCACTGACCCTACCCAGCCTGTCCAAGCTGTTACATCCTTCACCGTGTGACCATGCCCAGGACTCCCTCTCAGATCCTGAGCCTGCAAATCCCCCCTCACTTGGTGGATGGATTCAATAAACAGCAGGAGGTACCGGGGTTACTGAGCACTCCCTCCCCCGCTCCCTTCCTCCAGGCAGCTGTGGCTTTGCTGTGTGAGGGAACTAGGACCACACTCAGGGGTGAGACCTTAACCAGGCCGAATTCACAGAGGAGGAAGCTGTTGAGGAGGCAGCCCAGGGTCAGCAGCTGGTGAGGGAGGAGCTGTAGAATGAGAGGGAAGGATCTCTTGGGGAGGGCTCAAAGAGCCTGGCCCTGAATACTGGGGGGGGTCTTCTTCCTCCTGGCCTGGGGTCAGCCTGGGGGTGGGAGGGAGGCCAGGAAAAAGCTGTAGTACCTTCCAGTCCTGACGAGGAGCAGGAAACATGCCAGGGTGGCCACCGGTGCCACCCCGACCAGAACCCTGGTCACGATGCCAGTGAAGGCCCCCACAGGAAGGCCTGGGGCATTTTTTTCTGCAGAAAGGGGAAGGCAAAGGGGATGAAGCCCAAGTCTGTTCCAGGGGGAACCATGAGGGGCCTTGCAGGGCAGGGGCTTGTTCAGGGAGGAAGGAAATGCCACGGAGTTTGAGTGTGGTCTGTTGTGCTGTCCTCATAGCTGACTCCCTCGCTCTCTGTGGCTGCACCATTTTCTGTGTCTCAGGCTTGAAACACTGGGATGCGCCGACTCCTACGTTCTCCCCCAGGAGCCTGCACCTCGCCCTGCTCCTGTGCCTTTAAATCCCTTCTTCCTCTCACTTCATGCCTCTTACCGCTTTTTTCTTTTCTATTTTTTGTTTTTTGAAACGGAGTCTCGCTCTATCGCCAGACTGGAGTGCAGTTGTGTGATCTCGGCTCACTGCAACCTCCACTTCCCAGGTTAAAGCGATTCTTCTGCCTCAGCCTTCTGAGTAACTGGGATCACAGGCGTTCACCACCACCCCCAGCTAATTTTTTGTATTTTAAGCAGAGACGGGGTTTCACCATGTTGGCCAGGATGGTCTCGATCTCTTGACCTCTTGATCCACCCACCTCGGCCTCCTAAAGTGCTAAGATTACAGGTGTGAGCCACCGCACCTGGCCTTTTCTTCTTTTGTTTTTTTAGATGGAGTCTCGTCCAGGCTGGAGTAGAGTGGCACGATCTCAGCTCACTGCAACCTCCATCTCCCGAGTTCAGATGGTTCTCCTGTCTCAGCCTCCCTCGTAACTGGGATTACAGGAATGTGCCATCATGCCAGGCTAATTTTTGTATTTTTAGTAGAGACGGAGTTTCACCATGTTGGCCAGGCTGGTCTCAAACTCCTGACCTCAGGTGATCCATCTGCCTCAGCCTCCCAAAGTGCTGGGATTACAGGCGTGAGCCACAGCACCCAGTCTTCCCTCTGTTTCTTCTTTTCCATTCCATGATTGTCATACAGAGCTAGCCCTCGCTGTCAACTCAATGCTGATGAGCGGGGATGATGCTCTTTGACTGTTTTCGGGGGTCTTCCATGTGCCAGGCACAGTGGGCACCAACCTACCTACAGCTCATCTCATCCTCCTATCACCTTGAGGGAGGGGGGCTTCACTCCCATCTGCAGAGTTAGAATCTGAGACTTACAGTGCCTCAGTAAGTCAAGGAAGGTCACAGAACTTGTACATGATACAACCAAATTTTAACCAAGGTCTCCTTGACTTAGCTAATAACAAAGCTCATAAAAATAATAATACTAGTTGATAGCACTGATTGAGCCCTGGCTCTGTGCACTACCCTGTTAAGGGCTTTAATTACATTAATCTTCAAATAAACATCCTCACAACCATCCTGAGATCCAAGTGTTTGTTAAAATTCTACAGATGAGGAAACTGAGGCCTAGGAGGTTGAGTGTCTTGCCCAAGGTCAAACACCTGGTATATTCCCGGCACTGACTGTCAGGCCTCTGAGCCCACGCTAAGCCATCATAACCTGTGACCTGCACGTATACATCCAGATGGCCTGGAGCAACTGAAGAACCACAAAAGAAGTGAAACAGCCAATTCCTGCCTTAACTGATGACAGTCCACCGTTGTGATTTGTTCCTGCCGCACCCTAACTAATCAATTGACCTTGTGACATTCCCCCCCGGACAATGAATCTCATGATCTCTCCACCGTGCACCTTGTGACCCGCCCCCTGCCCACAAGAGATAACTACCTTTAACTGTAATTTTCCACTACCTACCCAAATCCTGTAAAACTGTCCCACCCCCATCTCCCTTTGCTGACTCCTTTTTCAGATTCAGCCCACTTGCACCCAAGTGAATAAACAGCCTCGTTGCTCACACAAAGCCTGTTTGGTGGTCTCTTCACACGGACGTGCGTAACACTGACCCTGATAGTTGACACAAGGGATTTAGTTCCAGATAAAAACTGGTGAATTCTCCTATTGTTCCTCACTCCTCAGATCAGAATCTCCCCCTCTGCACTGTGGATGCCCAAGATGAAGGGAGATGAACCCATGACTGGTCTCAGGTCTGCAGATGCCTAATAACAAGCAGCCTCACACAACCCCAGTGGAGGAGAGGAGGGGGCTGTGGCTGCAGACAGACCTCGCATGACTCTAATCTGCCACCTATGGACTGTGTTGTTATAGGAGTTATTAGGAAATTATTTTAGGGAGATAGAGAGGAAAGGGGGTCCTTGGGAAGTTTTTCTTTTTCTTTTTTTGAGACGGAGTCTTGCTCTGTTGCCCAGGCTGGAGTGCAGTGGCATGGTCTCGGCTCACTGCAACCTCCGCCTCCCAGGTTCAAGTGATTCTCCTGCCTCAGCCTCCCCAGTAGCTGGGATTACAGGCACGCACCACCATGCCCGGCTAATTTTTGTGTGTTTAGTAGAGATGGAGTTTCACCATGTTGCCCAGGCTGGCCTCCAACTCCTGACCTCAGGTGATCCACCCACCTCAGCCTCCCAAAGTGCTGGGATTACAGGCATGAGCCACTGCTTGGCCAGTTTTTGTTTCTTTTAAAGCAGTTCCAGAAATGTTGCTTGTCTAGCAGAAAAGCCCCAGCTCTTAGAGCCTGGCTGGCAAGCTTTGATATACAAATGAAGGCCATTAGAAACTGGGTCCACCCAAACATGGGGATTCCTGCCCTCTTCTTGCCCTTGCTCCCATATGTGCCTGGCAACACGGTTGCCCTCACATATCCCCACGTGTGTAGAACCATCAAGGCTCCCTGCATTTGCATATTAAAAGGCCAGGGTGGAGGGCCAGTTTCTTCTTGGGCTACGTGAATGACATGGCTGGTCAAACCAATCCCCTGAGCCCTGTGCAAATCAGACACCACGTCCTCCGGCCTCCTCATATAACTGGCTGTTTTCTGCTGCACTTAGGGTTTCCTCTCTTTGCTTGGAACCCCCCTCCGTCTGTCCCTGTATGGGGGAGCTTTTTCCTTCTTTTTTGCCTATTAAACTCTTTGCTCCACATGTGTCTGTGTTGTTTTATCTAAATTGGCACAAGACCGAGGATCCTGGTATTGCTCCAGTCATCAGAGCCATATCAGTGTGACCCTAGTCAGTGACTGTCTCCCTGTGCCTCATTTTCCTTTCAATAAATAAGATAAATGCTATTTGGCTACAAGGTTGTTTATGAATTAACCTCAAAATGTTTACAATTACTTGATCTCAGCTCTGCACAGAGCAGCTGCCCAGATGAACAGCATGTATGTATTTGAAATGCTTGTTCCCCAGTGCTGTAAAGAAATAGCACTTGAACATAAATTTAATTTTCTCAGCAAGGCCATTTTTATATTTTCTGTAGAAAGGGTATACTCGCCAGCAATTTTGTGACAAGAGTACACCGAACAAAGGAGACAGGGTCATTTATAATCTGACGTGTCTACCTTACTGCTGTGTCCGGTTTCCACTGGCTGGAACAGGATGTCACATTTTGTATTTGTCCCGATTGGCTAGCAACTTAGAACTTTTTAAAAGAGGCAAAGGCAGAGGAGAACAAAGGAAGGAGGAAGTAACTTGTGGAATGCTGAGAAAGGTAAAAACCATCTTCAAATAAAGAAGAGGAGCAGGCTATGACCTAATGCTTGCTTGGACCAGTATAAGCATGCCAGGGCAAATATTTAGGCTAAATTGTGGGAGCTAAGAACATAAAATACATTTTTTTTTTTTTTTTTTTATTACAGCTAGCAGATATTTAAGAATGTTAGCACACGTCTTTGAGTAAATTTTGCTTCTAAGAGAGGTTGCTATTTATTCCTAATTAGACAGGGAGGAAAGTCTTTGAAGAGGAACCTCTACTTTACTTTTTACATATGCTTATTTGCCTGTAAGAGAAAGGGCCCTGGGCCTGATTTCAGGTGGAGAAGGAGCTGCTGGGAGCATCCTCTATTTGTTCCTCCCCCTAGGGACCCTGAACTTACAAGGGAGTCACCTAAGTCCCCCAGGGCAATGGGCTCATGCCCTAGTAATCTTGTCCATCTGTGCTCTACATGCTGAGTCTCAGGTGAATGTTGAGGCTCTGTCTTTGCCCAGATGAGGGCCTGGGGGCTGAGCCCTGGCTAGTGACCAGCTCCAGGAGCCACTGCCCTTGGACAGCTGGTAAATTGTGGCTCCCGGTCAGCCCAGGAGGCAACAATCCAGCTCTGGCATAGGCTCCTCAGGGCTCCACAGGATTCCACAGACCCCTCAGTCCAGACCCTGACTTAGTTCTCCAGGGTCTTCTCAAGGTCATGTCCATAGGGAGGGCATGGGGTGCTTGGCTGAGACTGACCTCCCCCTGCTGAGTCCCCCCCATCAGACTGTCTTTCCTCAGCAGTGAATGCCTGCAGGGTCTGGATACGGGAAAGGAATTCTGATCTGTTGAAGTTTGTCTACCCTGTATGTGTCCTGCAGTAAATGTTCAAACCCCAACATGGGACGTAATACAGAAGGGGACACAGGCACAGCCCAGGCCTGACAATCCCATGTATGTGAAGTAGAACTGACCCCCAACAGTCAGAGGCTGTGGGAGAATCACTCAGTATACATGGAACTGGCCAGATACTTCTTCTTTCTCAGGGTTTATCTTTATGGCGTGTAGGGTGTAGAATCCTGTGTCCTGGGTGACATTCTGAATCAGCAGGGATGCATTGGGGTATATTGTCCCTTGAATGCTGTGGGCAGGCCCTGGGGGTAGTTATTAGAGTTCCTATTACATATCCTGTAATATGGTGGTTGGCCTCCACCCTTTCCCCTTTGTACCAGTTATAGCCAATAAGATCATGGGGCAGATTGTGAGTGAGTAGAAGAACCTCCTTCCCCTTTGTGGCATTGGACAGCATGGCTTCAACAGTGAGCATGGCAGTAGTGGGTGGGTTCCAGAAAGTTAAAACTGAGGCTAAGGTGGGGGAGAGAACATCAGTCAATATTGGGACCTATGTATTTGGATGGAAAGATGGGGCCCTGAGTTCTGAGGAGGTCTCTTCACCCCCTAGCCCTGGAGAGAGAGAGAGAGAGAGAGCACGTGCACGTGCACGTGCATGCATGGGTCCTGCTGAGTCAAAGTCAGCAGCATGACCCCCATTCCCTCAGCACCTCTGACCTTGGCACTTCCAAGTTTGGAATCCTCTTCCCCAGGAGTCTGCACAAACCCCCACCCCTTATCGCCCTCAGATCCTGCTCACATCAGGACATCCTTGGGAGACCCTTCCCCTGACACCTCCTCTAGAGACCCTTGCTCTTCTCTTCTCTTTCTGACCTTTCCCAGCTCTGTTCCCTCCAGGGCTCTTGTCAGCACCTGACCTCACATTCTAGATCTCTTTGGGTGTCTGTCTTCCTCCCATGAGAGCGTGAGCTCCGTGAGGGTGGGGACTTTTGTGATCTTGGTTGCACCCCAGTGTCTGGGACAGGCTGCAGACTCCTGTGGATGAGTTCATGAGTGTTCCCAGGGCCCTCCATGGCCTGAGGTTTGTGGGTAAGGACAGTGTTTAGTGGCCCTGGTTCTGTTTTTTTCTGGAGTGTTACCCTGACATAACATTTTATTGTCATCAGTTTTCAGAATTTATTGATCAGTGATGATTCACTTGCAGTATATTAACAGTGGAGATTGTTTCTCCATTAACAGCTTCAGATCATTGAGATTTTCCTGGTGTGACCCCTGTCCCTCTCTGGTGTCCTCTCCTCTGAGGCTCCAACAGAAGCCCTCTGTCCCCCCTCAGAGTCCCATCCTCCCCAGGAGATCCCAGTCAGTCTCTGTGCTCCCTCCTCCCACCCACTCCCAAGGAGTCCTCCCCTCACCTGTGAGAAGGAACCCCTGCCAGGGGATGCGCCCTCTGCAGGGAGGGCTGAGGGAAGAGCTTGAGCTCCAGGAACGCTCTTGTCAGGGCTGCTGTGACTGTCAGCTCTGCTGTCCTTCCTCCCTGTGTGCTGAGCCTCCTCCCAGGGCAGGAGCACTTCCCAGGGTCATGGGTGGGGGTGGGCTCTGCCCAGGAAGCCTCTCTGCCCCCTCCCCTCTCAGTCCTGCCTTCTTGTCCATTCTTCTTTTTTCCGTTCTGTCTTCATTTACATTCCCCAGACTATGCTTTGAGAAGCAAGGTTTATTTGGACCCCTGTCCCTTAACAGGACAAATCACCCTCCCCAGCACTGATCTCTGCTGTGTCTTGGCCTTGGGTCTGTCAACACCACACAGAGAGTCCCTGGGGTCCCCGAACCTGGTTTGTTGTCTCTATGACAAAGAAATCCCTCGGTGTATTCAGGGTCTTCTTAGTGTTCTTAAATGTCTGGGAAGGTTGGATTTCCTCCCAGCAAGGAGGTCACAAAGATGTCTGGGGTCCTAGGAATGGACACATCTGGGGCTAAAGCCCAGGTCTAAGAGTCTTACTTGTTCTTTCTGCAGCGCTATGTGGCCCTAATTTCCTGGGAGTAACTGAGAATGAAGCTGCACGTTGCTGTAGTATTATGTCATCCAGACCTCAGACATTTCTAGATCACCTTTATGATTTTCTCTACAGCTTGTTCCACATTTATTATTTACTTCATACTATTTTTCTTTTTTTGAGATGGGATTTTGCTCTTGTTGCCCAGGCTGGAGTGCAATGGTGCGATCTGAGCTCAATGCGCAACCTCTGCCTCCCAGGTTCAAGCGATTCTCCTGCCTCAGCCTCCCGAGTAGCTGGGATTACAGGCATGCGACACCATACCCAGCTAATTTTTTGTATTTTTAGTAGAGACGGGGTTTCACTATGTTGGCCAGGCTGGTCTTGAACTCCTGACTTCAAGTGATCTGCCCACCTTGGCCTCCCAGAGTGCTGGGATTACAGACATGAGCCACCGTGGCCAGCCCATACTATTTTTTTCTAAATAAATTTAGTTTACAAAACATCTTTGTTTATCAGGGCACAGTGGCTCACACCTGTGATCCCAGCTACTCGAGTGGCTGAGGTGGAAGGATTGCTTGAGGCCAGGAGTTGGAGACAAAACATCCTTGTCTTATGCAGTATTGTCCATGAAATTACAGATTTGATGTGTGCTTAAATGTTTTTCTAACATGCATTAAAATAAACACATGAGTATTAAAATTAAAAAACAGCTTATTTAACTTTCACCTAAAATCAGTTTTGGGAAACGCTGATACAGTGGCATAAGCATGCACTTTATATCCAGATAGACCTGGGGTCAATTACTGGCTCCATCACTTAACTATGTCAACTTGGACACGTCACTTGGCTTCTGTGATCCTTGATTCCCTGATTTGTAAAAGGAGGATGGTAAAATCCACCTTGCAGAGTTGTTGGGAATAAGTGAGCTGCTGTGGGAGCCCCGTGCCCAGGCAGTTGTTGAGTACATGATGGTTATCATTGTGGTTATTGCTGTGGGATTCTGGTTATTTTCCAGAGAGAGTGTCTATGCTGGAATATTGGGCTTGTGGCTTTCTGGTAATGTACATGTGTGATAAGTTACTTTTTCGCTTGTTAGGACTTGTGGTGCATCTGTCATTATTTTCATGTCACAGTTTTACTATCTATTTGCTCTGCGATTTTGGTCAAGTTGTGTAACTTTTCTGTGCCTCATTTACCTAATTTCTAAAATGTGGGTAACAGTAAACTAGTGTGAGTGTGTATTTCCCAGATCTGACCACTAGAGAGCACAGAAGCACCAGCACCTTCTAACCGTGGGCCTATCAGTGCCGATGGCCTGCAAACATCGTTCTCCCATGAAAGGAACCAGGGCTCCCTGGAGAAATAGCTGATTCCAGGGCTGGGTCAGGAAAGCATAGAGGAACCTGGAGCTCCTTGTGGGGCCAGAAAATAAGGAACTGCACGAAAAATGGTGGGGATGTGTCAAAAGGTCACAGATTTCCAAGGAACTCTCAATGGTCAATTTTGGGACAATATGAACAACATAATAAATAATGATAGTAATGGATTCCAGTTCATAAATACCCATGAATCCATGCTGATATAAATAAATAATTGAATAAATTAAATAAATGAGGAAGCAGAAATAGCTTTTTCTTGTAGCAGAATTCCAGTTAATAAATGTAGAAGGAGTGGTGGAAATGGAAAATCACTATTTGGCTCACAACACAGGAATTGTTATTTATAGGCAAGGATCATCATGGAATATGAAGAGGCCTGGAATGAGGCAGGAGTGAGAACAGGTGGCGTGATTTTGTTTCCCTGAGAGGAGGGAAGAGGCAAGCCATGAGTCAAAGCCCTTTGATTTTTGTTTGACAGTTCTTCTCTCTGTGTTTTCAAATTATCCCAGCCTGTTGCCTTGTCACAGAGTTGGTTGTGGGCTTTGCTACTGCAGGGGTTATAAAGCACGTGCAGGGGCCAGGGACTGTGCTAGGCAGTGGAGCCTGTGTGTGAATTGAAGGGTCAGGCAGGGCCTAAGCGTGGTCTGATGCAAACCACTGATGTGACTTCTTTCTTGAAAATTCTAAAAATAATCTCTGCCTTCAGGAGCCTCAAGTCTAATGAGGGAGATGACATCCACTTTATAAAGCCTAGAGATATGAGTGCAGTAATCTCTCAAAGTGGCAGAAGTGCATGGGGGACTCCGAGTTGGGTGGAACTTGAGCTGGCCTCACAGGGCAGGGTAGGATTTGGGTTGGTGGAGGGCAGAGAGAACGGCTGTGTGGAGCAGGGGTGTGTTGTAGGAGAGGCACTCTTTGGAGCTCTTTGTATGGAGATCATTGAGGGTAGGGGCTGTTTGTGTTCATTTTTGTATTCCCTGAACTCATAGAGCCTGGCACTTTGGGAGTATTCTATAATTGACTGTTGAATGGAATGATCGTTTCGTAACCTGTTAACTGGGCCTGATGTGTTAGAAAATATGTAAAAGTGCAGCCTGTGTATTAGAAAATGTGTGAAAGTACAGCCTATGAGCAGAAAGAAAATCTTACTGAAAAGCGATCCCACGTACACATGGAGCCTGGTGCGGCCGCTTTACTTATGCTGCTGAGTTCTGCATCAGTCCACACCGAGGCCACCACAGGGGCCGGGAGCTCCTCCTCAGACCTTCCTCTGGGTCCCTCAATCTCTTTACCCCCCTGTTCTCCCAGGTCCTGCTCCCTGTCAGTTCACTCCATCTGGTTTCCCCTCCATGCACTTGGGGTGGGTATCACATCCTGTGTCTCATCACAGGGGGCTTTGGGTCCCTCAGATCCATTGATTAAAACACCTCTAAAACAAATGGACTTTCCTCTTGTTAACATGACAACTTCTTATAATGCATTTCAAGAACATTATTTGTGTCAAGAGTCTCTCTGATGTACAGAGGCCCTCCCTCCCCCAGGAAGGAGGTCAGGGGAAGTTAGGAGAAAACAGTGTCCTGTCTGGGTTGCTTATTTCCCTATTCTGCAGTGTATTTGGTAGACGTTCAAAAATATTTGTTGACTCTGTCCATGATCCACATGGCTCTCATATAGTCATTTATTCACACACACATTCAGTGAGGCTTTGAGCGCCTAGTGTGTGCCTGGTATTTGCTAGATGGTGGATGCTGAGAAGATCAGATGTGCTGCTGTCTCTGAGGAGCTTTCACTATATAGCTGCACCTAGGGTGACCGAATGCACCTGCCCCACTTTACAGACATGGAAATTAAAGTGCAGGCAAGTCATAGGACTAGTTCAATGTCACAAGGTCACTAGCCTCAAAGTTATAGGAGTAAATCAAGTTTTCTGACTTGCTGGATTTTCTGTTAGTGTGCAGCCACCTGGCTGCTGCAGGTGCAGACATGGTGAGCTCCGATAGGAGCGAGGACGCTCAGAGTGAAGTGGGAGCCCTGAGCACCCTGGATTAACCAGGAGGACATGCCGGGTCCAGCTATGACTGCACAGAGGACCATCGGGAACATTTGAATTCTCTTTTTCACTTTGAGCTTGAAATGAAGAAAACTGATCCCAGAAAACCAAGCGTGGAAGGTATTTCACAGGGCATTGGTGAGATGGGTCAGAAAATCCTGTGTTGATGTCTGTCATCATGTTTGTCACTGAATAGTAATGGTCTGACTTTGAGTGGGTTCCATCTGTAGCCTGGAGCTCTGTGAGGCAGGGACCAGGTGTGATTCACCTTTGTCTCTCCAGTGACAGTACACAGCAGACTCCGATAAGTATTTTTTTTTTTTTTTTTTTTGAGACAGAGTCTCACTCTGATGCCCAGGCTGGAGTGTAGTGGTATGATCTCGGCTCACTGCAAGCTCTGCCTCCAGGGTTCACGCCATTCTCCTGCCTCAGCCTCCCGAGTAGCTGGGATTACAGGCGCCTGCCACCATGCCTGGCTAATGTTTTTTTTTTAATGTTTTTAGTAGAGAAGGGGTTTCACCGTGTTAGCCAGGATGGTCTCGATCTCCTGACCTCGTGATCCGCCCGCCTCGGCCTCCCAAATTGCTGGGATTACAGGCGTGAGCCACCACGCCCCGCCCTCCGATAAATATTTCTTACAAAATAAAACAGAATAAAAAGTAGACATCTGCACAGGTGTGGGATGACTGAGCAGCAGCAGAAGCAGGAAAAGTCAGCGTCCCCAGATCAGCTGATGTGGCATTTGGCTTCTAGATAGGGGTGAGGTGCCAGGACAGGGACGGGGGTCCTGGGGCTCTGCTGCTCTGGGGAACACCCCTAGGATTTGGAGTGTCTGCTGTGGTTGCTGCACTTCACTTGACCATGGGAAAGTGACCAGAGGGTGTGGGGCTTCAGGTGACCCTATATGGGAAATGGCCGAGGGAAGATTGGGTGGGTGGTGCATGGGATGGTTTACCCGTATTTGAAGGTCAGTTGTATGAAAAGATGTTAAACTTATTTCAGCCTATGGAGAGTAAGATGAGGATTGGTGAGTGTGAATCAGACACCTTTTGACTCAAGACAAAAAAGAACTGTTACAGTAAAGGAAGTTTCCTTGGAAAATTACAAGTTTACTGGCAGAATTCAAGCCAGGGCTGGGTGTCTGAAAATACCTCTCAGAATGATTTTTAAGCTAACAAGGGCAGAGCTTGGCTAGGAATGTGGTTTTCCACTGATATCACATATTAAAAAAATGTCCTTTGCAATGGGACATTGCTCAATGATGCAGGCTGAGCTCTCTATGACAGTTACTTTCAGTCATGTGGGCAGCTGTGATTCTCTTATCCAGTCCGTGACTTGGACTTCACCAACTACCTCTGGCAGGCTGCCCCTGCCAGCCCTATCCCCTCTTTTACCCCAGGAGTTAAGTGCATTAACTAATGATGGCCACAAGGTGGCAGTGCTGCTGCTGCTGCTTTTTTTTTTCTTTTTTCTTTTTCTGAGACGGAGTCTCACTCTGTTGCCCAGGCTGGAGTGCAGTAGTGCGATCTCGGCTCACTGCAACCTCTGCCTCCCGGGTTCAAGCGATTCTCCTGCCTCAGTCTCCCGAGTAGCCACGTAGCTGGGATTACAGGTGCGTGCCACCACACCCAGCTAATTTTTTATATTTTTAGTAAAGACAGGGTTTCACCGTGTTAGCCAGGATGATCTTGATCTTCTGACTTTGCGATCCGCCCGCCTCGGCCTCTCAAAGTGCTAGGATTACAGATGTGAGCCACCGCACCCGGCCCTCTCTGGTGTTTTCTAAAACCTCTACCTGAATGTGGGCAAGCCTAAGAGGCTTTTAGGATTAAGAAAAGGTCATGAATGAGGTGAAAGGTAAACTTCATTATTATTTTTCTCTTGTGAGGTGACATAGTTGAGTGTGAAATAGTTGCATTTTAGAACTGGAAGACACTGGAGAGAAGTGCTTCACAAATCTTAATGTGTTCATGGATCACCTGAAGATCTTGATTAAATACAGATTCGGATTCTTTTGGTGGGGCCTGAGATTCTCAATTTCTAAGGCGCTTTTGGATGATGTCATTGCTGCTGGTTGGTGGACCACACTTTGAGTAGCAAGGCTTGAGGGTCATTTAGAGATTAATTCTCATTCCATGTGATTTATGGCTGAAGAGAGACCAAACTACAGAGAGAGAATATAACTTGCCTTCCATAACTATGCCCTCACTGCATGACTTTTTGCATTTAAACCCAGGGCTTCAGCTTCTCCGTCCAATTCTCGTTTCATGCATCACGTGGCCCCTACACTGTTGTTGGTGGCATCTCTTTACCTTAGGAACCCAGAACTCCATTTCCACCACCCACTGATCTTGGCTCAAGGTTTCACTTTGACTGGGTCTGCCCTTCCTCAAAACCTTGAGGGGCTCTTCTATAATCACAAGATCAAGTTTGAACCTCGGTGTCTACTGTTCATGCCTCTACAACATGTGATTCCCCCTTTAGCAAGCTTACATAACTTCCCTGTTTTTTTAACTGACTCTTTCTGCTCTAGCTCTCCCTGCTCCTTCCTGTTCCCTACACATACTTCGTTCAGGTCCCTCAATGGTAGTGGTGGTTACATGGTCTCTGGTGTTAGACTCACCGAGTTTCTAATCCCATACCCACCACCGACCTTGGCAAGTTACTTCCCCTTTCTGAGGATGAGCATCCTCCTCTGAAATAATTTCATGTATTGATTGAGAGAGTAAATAAAATAACATCTGCAAGCCCACTGTCATTCCTCGGACCCTCTTTAAAACTAGCATCTACACAGGGTGGGGAACATCACACACCGGGGCCTGTCGTGGGGTGGAGGGAAGGGGGAGGGATAGCACTAGGAGAGATACCTAATGTAAATGACGAGTAAATGGGGTGCAGCACACCAACATGGCACATGTATACATATGTAACAAACCTGCACATTGTGCACATGGACCCTGGAACTTAAAGTATAATTAAAAAAAAAAAAACCAAAACCAAAAAAAACTAGCATCTACAGTGGTGCCTGACACCTGGTTCCCTGGCTTATGTTTCTCCATGTCTCTGCTTTCCTAAGGCTGAACCATTCAAGGCCTAACCTGAACCCTGTCTCTTTTGTGAGCATTTGTTTCTTTCTTTCTTTTTTCTTTTTTGTTTTGTTTTGAGACGGAGTCTCACTCTGTCCCCCAGGCTGGAGTGCAGTGGCGCAGTCTCAGCCCACTGTAACCTCCGCCTCCTGGGTTCAAGCTATTCTCCTGCCTCAGCCTCCTGAGTAGCTGGGATTACAGGTGCATGCCACCATGCACAGCTAATTTTTTTTTTTTGTATTTTAGTAGAGATGGGGTTTCACCATGTTGGTCAGGATGGTCTCGAACTCCTGACCTCAAGTGATCTGCCCGCCTCAGCCTCCCAAAGTGTTAGGACTACAGGCATGAACCACCACACCCGGCCTTATGAGCATTTCTGACCCAATTGATCCCACCCTTCTATAAATTGTTTCACCCATGTATTGGCATTTAATTATGTCCCAGTGAGACCCCATAGGGAGGCTGGAAGGGTGTTGGCTGTGTGAAAACTGAAGGTGAATTGAGTGAGCTCCTTTCTTACTACCCCCTGAGTGTTAGAGCTACCATCTCTTTTTTTTTTCAGCTATTGCCAGCAGCAGTTCCTCCTGCGCCAGCTGCACCAGACCCTGGGCAGGCAAGTGAATACCTTAGGGTTTGTTCCTGTCAGGGTCACTCCTGCCTCTGGGTTTTGGTGAAACTGGCGTTTTCTTTTGCATCTTATCAGGTGGCCCCTCTGAGGAGGTTATTGATGATATCCCTTTATGGAAAGCCTAAGGTAATAACTCTAAGGAAGTTGAGCACAGTATTTTCTAACTTAAACAGCTTGGTGGCAGGAGATGTGTACACTTTCCTATTTCATAAAATTTACAACAGATTCAGAAGAGATTAAGGACAAAGGACCAAATGGGGAGGACAGGTTTGTTTAAGGGAGGTCATGTACTTTCAATCTGGAGTCTATCAATTGTTCATTCAACTCTGTGTGGAAGTGTGCATCTTTGCATGTGTGGTCGTATATTTGGATCACATGATTCATAATTCTGTCCCTGTCAGTGGCAATTAGGAGTTCATGTTAGGCTTATGAGGATAAAATATATGGGTGTGCACTATTACTGAAGCCAGGGTTTCTGATATCTGGAGAGAAAATAGGCCAGGAGGGCTGGTCACTTTACTTAGTGCCCTGCCTTTCTCTCTCTCTCTCTCTCTTTCTCTTTTGAGACAGAGTCTCACTCTGACACCCAGGCTGGAGTGTAGTGGACTATAGCTCACTTCAACCTCCACCTCCTGGGCTCAAGTGATCCTCCCATATCAGCCTCCTTGTTAGCTGGGACCACAAGCACATGCCATCATGCCCAGCTAATTTTTTGTTTTGTTTATTTGTTTGTCTGTTTTTGTAGAGATGGGTTTTCACCATATTGCTCAGGTTGGTCTCGAACTTCTGGGCTCCAGTGATCTAGCCATTTTGGCCTCTTCCAAATGCTGGGATTACAAGTGTGAGCCACCATTCCCGGCCCTGCCTTCTCTTTTTATTAGACAGCAGTCTACTCACTCATCATGTTCCCAGTGAGGGGATTTTTAACCTTCTCATTTTCCTACCAGGGGTCCATGCCAAAGTCCATATGTGTTTAATTGTGTCTAGAATTGGATGTTCTTTTTGAAAAGAGCAGCCCAAGGAATGGCTTCTTAGCTGATATCCAGGATTCTAATCTTCATTGTCTAAACTTTGGGTTTCCATTCCTGGATACTGGTTAGAGTAACTTGTAGGGCATTTAAAATGTACCAATGTCTGTGCTTTCCCCAAGTATGTCTGACTGGATTGGTGCATTGTGTGCCCAGGCATTGGTTGTTTAAGAATGCTTCCAAGGAAAACGGTCATTTTATTGTGGAGGAATTTTAGCCCAGGGCTCAAAGTTAACATCCCATTAATTAGAGATATCGACATCTTAGGGCATCCTAATATAATGGATGGAGAAGGCACAAAATCGCCTCTTTGGTTTTCTTGACCGAAGTGTATAACCTCAGTTTAATCATGAGAAAAAATTAGAAAAATTTAAACTGAGGGTAACTACAAAATAACAACGCCAATACTTTTCAAAAATGTTAAGGTCATGAAGGCAAAAGAAATTCTGAGGAACTGTCCCAGATTAAAGGAGACTGAGAGGACAAAACAATGAGATGCAATGTGTAATTGTACATTGGACCCTGTTCCAGAAAAAGGACATTAGAGGGAAGATAAAGAGGATTTGAATAAAGTCTGCAGATTCATTCACTGTATGATGTCAGCGATAATTTATTGATTTTAATGTTTGCACTGTGGTTATCTAAAACAATGTTTGGGGAAGTTGAGTGAAAAGTATATGGGGACTGTATTTTTGGAACATTTTTGAAAGTCTGAAATTATTTCAAAATGAAAAGTTTGAAAAAAAAAAGGAGAAGAAATCTAGATATTTCTATTAAGTTGCCAGACTTGAAGACCATTTCCCAAGTTATCTTGCCTAATATTGTAGAGTAATCTTCCTGGAAATGCTGTTTGTCACGTTTGTGAGCTTCTCAGAGCTTTCCAGTGACTTCTCTTATCTGTAGGATGAAGTTCCCATTCCTTAGGATGCCACTCAGAGCCCTCATAGCCCGGCCCCAATCTACTCCCTTGATTTACATTGAAGGACCTGACCCACATTTTACTTTCTCATTTCCAAACATTTTCTAAGTCTTTTCCCTCTTCATATCACACCCTTGCCTGTCTTCTCAGCCTCCTGAGTTGTTCTTTGTCCTAAAGGCCCATTTCAGACCCTGTCTCTTCATTGAAGCCTGTATATTTATTTCTGTTAGAAGCAGTCATCTTTCCTTTCTTTGAATTCTTGCAGGTACAATGGTGTGGAGTGAAACATGAGTTTTATTTCATTATATTATATTTTAGAAAAAAATCAATTTATTCTGCTCATTAAAAGTTTTTCTTTTAAAAAAATCTTAAAATTTTCATTGGAGAAGGATTAGAGATTAAATTGTTGATGTTTGAATTTCGTTGTGGTTTAAAAAAACTTTTATTTTAGGTTCAGGGTACATGTGCAACTTTGTTATGTAGGTGAACCTGTGTCACAGGGGTTTGATGTACAAATTATTTCATCACCCAGCTACTAGGCCTAATACTCAGTAGTTATGTTTCCTGCTCCTCTTCTTCCTCCCACTCTCCACCCTCTTGTAGGCCCCAATGTCTGTTGTTCCCCTTTTTATGTCCATGTGTTCTCATCATTTAGCTCCCACTTATTTTTTAATTTTAATTTAATTTAATTTTTTTTTTTTTTGAGACGGAGTCTCTCTCTGTCACCCAGGCTGGAGTGCAGTGGTGCGATCTCCGCTCACTGCAAGCTCTGCCTCCCAGGTTCACGCCGTTCTCCTGCCTCAGCCTCCTGAATAGCTGGGACTACAGGTGCCTGCCACCATGCCCAGCTAATTTTTTTGTATTTTTAGTAGAGACGGGGTTTCACTGTGTTAGCCAGGATGGTCTCAATCTCTTGACCTCATGATCCACCCACCTCAGCCTCCCAAAGTGTTGGGATTACAGGCGTGAGCCACTGCGCCCGGCCTTAGCCCCACTTATAAGTGAGAACATGCAGTATTTGTTTTTCTGTTTCTGCGTTAGTTTGCTGAGCATAATGTCCTCTAGCTCCACCAATGTTCCTGCAAAAGAGATGATCACATTATTTTTTATGGCTGCATAGTATTCTGTGGTGTATATGTACCACATTTTAAAAATGCAGTTTTCCATTGAGAGGCATTTCGGTTGATTCTATGTCTTCTCTATTGTGAACAGTGCTGCAGTGAACATTCATGTGCATGTGTCTTTATGATAGAATGATTTATATTCCTCTGGGTATATACCCAGTAATGAGATTGCTGGGTCAAATGGTAGTTCTGTTTTTAGCTCTTTGAGGAATTGCCATACTGCTTTCCACAATGATTGAACTAATAATTGACACTCCCACCAACAGTGTATAAGCACCCCCTTTTCTCCACAACCTTGCCAGCATGTTACTTTTTTTTGACATTTTTGATAATAGCCATTCTGACGGGTATGAGATGGTATCTCACTGTAGTTTTGATTTGCATTTCTCTAATGATCAGTGATAGTGAGCTTTCTTTCCTATGCTGTTGGCCACATGTATGTCTTCTTTTGAAAAGTGTCTGTTCGCCAGGCAGAGTGGCTCACACCTGTAATCCTAGCACTTTGGGAGGCTGACGTGGGTGGATCACTTGAGGTCAGGAGTTCAAAACCAGCCTGGTCAATATGGTGAAACTCTTTCTCTACTAAAAATACAAAAAAATTAGTTGGGTGTGGTGGTGGGCACCTGTAATCCCAGCTACTTGGGAGGCTGAAGCAGGAGAATTTCTTGAACTCGGGAGGCGGAGGTTGCAGTGAGCCGAGATTGCACCACTGCACTAAAAAAAAAAAAATGTGTTCATGTCCTTTGCCCACTTTTTAGTGGGAATTTTTTTTTCTTGTAAATTTGTTTAAGTTCCCTGTAGATGCTGGATATTACATTTTAGTCAGATGCATAGTTTGCAAATATGTTTTCCCACTCTGTAAGTTGTCTGTTTACTCTGTTGATAGTGTCTTTTGCTGGAAGCATGAGTTTTGGATTCAGAAATATGAGTCTGAGTCCTAGTTCCACCTTTTATCAGGTGAGATAAGGGACAAGTTAATTGATGTCTTGGAATAGAGGGATAATAGTGCCTATTTAAAGGGTCATTGTGAGCATTGGATGAGGTACAAACATAAAGGTCCCCAGCAGGTAGCAGATTACTTCCTCTTCATTCCTGTAGCTCAGTGGTTCCAAAGGTATTGCGGGTGGTGTGAACTTTCTTATCAAAATTTTCTATAGATCCTTCAACTAAGATAGCCTTGAACTGAACTGAATGCTTAGGACTTTAAGAAGTTCAACTGACGTTTGGATTTTTGTGAAAACAACTCAGTAAATAAGTTATCTATCAATAGAGGAATGTAACCCAACAGAGGAAGAAGGGAATGACAATGGGATTGTAAATGGGAGAAAGCTGTGATGCCTTCCACACCCATCCCTTTGTTCTCAGTCAGACAATATCAAGGAAGTACAACTTCTAAAATTATGTAAAGGAAAATAAACACCTCAGGACTGCCAAACTCATTACACCAAAGGGATACTTCAGCCTGGAGATTGAGTCATGCAAGACCACCATTTTTTCCCCAAATGAACAACTGTTACTTTACAACCTTGTGTCAAAGCATTGTACATTAGCCAGAGCCCCAGGAGAAGATGAAAAGGCCCTAGGCATATCTGGATGACCTCCCTCACAAATTGTTTTTTTGCTGTCCTCGAACCACATTTGAAGTATATTTGTGGAACAGACTCTTACAAGTACTCTTAAATGTTGGCTTCTCATAACTGTGGAGCTCATGTCACTGGACTAGGAAAAAAAACCCAGGACTTTAGTTAAAAAAAATGCATTCATGATGATTGCTAACCCAACATCAAGCAGAACAAGAGTTAATTACATGAGGATAAATTGATACAGGACTAAAATGATTTTTTCATGACCTTTTTTTTAAAAAAAAACATTGCTGACTTTTTTTATGTTTTGTTCTCCAGAGTCAAAAAAGCTTTTTTTTTTTTTCTTTTGAGCTTTTTAGCTTACAACAAATTGGGTAAAGTATAATTTTGTGAGCTAAATTTGAAAGATTTATCTTTCTCTCTACCCAATTTCTACAAAAATAAACTATTTGTGCATATTCTTAATTTATGGCAATATAGATATTTGCATAAATTCCATAAGAATTTGTTTTCTTTTATAACAGGACACAATTGGAGACATTGGTTATTTTATAGAGGCTTTGAGTGAAATGGTATATTTTCAGATATGACCAGAATGCTTTGAGGAATTGAGATTGACTTTATAGAACTGACAAAAAGCCTCTTGGACAGACTGACCTGGTTACCTTGTCTATGCAGTTTCTATAAAAAGTTAATGATCTGTGGTAAGTAAAGAATGTCACTTTCTGATAGGCCCAGGAACCCCCAAGTTATTTTGAGACCTCAAGAAAAGAGGAATTCACCAAATTCATGCAGGTATCTACAGGCACAGATAAATTACTGGCTTGCATAGCCTTGAGATGCTTTTGGAAGTCTAATCTGAGATTCCTTATGAAAAAAAGTCTCAGCAAAGCCAATTTAAAAAGACTCTCTATGGCCAACCACTATTCTTGCCATACTTTATGCAAATAATCAGGCCAGGTATAAGACTAAAACTTATTTAGCAAATACATTTGTCCTGCTATGATTTGTCTTTCATAAAAATGGGAGCCTGGAGAGAGAAAAATTTGTGTTTCAAAAGAAAACTTCAATACAACTGTTATTAAATTCTAGGCTTGTTCATTATTTTTGAGTTTTATTATTTGCCTATAATTTGGACTGAATCCTAAATTCTTTCCTGGCTATAAATATCAAAAGTAATGATTTCAAGATTTTCTTCCATTTTGGAATGTTAGAAATTAAAACTGTGCTTTTCTTCAAGCCCTGCAAACTGAAACTAGACAAGTTAAGTGAACTTTTGGAGAAGTCACAGCAACTTATATATAAACAACTTTTGTGCCCGTTGATGCATGGACTACACGAAAGGGTCACACGAATACTGGATTTGTACTGAAATTCAGAGAAATCTGTGAGATTGTCACTGCAGTTAGATGATTCAGAGACTCTAGAAAAATGAGTCTATAGGCTGGGCGTGGTGGCTCACGCCTGTAATCCCAGCACTTTGGGAGGCTGAAGTGGGTGGATCACGAGGTCAGGAGATCGAGACCATCCTGGCTAACACGGTGAAACCCCGTCTCTATTAAAAAATACAAAAAATTAGCTGGGTGTGGTGGCGGGAGCCTGTAGTCCCAGCTACTCGGGAGGTTGAGGCAGGAGAATGGCGTGAACCTGGGAGGCGGAACTTGCAGTGAGCTGAGATCGCGCCACTGCACTCCAGCCTGGGCAACAGAGCCAGACTCTGTCTCAAAAAAAAAAAAAAAAAAAAAAAAAAGAAAAAGAAAAATGAGTCTATAGACTGCTGTAGACATTAGAGGTGAGCCAACATGCAACTGAAAGTGTTAGTGATCATGGCCCAAAGAATTGCTCTAATTGAGGAGGCAGTTGTGTATCCTCAGTTGGATTCCAGGATTATACTTTGTTGTTGTTGTTGTTGCTGTAATTAGTCCTTGGTCCTTTTCTGATTTGACTTCACCCCCTTTTCCATGGGAGATGACTTCCTAGGAATGAGCCTTCATAGTGATGTAAGATCAGATGAAACATAGCCACAAAGTCATGTATTTAACAGTAATTTCTCTGAAAGATATAGAAGAATGTTGGAGGTGGGCAGGTGTGGTGGCACAGGCCTGTAATTTCACATTTTGAAAGGCCAAGGTGGAAGGATCGCTTGAAGCCAGGAGTTCAAGACTAGCCTGAGCAACAAAATGAGACCACATCTCTACAAAAAATAAACTAAAATAAATTAGCTGGGTGCAGTGGTGCATGCCTGTAGTCTCAGCTATTCAGGAGGCTGATGTGGGAGGACCTCCTGAGCCCAGGAGTTCCAGGCTGCAGTGAGCTACAATCATGTCACTATACCCTAGCCTGGGTGACAGAGCAAGACCTTGCTTCTTAAAAAAAAAGTGGGAGGCGGGGTTGGGGCAACAGGAAGGCAAAAAGCCTCAGGGATCTCCAGATGACTGCCCTCTAAATAGTTCTTTGCTGGCCTCAAAATCTTTCAAGATGTATAGCGTTTCATAAAACAAGGCATGTCAATTATAACTTCAGGTGTGCAATCAAAATCTAGCTCCTAAAACTAAAGCCTGTTAAGTTTTATTCTGATAATATTTATCTTCCCAGGCACAGAACAAAGGCAAAATGAGATCAATTATTCTTCCACCTATCCCATCTCTTTCTACCTGTCTTCCCCCCTGTAAGGAAATATATAAATACTAAGCCTTCTGCAACCTCTTCAGAGAGAACACACCCACAGAGGTTTTCTGTGATTCATGTTTTCCCAGGGTGCACCCTCAAGCTCTGGCTCAATAAACCTTAACTGGTCAAGACCCTTGCCTCAGTCAATCATTCTGGATGACCACCATGAGTCTTGCACAGGCCTTCACTGATCCCTTTGCTGCCCAGGTGATGTGTACCTAGGTGAATCAGGTCCCCACGAGTCAAACACTCTTCTCCCTTTCTGCCTCCTCTACCTCCCTCTCCTCATTCAGTGCCGTGTGCCCTGGTCTGGCCCCAGCTCCAGGCCATTAGTATTAGCCTAAGAAGGCAAGGCCAGGATGAACAGGCTGAGAAGGAAATCAGAGGCCAACAGGCATGAAAAGAGGCAGATGGGACTGTCATTTCTCAGAGCCACCCACTCTGGGTGTGTTTTATGACTGCTACTGGATTTGGAATCTTTTCCTCTTTGTGGCCATAATGGGAACTCACCCTTCTCCTACTTCCTTCCCATTACACTTTCTATTCATAGGGAACTCCTTTTATGACCAGAGAAAGGCTGTAAAAATAGTTGACAATTGAGTAAAACTGACTTTATAATGACTGGGAACCTGGCTCTGTTTTTTTCCAAAAGAGACTGAGATTCCTCAAAGCTAGCTTTTATGCAGGGCTGTGCAGTTGTGAGTGTAGCATTAGGGAACAGGTACATAAGTGAAGGGTGAGACAGAAAACAAAATGCTGGCTCTTTGTCAAATCCTGAAAGTAGAGGGGGCAAAAATCATTCTGGAAGGTGTATGTCATTCAGGAGACCTTGGAAATCTCAGGGTATCCTCTTCCCAGATGAAGTGGAGGATGAGGTTAAATTATGGAGTTGGGTGTGTGATACTGGGTACATTACTTCTCTGCCTCGTTTTTTTTTTGTTGTTTTTTTGTTTTTTTTGATGGAGTCTCACTCTGTTGCCCAGGCTGGAGTGCAGTGGCACGATCTTGGCTCACTGCAAGCTCTGCCTCCAGGGTTCACGCCATTCTCCTGCCTCAGCCTCCCGAATAGCTGGGACTATAGGTGCCTGCCACCACGCCCGGCTATTTTTTTTGTATTTTTAGTAGAGATGGGGTTTTACGATGTTGGCCAGGATAGTCTTGAACTTCTGACCTTGTGATCCACCTGCCTCAGCCTCCCAGAGTTCTGGGATTACAGTTGTGAGCCACCGTGCCCAGCCTGCCTCATTTTTTTAATCTGTAAAAATGGGGATAACATCCAGGAATTTTTGTGAAGATGTTAACTACATGGAAAGATCTTAGGATAGTTCCTGGCACATACTGAGTTTTAAGTCAGTGCAAACTATTATGATTATGGGAATAGGAAAAGGTGCCACCCTGGACGTGTAGGATGAGGGGGTATTTTCTAGCCAGGGTCCTAGCAGGCCAACCGGAGATGAAGATGGTTAAGCAGAAGCAGCTTAACTTCAGGAGTGGAAGGATTGGGGAGCAGTAGCTCATGCACAAGATTCTGTGAAAATGCCTTTACCTAACAGCAGAAATACCCAGAATGGGTGTGGCTTCTGTCACAATTATTGTCTAAAAATGTGTCGTAGACTCAAATGGCGTTGATGTAAGCCAAGTACAGAAAAGGGCTTCAGGGCTGCCTTGCACATAGCATTCATCTTGTCAAAGGAAAACATTCATCTTGTTAAAGGAAAACATTCATTTTGCTAAAGGAATCCCCACTTGTAGCCCTGGTTATTATTTTTGTCTCAGTACTATTCTTGTTTATAGTTTGTAAAGAGAAAGACTGAAGAAGTGTGAAATACGGAAGTGCATGTATGAATTAACAGGGCAGAATTGGGACTGGTATGCGTAAGTTAAGAGAAAGTGCATATAAATTTATGTGAACATAAAGAGGACTTCTTGTTTTAAGCAGACCTCTTTGTATAAAAAATGTGGGCTGTCTTGAGTGGATGGCAGACTCTATCACAAGAACATTCTAGCAGAGTCACGAGAGAATGGGGAGCATGACTTCTTTCTAAATGGCAAGTTAAGAGTATGTAAGTCGATGAAGAGAGAGGAGATGAAGGAGAAGATGGGTGAGGATGAGAGAAATGGGATAGAGAAAAGAACAGACTGAAAGGAATGTTTACCAAGTGCTCATCAGGTACCAGCCTCTGTGTCTAATACCTTACACATCTTAATTTACTCTTTGACTGTCATTTTCTGATAACAGTAAGAGTCATCTTTGTGCTGCAGATGAGAAAACGCTGTAGGAGGTGAAGTGAGTGGTCCAGGATCATCCAGCCAGTTCATAGCAGAGCTGGTGTGTTTCACCTCAAAGTTTGTGCTCTTGCCTGTGATTCACACAAAACAATGAGATATAGAAAGAAGGCAAATGAAATTTTTGTTGTGGGTGATGTTTATGGAAGTTACCAGTGTTAGGCAGAATAATGGCCTCCCCAAAATGTCCACATCCTTATCCATGGAACCTGTGCATGTTACTTTATTTGGCAAAAAGACTTCACTCTTGAGATGGGGAGGTTATTCTGGATAATCTAGGGTGGCCCAGTGTAATCAGAAGGGTCCTTGTAAGTGAAAGAGTGAGGCAGGAAGGTCAGGGTGAAAATGCTGCAGTCTGAGACTCCACTAACCATTGCTGGCTGTGAACATGCATCAGAAGACAAAATTTCAACTAATGTAGTTATAGATCTGATTGGCTTTTAATTGTGATTCAGGGTTTGGGGCAGCTCTCACTCTACACATACAGTGATAGCTCCCCCTGGGCAACATAATAACAGAGCAATGGGTTTTGTCAAATTGGAACCAGTAGACAGAGCCATAGAAATAAATGGATTGGTTAACATCAGGGTACTTCAGGTTACTCTTTTTGGGGTAAATGTTAAAGCAGAGGGGACTTCCTTATGATGTTGACTCAGGGAGACTGGAATCTTCTGTTTTCAGAAAACATTGGTCTGTTTTGAGATCTGCTTCCTTAAAATTCCAGTTGGAGTATGCAGCATTTAGTGTGAGTGGCTCTAATTTGGAGTCTTTAGACTCTCACTTAAGTGAGAGTGTGACCAAAGCTTAAAGCATTAGCATTACTCTCAGTTATCATCATTTTTGGCTTCCATTGTTTATAGGTTATGATATCCTCCTGATCACACATTTCTTTGAGTTTATGTAGTTCCAGCCAAATAGAGACCATTTGATATTTGATGGATGGCAGCACGCAAACACTTAAAACTTTTAGAGATTACAGCACACCAGGGAGACCAGTAGTATGACTATGAGGAAGATAATGTTAAGAGTTTGGAGTATGCACCTTTGGTAAGATGCAAACCAACTGAAATAGAATAGATAAAAGAATGAACCAGATGAGTGTAGCCATTTTAACCAAGTAGCATGTTTGTTAATTTTTGCAACTGAGACTCTATAATACCCGATATATTTATCCATGTGCAACAAGAAGCATCATAAACTACACAGACTCCTCTCTGATCAGCCAATAGGGAGCAATTTTATTATCTAGCATTGCATGCCTGGGTTAAATTAAAACAGACAGTGAGAACAAGTGAGTCTAGGAGTCTGACTCTAAAAGAGACCATAGTACATTTGAACAAAGAGTTGTGTTAAAGATGCTGTTACTGTCAGCCATTGGGTGGACTAAAGGATCTCATACGTAAAAATTTGGGGTTGACACGATAGATTAGACACTCCGTTAATCTATCATTCTCTGTATTTTCTCAAATATAACATCCCAATCAAAGCCTTGGTAATATAACCAATGTTTTAAACTATATCCCATTATAAAGACAGCAGATTCTCACTGAACTTGTGCAAATAACTGAATTACCATAAACATATGAATACTCATGAATAGTTGCCCAGTTCTGTGGCAGTCAGGTAGGGAGCAAAAGTAAATGTTATAATTTTTGTTCACAAAAGTCTGCTTTACCAAATTGCAGTAAGGTATAGATAGCTTAAAAGATAAAGAAATTCATAAATCTGAAAAAGAAAACACTTAAAGAATTGGCAATTTTTCAAATAAAAAATCTTAAAAACGGGCTGGGCGCGGTGGCTCACACCTGTAATCCCAGAACTTTGGGAGGCTGAGGCAGGCGGACCATGAAGTCAGGAGATTGAGACCACAGTGAAACCCCGTCTCTACTAAAAATACAAAAAATTAGCCGGGCGTTGTGGCAGGCGCCTGTAGTCCCAGCTACTCAGGAGGCTGAGGCAGGAGAATGGTGTGAACCCAGGAGGCGGAGCTTGCAGTGAGTTGAGATCGTGCCACTGCACTCCAGCCTGGGCGACAGAGCGAGATTCCATCTCAAAAAAAAAAAAAAAAAAATCTTAAAAACATTATCCTCATTATTATTTAGTTCAATGAAATTCATGTTTTTTTCCTTCTGTGTTTTGGTGGGCAACTTCACAAAGGTATCAGCCTGTTTGCAAGTTCATAGACAGTCCAGTGGCGTGATCTTAAAGTTATCAGGAACTTGTGTTCAAGAGTACTCGTCAGAGTATTTTCCATAAATCTTGAAGAAGAAGCAATTTTGAATGGTAGCTGATTGCAAATGCTTTGAGGAAGAATAAAAACAACTGTCTGTGAATGACAAAGATTGAAAATGACTATGGTTAAAACTCTGAGGAGAGCTCATTATGATAAAGACACAGCCACATAGAAATTTAGTTACTTCTGTGGCATATGACATTATGACTGATAACATATTCGATTTCTAGGAAACTCATAATTTTTGGAACACTCATATCGGTAACATAACCGTAAATATAACTTAGAGAAGGTTTAGCACCACTTATCAATTGACAATGCTTTCCATGTAATTTAACATATCAAGTAAGGCTGGGCGTGGTGGCTTATGCCTGTAATCCCAGCACTTTGGGAGGCCGAGGCGGGTGGATCACAAGGTCATGAGATCGAGACCAGCCTGACCAACATGGTGAAACCCCGTCTCTACTAAAAATAGAAAAATTAGCTGGGCGTGGTGGCAGGTGCCTGTAATCCCAGCTACTCGGGAGGCTGAGGCAGGAGAATTGCTTGAACCTGGGAAGCAGAGGTTGCAGTGAGCCGAGATTGTGCCACTGCACTCCAGCCTGGCGACGGAGCGAGACTCCGTCTCAAAAAAAAAAAAAAAAAAAAAAAAAAAAAAAAATATATATATATATATATATATATATAAAATAAGGTGGCTTTTCCACTTAGCTTCTGTTTCTCAACTGGATTACTGAGTTCTTGGTGGAGCCCATTAATGAACAGGGCCAGCAAAATATAGGCTTGTATATGTTGAAAAAGTTTTCTAGGAAATTCTAATACTCCCAGCTAAAGAACCATTGTTTTAGCCTCATGTGCTACCTATTAGAACAGGAGTTCTCCATCCTGGTTACATGTTAGTAGCATCTGGGAAGGCTTAAAAATTACCAATGCCTGGGTCCCACTCCAGATAGTAGGTAAGAATTTATGGATGGGGCTTGAGCATCATTTAAAAAAACATTTCTCAGTGATTCCAATGTGTGGCTATATTTCCCATCAGATTTCTCTGATTTCTTGTGGCATTCACTTTTTTCTATTTTGGTATTATGATTATTTTTCATATCTTATCTCCTGTCTTAGGCTGTATGTTCTCTGGGGTAGGGATCTTGCCTTTTTCATTTCTGTATCTTTCATGAACACATGAATTGGTCATCAGGAAAAGGTTCTCAACCACACGTAGGCTGTGTCCTGAATCTCAGGTTCACACATTAATGCTAGAGTCGTTGTTCTCCATGAGGTCAGAGGTTGCTTGCTTTGAAGGGTATGTGGGCAACTCCACAGTTCAGATAGTGGATGGGAGATTACCCTGTTTCTAGGCATAGCATTGGAACTAAGAATTCTATGTGTATATGGGGTAGATGCGCAGGGAAGTGTAGGAAGACAGTTCTAATTAGGATGGAGGAATTATACTAGGGAGTAGAGGGAATGGAAGTGAGAAGAATTAGTAAAGAGAAGAAATGTGAACTTATCAAATAGGCCAGAGTAGGCCTCTGAAGATTCTTGAGTAAGTGAGTGAACTAGATTTTAGGAAGGTAATGAGACAATCATATGCAAGGAAGATTTCAAATACTAGAGACAAGAAGTCAAGCAGGACTTCGAGCAGTTGTTGAGGTCTATGGGAATGGATAAAATGACACAAGTGAGAGATGTTAAGAAAGGATCAAAAGACTTTCATAGTGTATTGAATCTGGGAAACAAATGAGCAGAGGCTGGGAATAATCACATCTAAGAGACAGTGGGGTACAGGGAGCATGCAGACCAGGGAAGAAGAGACCTGCAGGAATTAGTGCTGAGAAGCAGGAGTTTATTGGGAGGAGGAGGAGATCCATTCCCGGGATACAGGTCTCTCTCCCAAGCATGGCGGTCAGCCCTGCAGGAAACAGGACAAGAGGAAAGGCCATCATACCTGCCAGTCTTCTTGAAATGCAGAAACTACACCAGAGCTACTATATCAGAGCCACCCTGGCCAGTACTCCAATCATGATGCTGACAGTGGCTCTAGCTGAGAGGCCAGGAGAACTTCCTTGTACTAAAGCATCTGTCATGGAAAGAAAAGAAGAGAAGGAATGAAGTTGATGCCATTTTACAGTGGGGTACCCCAGGAACCAGCTCCTAGCATGAAGTAGTCTCTACTTGTTTTTTCAAGGAATACATTATTTTTGTGGGAAGGTTGCTGGGACGTGATTAGCCAACTATATTCTTGCAGGATTTTTTCCTCTCACCATGTTTCTAGGTTGACGATCAGTCTTCGGTCAATTTCATCCTGGCATTTCTTTACTCAGATATTTTGAAGGCTTTGTGATGTGAAAAAGCTGATTGCTATTTTATGTGTCATTAGAACTTTCCACCTTTTCATGGTTGCATCTTTTTCTCAGTGTCTTAGTTGTGGCAGGTCTCTATGGCAGGGAGCTGATTGACAGAAGGCCCAGGTCAGTGCATTCCAAATTGACCACCTCCTTTGCACAGAGACCTCTCTTCCCAGGGGCTCCCAGCAGGGGTATGGAAGCAAGCCCAGTTTTGTGAGACTCTGTTTAACTCTGATGGGTGACTAGTTGGAGGACGCCCCATCAGCCTTGCCTAAACTCACTTAGAACTGCACTGCTATCTAAAACTTCTTTTTCTTTCTCCTTCACAGGAATCAAATCTGCATCGTGGTCTGAGGGCTCTCCCAGGCTCCTCTCACACCTGCCCCATTTTCCCTCACAGGTGTTTTTCCTAGTAAATTATCTTGCGTGTCTAATCTCATCTTGGTTGCATCTCAGTGGGTTAAAAACTAACATACCAGGTTTGATTCTTTGCACTTAGCTTTTTTTCTCTCTTTCACGTGTAACCAGTAACCATGTCCTCGTGTTTCCTGTGTTGCCTTTTTTTTATATGTGTGTGTATTTACCTAAGATACCTTTTACACACACACACACACACACACACAACCTTTTGCATCTGTTTCTTTATTTCTATTGGAACCATTTACTTTTGGCCCTCACCAGTCAACTCAGGCTGATGATTAATGCTATGTTAGCTACTGTTGAGGGGCAGCTCCTATGGGCCAGGCCCTGTGCTAAATACTTTACCTCATTTGATTTATACAATAACTCTCTTGGGTAGAACATTATTTCCATTTTACAGATGAAACGACAGAGGCTTAGAGTGGTGAAAAAACTTTCCTGATGTCATATGGCTGGTGAGAAGTAGACTTGAGATTTGATTCTAGGACTACTCAGCTTCAAGCTAATGATAACAGTAGTAATATATCAGCTAAAATTTATGAAACATTTCCTCTGTGTGGGGCATTTTGCTGAAGGTTTCATTGATGATTACATAAAACTCTTAAAACAATGCTATGAAGCAAACACTGTTACTGCAATTTTCAGTTGAGGAATCAGAGGCTCAGAGAAGTTAAGAATCTTGTGCAAGAAATTTATAACTGTTAAGTCTTACATTAAAAAAGAAGAAACATCTCAAATCAACAACCTAATTTGCAACTTCATGGTACAGGAGAAAAACAAACTAAACCCAAATATATTGAATGAAGGAAGTAATAAGGATTAGAGTGGATATAAATGAAATGGAGAATGGACAAACAATAGAGGAAATCAATGAAACCAAAAGTTGGTTCTTCAAAATAAGATCAACAAAATTGCCAACCATTAACTAGACTGACTAAGAAAAAAAGAGACAAGATGGAAATTACTAAAATCAGAAATGAAAATGGACTCCCAGCATGGTGGCTTACACCTTCAATCCCAGCACTTTGGGAAGGCAAATTGGGAGGATTGCTTGAGGCCTGGAGTTTGAAACCAGCTGGGGCAACATAGGGAGACCCTGTCTCTACAAAATTAAAACAAAAATTCAGCTGGGCATGATGGTATGCACCTGTAGTTTCAGCTACCTGGGAAGCTGAGTTGGGAGGATTGCTTGAGCCCAGGAGGTTGAGGCTGCAGTGAGTTTTGATCGCACCTCTGCACTCCAGCCTGGGCTGACCTAAGGAGTGAGACTCGTCTTTCTCTCTCTCTCAAAAAAAAAAAAAAAACAAACAAAAAAAAAACGAAAGAAAGAAAAGAAAATGGAGATATTATATATCAATTCTAGAGAAATATTGTTTACAAAAGTACTATGAATAATTGTATGCCAATAAATTGGATAGCCTAGATGAAATGGACAAATTCCAAGAAACACACACAAAAAATCTGAATAGACCTATAATTAGTAGGAAGATTGAATAAAAATTTCATTTGACAAAATTCAACATTCTTTCTTAATAAAAACATGCTAAGTATGAATGGAAGGAAACTATCTCAATATAATAAAGGCAGTATGTGAAAAGCCCAAGGCTAACATCATACTCAATAGAGAAAGACTGAAAGCTTTCCCCCTATGATCAGGAACAAGACAAGGATGCCTGCTTTTGCCACGTCTATTTAACATAGTATTACAAGTCCTAGCCAGAGAAATTAGGCAAGAAAAAAAGAAGACTTTCAGATTGGAAAGAAGAAGTAAAATTATCTGTCTGTTCACAGACAACTTGAACTTCTTTGTAGAAAACTCTAAGGATGAAAAAAACCTGTTAGAATTTATTAATAAATTCAGTAATGTTGCAGGATACAAAATCAGCATGCAAACATCAGTTGCATTTCTATACACTAACAATGAACAATCTAAAAAGGAAATTAAGAAAAAAATTTTAATTCACATTAACATCAAAAAGAATAAAATACTTAGGCATAAGTTTAACCAAGGAGGTGAAAGGATTGTATTCTGAAAACTAGAAAACATTGCTGAAGGAAATTAAATACGACCTCAAAAAATGGGAAGACATTTTGTTTTCATGGATTGGAAGACACGGTATTGTTAGGAGGATAATACCACCCAAAGTGAGCTATGGATTCAACACAATTTCTATCAGAATTCCAATGACATTTTTTTGCAGAAATAGAAAAATCTATCCTAAAGTTCATATGGAATTTCAGGACTCAAAATAGCCAACCAATCATGAAAAAAGGAACCTTGAAAAAAAAATGCTGAATCCTGATTTCAGCATTTACTACAAAGCCACAGTAATCAATACAATGCAGTACTTGCGTAAAGGAAGACAGAAACCAGCGGAATAGAACAGAAAGCCCAGAAAGGAATGCTTGCATATATGGCCAAATGATATTTGATAAGGATGCCAATACCACTCAATGGGGAAAGTGCAGTCTTTTCAGCAAATGATTTTGGGAAAGCTGGAAATCCATGCAGAAAGATGAGCTGAACCTTTACCTGACACCATATACAAAAAACTAACCCACAGTAGATCAAAGACCAAATGTAAGAGTAAAAACTATAAAACTCTCAGAAGAAAACACAGGGAAAAAAACTCCATGACATTGGATTTCACAGTGGTTTCTTGGTTATAACAACAAAAGCATAGGCAACAAAAGAAAAAATGGGTAAGTTGGACTTCATGAAAATCAATAACTTTTATATATCAAAGAACATTGTCGAGGAAGTGAAAAGGCAACCTTGAAGTGGGAAAAATATTTGTAAATCATGTATGATAAGGGATCAATTTTCAGAGTATATGAAGAACTACTACAAATCCACAACAGCAAAAATCCAAAAACCCAACTAAAAAAGGACAAAAGACTGAAATAGAGATTTCTCCAAGGAAGATATACAAATGGCCAATGAGCACATGCAAAGATGCTCAACATCACTGATACTTAGAGATATGCAAATCAGAACCCCAATGATAGAATACCTCAAACACATTAGGATGGCTTTGATTAAAAAAAAACCACACACACACAAACAACAAGTGTTTTTAAGGAAGTGGAAAAATTGGAGCTCTAGTGCATTGCTGATGGAAGTGTGAAATGTTATAGCCACTGTGGAAAACAGTATGGCTGTTTCTCAAACAATTAAACAAAGAATTACCATTGGATCCAGCAATTCCACTTCTGGACATATATGCAAGAGAATTGGAAGGGATTTGAACAGATATTTGTACACTGATGTTCACAGCAGCATTAGTCACACAATAGCCAAAAGGTGGAAACAACTGCAAAGTCCATTGAAAGATAAGTGGATAGAAAAGTGAGGTGTATCCATACAATGGAATGTTCTTCAATCTTAACAAGGAAGAAAATTCTGATACATGGTGCAAAATGGATGAACCTTAAAAACATTATGTTAAGTGAAACAAGCCAGACACAAAAGGCCACCTATTATATAATTCCATTTATATAAGGTTGTTAGAATAATCAATTACATAGAGACAGAAAGTAGAATGGAGGTTGCCAGGGGTTAGAGGGAGAAGGAGTGAGAGTTACTCTTTATTGGGCAGAGAAGTTTATTTAATATGGTAAGATGAAAAAGTTCTGGAAATGGATGGTGGTGATGGTTACATAACACTAAATTGCACGCATAGAAATAGTTAATGGTGGCTGGGAGTGGTGGCTCATGCCTGTAATCCCAGCACTTTGAGAAGCCAAGGCGGGTGGATCACCTGAGTTCGGGAGTTCGAGACCAGCCTGATCAACATGGAGAAACCCCATCTCTACTAAAAATACAAAATTAGCTGGGCGTGTTGGCACATGCCTGTAATCCAGCTACTTGGGAGGCTGAGGCAGGAGAATTGCTTGAACCCAGGAGGCGGAGGGTGAGCCGAGATAGTGCCATTGCACTCCAGCCTGGGCAACTGGCACTACCCCTTCCCTCTCATGCAGAGACCCTGTGGCTGAATCTCCCTGTGTCTCCAAGTGTGCATCACTCACTGTCCTCTGTGTTGTATCCACAGCCTCATGCAGCCCGTGACTTCAGAGCTAGGACACTGCTCAGGAGTCTTCCCGGAGGCTCCCTGTCTTCCCATTTTTGTGCAGCCTGACTGGGGGGAGGCTTGGCTTCAACTGGCAACTTGATTTAGCCAGATTTGGGATAGGCCACCTGAGCACCTTTTCCATACACCTGGGTCCCACCCCAGGTGGAGTCAGGGCAGGGCCTGTCACCAGGGAGCTGGGAGCAGAGATGGGAGCAGTCTGAGCTGCTCCTCCGTCATCCAAGGGGCTCCTCCTCCCATTTGGGGAACGTTGTGGGCTTGTTTCAAAGCCTTGGATGTTTCTTGCAGCTAATGGCATAGGTAAAAGAAAACAAAGGGGTAACAGAAACAGGGGTGCCATGTGTTGGTGACAAAGAAAAGCAACTTGACCTTGAGGACCCTCCTTCTTCCCCCTTGGTGAAGTCCTTTCCATGACATAGGGCTCTGGGGCTGACGAAGGCCCCTCTCCACGTTTCTCAGGTCAGCCCCGAGGTCAGCCAAGAGAAATCAGAAAAACAGGCAGAAGAGAGTCTATAGAGATAAACTGGGAGGGTTTAGGAGAAAAGTTGGGGATTTGCTTGTGCTGTTGGACACAGGCTGGGAATAAAACTTTTTTTCTGGCTCATCTCTGAAAGCCAGATAGACTCTACCAGAAAACATACTGCCAGTGCTCCAGGGATCCACTTACCAGAGACTGTGATCATCCTGACTGTGGTCCTGTTGCGGCCAGTGGCTGAGTTAGTGGTGTGGCAGGCATAGGATCCGCTGTTCTTTGTAGTGATGTTGGGGATAAAGAGCTTTTGTGTGTATTGCTGGAATGTGCCATTGACAGACCAAGAATACTGTGAGGGTGGATTAGAGGCCGCATGGCAGGAGAGGTTGAGATTTACCCCTGCATGGTAATAGGTGTCTGAAGGGGAAATGGTGGGGGCATCTGGGCCATCTAGAGCAAAAGAATAAAGTCACAGGTGATGTCATCAGAGGGAAGGGGAAGCTCCTGGTCTGTGGAAGAGCCACAGTGTCCCTCTGAGCCAAGTCACAAACCTGAGCCAAGTCCCAACCAACCCCAACCAAACCCCCGCTGTTTCTACTGAGACAGAGTCCGAGACATTTACCTGTTTCTCCCATCAGAAGATGTGGACTCCAAGTCTCCCATGACAGGAGCACCCCCTCCCCTCTTATTCTTGGTCAAGGCTAGGCCTACCCATGTTTGCCTGGGGCAGAAAGTCATGACGAGCTGGGTTTCTAGGGGTGGGTGGGGAATCTGCATTTTTGGAGCTGAGAGGGACTGAGAGGCCTGGCCTCTGGCTGCGTGGATTTGGGCTGGTGGCCTGGGCCACAGAGGAACAGAAGATACTCACAGAGGACATTCAGGGTGACTGGGTCACTGAAGTTTGCACTCGCTGGGTTCTGTATTTCACATTCATAGGGTCCTACGTCATTCCTTGTGACACTGAGTAGAGTGAGGGTCCTGTTGCCATTGGACAGCTGCAGCCTGGGACTGACCGGGAGACTCTGACCATTTACCCACCACAGGTAGGTTGTGTTCTGAGTCTCAGGTTCACAGGTGAAGGCCACAGCATCCTTGTCCTCCACGGGGTTGGAGTTGTTGCTGGAGATGGAGGGCTTGGGAGTCTCCGCTGTGCAGAAAACAGAGAGAAGATTGCCCTGTGTGGCACCTTTGATTCCTCCACAGGCAAATTTCAATTAGAGTTGGCATCTCCCACCTCTCAGCCTACTCGAGTCCTTAAAAGCCCACGGTGGGTGTGTGTGTCACAAGACAGATGCACAATGATCGGGGCTCAGAGACCATGAGGCCGCCTTCTCTGTGTGGGAGAAACACAGACTTTCTCAAATGTGAATTGGGCAGCAGCGCTGGGTTGTGGACAGACCCAGGACTGGGAGTTACAGATCCTGGTGCCTCTTCTGGTCCCTCCCTGACCGGCTGCCTGCCTGGCCTACCTAGGGGTCCTCACCTGGAACATGTAGGTGCTGGGTCCCTTCCAGCTTCACAGTCCTACTTTGCCCTTCGAGGTGTGTTTTTGAGGGTTCTGTTTCCAAGAACATTCTAGAGATGGGAGATGATGGGACATGCCACTATCCTTAATTCCTGACTGGGTGTTTCAACAGAAATAACACAGGGGAGGCCGGGGCAAGCCTGGAGGTCGGTTCCGTCGTCAGGCAGTGGAGCCACAAGGTGGGGCAGTTTTTCCCAGGTGTTTCATCGTGACTTACTTGAGTCAGTGACCTCTAAAGATAGAGCAGAGTCCAAGGAATGATCTAGAAGGAGTGAAGGGGACAGGCAAGAACAGGTGGCTTTGGAGCAGAACCTTGTTTCCTTTCCTTGGTTTTTAATGTCCCTTCTTTCCCTGCGGGGGGCAGATGAGGAGCTGTGGATCCTCCCATAAATACATGTGGACATTTGCAAATGCAAACTGACGGGTGGGGAGGGGGAGCCTGAAGTGCTGGAAATTTGGCCCTCATGGACCGTGGGTGTTTGACAGTTATGAGAGAGAAATTTGGGAAGAAGTTTTGCAAATATTTTCTCCTACTGGACATTATACAGAGTGAAATAAGCCACTGACAGGACAGATACTGTAGGATTCCACTTACATGAGGTTCCTAGGGTAGTCACACTCATGGAATCACGTAGTAGAATGGTGGTTGCTATGGGCTGGGAGTGGGGGGAATGGAGAGTTGTTCATGGGTCTGCAGTTTCAGTTACACAGGATGAGGAGGTTCTAGAGATCTGCTGTACAGCTTTGTGCCTATAGCTCATATACAGTGAGTATTTCTTATGCATAAGGCTTAGGGCCAAAAGTGTTTTGAATTTCTAACTTTTATAAATTTTTGAACATTTGCAGTATACTTACTGGTTTAGCATCTCAAATCTGAAAATCCCAAATCCAAAATGCTCCAGTGAGCATTTCTTTTGAGAATCACGTTAGTGGCCAAAAAATGTGGAATTTTGGAGCATTTCAGATTTGGGATTTTTGATGGTCAATGTGTAACTCTAATTTGCATTTTAAAATTTGTCAGGAGTTTAGATATTATGTTTTGACTATAGTCAAAAACAAAATTGGAGGAAACATGAATTTTTTTCCATAAGTAGAAATTGCTATTAATTGTCCACAGATCTAAAATCAATTGGTGGAAGGAGTATTTCTCTTGATAACAAAATAAGGTTTAGGCGTCCTGTGAATTCCAGCAGGATCACATTATGCTCAAAGGAAGATCCTGAAGTTCGCTTGAAATTAGCAACTCCCAGGTAGAGGGAGGCACGTGAGTCCTGTTAAGAGGACAGAACCGGTCAGAGAGGAAGTCTTAGGTGTGTCAATTCCATAAAGGGAGGAACAATGCCAAATTAGGAGAAGCGATGTGTGTTATGTTAGTAAATTTAGAAAGCTTCCTGCCCCTAATTCCTATGCAGAGTTAGGCAAAATTGGGAGGAGCCCAAAACAGGTATGCGCAATGCTTTCTTCATTTTCTCTTGACCTCGGGAGACACAAGTAGAATTGGATTAGGTTTTTGCGAATTGGACAGAGTCTAAGTGAGACGCCAGTGGCTCATGCGTCTCCCCACCTGAAGGACCCCATCTTATCACAATGGTGCCATCATGAGGACACAGATGTGTGTGGAACAGGCAGTAAGCCCATCAGACAGCACCTGCCTGGCCATCCAGGATCTAGTCTCTAAAGAGGTTTTGCATCATTCATTCTCTCATTCATTCCCTCTCCATGAGAGAACGATCGAGTGTGTGTCACATGTTGGGCCTGTCCTGGTGCAGGGTGTGAGTGGGGAGAGAAAGCAAAGTCCTCTCTTTTGTCCTCCCATGGGAGTGACAGCAACACATCAGGAAACAGGATTTCAGGTTCAGTGAGGGGGGTTAGGATCTTAGAGGGAGCCTGGACATTCCTCGCACTGGCTCTGACAGTTGGGGCAGGTGATTTAGTTCTGGAGTACGAATGAATCAGTTGCTTATTTGCTCTCACTTCTCTGAGCTTTGGATGCTCAGGAAGAAAGGATTTGAGCCAATGGATGACCATGGGGTCCGTGGAACGCAATAAGCCCTGCCTTCTTGTGGAAGAGAGGACGGGGCTGTGGCTGGAGAGAGACCTCATGTGACCCTGATCTATCCCTCGTGTTTGTGTGACCCTGGTTCAGTGACTGTGTCTTCCTGTGCCTCCGTTTCTTCTCAATAATAAGCTTCTATTAAAAGAAATAATAGGCTGAGCGCAGTGGCTCATGCCTGTAATCCCAGCATTTTGGGAGGCCGAGGCAGGCGGATCATGAGGTCAAGAAATCGAGACCATCCTGGCCAACATGGTAAAACTCTGTCTCTAATAAAAATACCAAAATTAGCTAGGGGTGGTGGCATGCACCTGTAGTCCCAGCTACTCGGGAGGCTGAGGCAGGAGAATCGCTTGAACCCGGGAGGCAGAGGTTGCAGTGAGCTGAGATCGCACCACTGCACTCCAGCCTGGCCACAGAGACTCCGTCTCAAAAAAAAAAAAAAAAAAAAAAAGAAATAAAAAGAATTATTATTTCTTTCTCAATAGGAAAATGATATTTTCTGCCAGGTTTTCTATGAATTAGCATTAAATTATCCATAGTCACCTGACCTGAAGCTTGCACAGAGGAGGCGCTCACACAAACAGCACGGGTTATTATTTGCCTCCATGAGAGGGTCCCCTTGGCATGATCCCTGCTGGACAAGTTGCTGTTAGGAACATCTTTCTTCTATTTCTGTCCCTGGGGACACTGAACTTTCTATGGAGTCTCCTAAGCCTCCCAGGCCAGTTGGCTGATGGCCTAAGAAGCTTGTCCATCTGTCCTCTCCACTCTGAGTCTCAGGTGAAGGACAAGACTCTGTCCTTGCCCAGATGAGGCTCTGGGGTCTAAGCCCTGGCTGGTGAGCAGCTCCAGGAGCCACAGCCCTTGGATGGCTGGTAAATCTTTGCTCCTAGTTGGCCCTGCCCAGGAGGCTACAACCCAGTGCTGGCACAGGTTTCCCAGGGTTACCTGGAGTCAGGATCCTGGGACAGGGGTCTGGAGCAGGGGCTTCCAGGGATGAACTTCTCTGTGAGGATCCCAGGATCCCAGGGAGCCCCTCAGGTCAGGCCCTGACCCAGTTCTTTAGAGTTTTTCTCAGGGTCAGGTCCATGGGGAGGGCACGGGGTGCCTGGCTGAGTCTGATCTCCTTCTGCTGAGTCCCCCCATCAGACTGTCATTCCTCTGCCGTGAGTGTCTGCAGGGTCTGGATGCAGGAAAGGAATTCTGGTCTGTGGAAGTCTGTCTCCCCTGAGTGTGTCCTGCACTAAATGTCCAAACCCTAAAGTGGGATGTAATGCAGAGAGGGACATGGGCACAGCCCAGGCCTAACAATCCTGTGTGTGGGAAGTAGAACTGACCCCCAACACCCAGAGGTCATGGGGAATCACTCACGATGTACGCTGAACTGGCCAGTTACTTCTTCACTCATAAGATTTAGCTTTATGACTTGTAGGGTGTAGGATCCTGTGTCATTTCTGGTGACGTTCCGCATCAGCAGGGATGCATTGGGGTATATTGTCTCTCGATTGCTGTATGCAGGCCCTGGGGTAATCTGTTGATTTGATATTACATATCCTATAATTCGACGGTTGGCATCCACTGTTTCCCCTTTGTACCAGTTGTAGCCACGAGGGTCCTGGGGCAGATTGTGGACAAGTAGAAGAACCTCCTTCCCCTCTGCAGCATTGGATGGCACAGCTTCAATAGTGAGCTGAGCAGTGGTGGGCGGGTTCCAGAAGGTGAAAAGTGAGGCTAGGAGGGGGAGAGAGCATCAAGCAATATTGCAACATATGTATTGGAGTAGAAAAATGGGGACATCAGCTTTGGAGTTTGTGTGTTTTTATGTGTGTGTATGTGTGTGTGTCCTACTGAGTCAATGTCAGCAGCACAGCCCCCATTTCTTCAACACCTCTGACCTTGGCATTTCCCTGGTGGAATCCTCTTCTTCAGGGTTCTGCACGGCTCCCTCCACACTGCCCTCAGATCCTGCTCACATCAGGGCATCCTTGGGAGACCCTTTCTCTGACACCTCCTCTAGAGACACTGGGTCTTCCCTTTCTGACCTTTCCCTGCTGTGTTCCTTCCAGGGCTCCTGTCAGCGCCTGACCTCACATTCTAGATCTCTTTGTCTGTCTTCCTCCCCAGGAGAGTGTGAGCTCTGTGAGGGCAGGGACTTGTGTGGTGTTGGCTGCACCCCAGTGCCTGGGACAGGCTTCAGACTCCTGTGGATGAGTTCCTGAGCATTCCCTGGGCCCTCTGCTTCCTGAGGCTTATTTGCCAATGTCTGACATTGTTGGCTGAGGACAATGTTTCATACCCTGGTTATGCTTTATTTGAAGTGTCATCTGGTATGGTTATTATTATCATTTTTCAAAATGTAGTGGCCAGTGATGATTAACCAGGAATATGGAACACTTGAGATGTTCCTGCCTCTTACCAATTCCAGTTCAATGTGATTTTCCTGTTGTGACCCCTTCCCCTCTCTTGTGTCCTCTCCTCTATTAAGGCTCCAACAGAAGTCCTCTGTCCCCTCTCAGAGCCCCGTCCTCCCCAGGAGACCCCAGCCAGTCACTGTGTTTCCTCCTCCTGTCCTTTCCCAGGAAGTCCTCTCCTCACCTGTGAGCAGGAGCCCCTGCCAGGGGATGCGCCATCTGCAGGAAGGGGCTGAGATGGGCCCCATGGTCTCTGCTGCCTGCGTGTTCTCCTCTGTGGAGATGAGCCTGGGATCCAGAAACTTTCTGAGCACGGCTGTCAGCTGTGCTGTCCTTCCTCCTTTTGTGCTGAGCCTCTTCCCGGGGCAGGAGCACTTCTCAGGCTCATGGGCGGGGTCTGTGCCCAGGACACCTCTCTGTCCCCTCCCCTCTCAGTCCTGCCTCCCTGTCCCTCCTTTCCCTTTATTTTCTGTCTGTGTTTCAGGCCCCTGGGAATTGCTGAGGTCTCTGACTCCTTCAGCAGTGATTCTCTCACCCAACCTCTGCACACACTATGCAGACACACACACACAGAGACACACACATACACAAAGAGACACACACAGTCACACATACACCCTGGAGACTGGGTGAGCACAGCCCTGTGCCCTCAGCATCCTGCAGCCTATGTCTCCAGGTCGGGGTGCACAGTCGCTCCCCCTGCCCTCTCCCATCCCCATCTGGCTCTTCCCTTCAGATCAGGAGGTCAGCGCTCCGCAAGGACCCTGTCACAGGGACACCACCACTGAGCTTTGGGGAGGTGTGTGCTCACTGGTGAGAGGGATCCTCCCCCTCTCTCATTGTGTCAAGCTTGGTTGCAGCTTCCAAGGATGGACATTCAATGCCCTGGATATCCCAGAGGGGACTGTCCTTACTGGTGGTGTGCAGGGCAAATAATCTCTTATGCCTCCTGAGAGAGAGGGCTGTTCTGGTTGGTCAGTGGGGGCTGTGGGCCTAGTGGTCATCAGGGACAGGTATCAGCCATTCTCTTGCTCTTTGGGTTCTGGCAGCTGAGCTGGGGCTCGGGCCTTCCATGTTCTCTCTGACCATCTTGGGTGTCCTCTGTTTTCGCCCGGCTGACTGTCCTGTGGTCACCCCACCTTCCCTATGGTTGGTGCAGCAGGAAGTGGGGAGTTGCCCAGGGGCCCCACAAGACAGTGCTCTCTGAGATCCAGGAGAGGGAGCCTGGGACAGAGCAGGGGCTCAGAGCTGGAGAGACTCATCCCAACTTACTCTGCAGCCAGGATGGGCTCAGCCCTCCCCATGCTGATATCCCCTGGGGTCTGTCCTAAGGGTTTGGACCTGGTCAGGCCCCTCTGTGTAGAGAAAGGATGGGCAGCGGCCGGGGAGCCCGTCTGGGGGGACGTTGCTCACACCTGAGAGGGCAGGTAGGGGTGGGCCATGTTCTGGGAACAAAGGGAGCTCATTCCTTGCCCCCCAGCTTGTGTACATGAGAGAGCGCTGTCCTCCCTCCTGGCTTCACGAAGGACAGCAGGGGGCAGGTGGCTACATCCCAGACAGTGCCTGGGCGTGACCATCACATACTCTCCGAGCCTCCTGGGGTGCAGAGGGAAGGTCATAGGGTGCCTGGCTGATTCCCCAGAGGCACTGTGGGCCCTCAGGCAGCTGTGGTTCTGTCAGCGCTGGGCTCAGCCTGCCATGCCGTAGAGAACAGGACACACGGAGCAGGGGCGGGTATTTAGGGAGCAGTCACAGAAAGAGTTGATGAGGATGGAGGGAGGTCACGAGGGGAAAGCGCCCAGTGTGGCATCCCGTGCACCAGCGCTGCCCTGGGAGATGCCTTAACTAGGCCCAGGGAAGGATTGGGTGTGTGGGGCAGGAGCTGCCTGCAGAGGGGGCGGCCTCATGTTGCCGGCTGCCTGGCTGCAGGGAGGAGCTGACAGAGTCCGTATGGGGAGCTTGGAGGGTAAGGAGGACGTGGGCCGAGGTGCCCTGGTGAGGGTGGACCCTGCTGGGCTGTGGGTTCCGCTGAGGGAGGTCAGCAGCCCCTGGGAAGGCTCCAGGCTGGAGGGACTCTGTCGCCCTCTGGTGGACTGGAAGGGAAGTGTGGGTGGCCGCAGTCCCAGGTCCGGCTGCGTGTTTTATTCCACATGGATCTGCACATTTCACACGAGGTCACCCACATGTTATGTCGAGCTCCATCACATTCCACATCCGTGTTTTTCTCTGTGGCTGATTCTCTGGTGTGATCTCTGAGCCTGTGTTAGTCCTCCTCACAATGGTCACAGCTGTGTGTGGAGATCTAATGGGGTGTGTGTGGCTCATGTGCTCACACAGAGTGTCCTGGGGTCAGGCTTTATGACCTACCCTGCCCCAACTCCACAACAAGATCTGAATAATGCGCCAAGTAAGATAAAGTCAGAATCCATGGGGGAGGGTGAGAGTCCTGGCAGTGCTGAGGTCTGTGTCTCCAGCTTAACTCTCAGTCTCTTTGCAAATACATTTATGTTGTGCATCTGCAGTTGGCTGGGCAGTTTCATGTCTCTGAATCCTTGAATCTCTCTGTGGATAAGGTCATGTAGGGACTGCATGTAAGTGTATGAGGGCTATCTGATTAGGGTGGGTATGTTTTACGTAGTAGGTTTTCTTCACCAAAGACTTTTCAAAAAATTGTGGTAGAGTGTATATATGTACATTCATATATCACCTCCACTTCCTGAGTTCAAGCGATTCTCCTGCCTCAGCCTCCCAAGTAGCTGGGACTACAAGCGTGCACCACCATGCCGGGCTAATTTTTGTATTTTTAGTAGAGGTGGGGTTTCACCATGCTGGCCAGGCTGGTCTCAAACTCCTGAACTTGTGATCTACCTGCCTCAGCCTCCCAAAGTGCTGGGATTACAGGCATGAGCCACTGCACCCGGCCTGTATATCTTCTTTGAAGAAATGTCTATTTGAGTTTTTGCCCATTTATAAACGGGGTGGTTTGTCTTTTTGTTATTGAGTTGTAGCAGTTCTTTATATATTCTGGACAGGAAGCTCTTCTATATGTAATTTGCAAATTTTTTCTCCCATTCTGTGCCTGGTCTTTTCACTTTCTTCATAATGTCCTTTGATGCACAAAAGGCTTGCATCTTCATAAGGCTTAATTTATCTCTTTTTCCTTGTTGTTGCTCATGCTTTTGTGTCATATCTAACAATCCATTACCACATTCGAAGTCATCAAGATCTACCCCTCTTTTTCTTTTTTTAAAAAATATATATTTTATTTACATAGGTTTTTTGGGGAACCGATTGGTATTTGGTTACATGAGTAAGTTCTTTAGTGGTGATTTTTGAGATTTTGGTGCACCCATCACCCAAGCAGTATACACTGAACCCAATTTGTAGTATTTTTTCCCTCACTCCCTTCCCACCCTTTTTACCTGAGTCCCCAAAATCCATTTTGTAATTCTTATGCCTTTACATCCTCATCACTTAGCTCCCACTTATGAATGAGAACATACGATGTTTGGTTTTCCATTCCTGAGTCACTTCACTTAGAATAATAGTCTTCAATCCCATCCAGGTTGCTGAGGATGCCATTAATTCATTCCTTTTTATGGCTGAGTAGTATTCCATCATACACACACACACACACACACACACACACACACACACACACACATATATATACATACCAAGTTTCTTTATCCACTCATTGATTGATGGACATTTTTGTTGGTTCCACATTTTTGCAATTGCAAATTGTGCTGCTATAAACATGCATGTGCAAGTATCTTTTTGTATAATGACTTCTTTTCTTCTGGGTAGATACCAAAAGTGGGATTGCTGGATCAAATGGTAGTTCTACTTTTAGTTCTTTAAGGAATCTCCACACTGGTTTCCATAATGGTTGCACTAGTTTACATTCCCACCAGCAGTGTAGAAGTGTTCCCTTTTCACAACATTCATACCAACATCTATTATTTTTTATTATGGCCATCGTTGCAGGAGAAAGGTGGTATTGCATTGTGGTTTTGATTTGCATTCCCTGATTATTAGTGATGTTGAGTATTTTTATATGTTTATTGGCCATTTATATATCTTTCTTCAAGAATTGTCTATGCATGTCCTTTGCCCACTTTTTGATGGGATTGTTTGTTTGTTTTTTCCTTGCTAATTTGATTGAGTTCATTATAGATTCTAGATATTAGTCCTTTGTCAGATGTATAGATTGTGAAGATTTTCTCCCACTCTGTGGGGTGTCTGTTTACTCTGCTGACTGTTCCTTTTGTCGTGCAAATGCTCTTTAGTTTAATTAAGTCCCAGCTATTTATCTTTGTTTTTATTGCATTTGCTTTTGGGTTGTCATGAACTCTTTCCTAAGCCAATGTCTAGAAGGGTTTTTCTGATGTTATCTTCTATAATTTTTATAGTTTCAGGTCTTAGATTTAAGTCCTTATCAATCTTGAGTTGATTTTTGTATAAGGTGAGAGATGAGGATCCACTTTCATTCTTCTACATGTGGCTTGTCAATTATTCCAGCACCATTTGTTGAATAGGGTGTCATTTTTCCACACTATGTTTTTGTTTGCTTTGTCAAAGATCAGTTGACTGTAAGTATTTGGGTTTGTTTCTGGGTTCTCTGTTCTGTTCTATTGTTTCATCTGCCTATTTTTATACTAGTACCATGCTGTTTTGGTGACTATGGCTTTATAGTATAGTTTGGAATCAGGTAATGTGATGCCTCCAGATTTGTTCTTTTTGCTTAGTCTTGCTTTGGCTGTGTGGGCTCTTTTTGGTTCTATGTGAATTTTAGAATTTTTTTTTCTAGTTCTGTGAAGAATAATGGTGGTATTTTGATGGGAATTGCATTGGATTTGTAGATTGCTTTTGGCAGTATGGTCATTTTCACAATATTGATTCTACCCATCCATGAGCATGGGATGTATTTCCATTTGTTTGTGTCATCTCTGATTTATTTCAGGAGTGTTTTGTAGTTTTCCTTGTAGAGATCTTTTACCACCTTGGTTAGGTATATTGCTAAGTATTTTTTTCCAGTATTGTAAAAGGAGTTGAGTTCTTGATTTGATTCTCAGCCTGGTCACTGTTGGTGTATAGGAGAACTCCATCACATTCCAGACCCATGAGTCCGTCTCTGTGATTGCAAGTTCACTGCCCTGCCTCTTTCACAGTCAGATGTTCCAAATGCAGATTTTGTGTCACCTTCTGTGAGTTTGTGTTTGTGTGCAGTAGGTTGTACTGTGTATGCCCGGGGTGCAATGATGCCTTGAGCTGAGCACTGGGCAGGGGTTTGGGAGCAGAAGAGGGAGGTGCAGGGCGGGAATATCAATGTTAGGGGAGCAGGGGGAGCAGGGACAAATCATCTTCATTTCTTGTTGTCAGGGACAAATTCTGGGGCACAGCACCTGGTTCTGGGGCACAGCAACCCACTGTTTGTGTTCCTGGGTGTTGTGAGTGCTCATAATTTCATGTGTCCTTGGCATCCATTTCTTAAGGTGTAAGCTTAACTGCCTCATATCAGAGGCAGGACTTGGTCACCATGACAGTTTCCAATACTGTACCCGGTCAAAAAGGCTCCAGTTGGTGGCCAGAGATAAAATCTTAGAGGCATCTCTCCTGGGCTCCCCTCCCTCCAGCTGCTTCCTTTAAACTGATCATTCTGACATTTGTCCTCAAATTTAAAGTGACCACCTCTCAGTCACAGTATGATCTCCTTGACCCAGTGTTCACTTGTTTTAAACCTGTCCATTAAAGCTCCCTGTTGTAAACCTGTCGGATAACTCTGTGGACCCAGTAAAGCCACTGGCTTACAGGACTCTTCTCTCCTCCCTCCCTGGGCTCCCTGACCTCTGTGTCTGTGGTCTCCAGGTGTGCTGTGTGCTCCCCCATGTCTGTAAGTAGTAAAACTCTTACACTTTATTTTATTATTATTATTTCTAATTTTTTGAGACAGAGTCTCTTTCTGTCACCCAGGCTGGAATGCAGCGGTACAATCTCTGCTCATGGCAACCTCTGCCTCCTGGGTTCATTTTTGCCTCAGCCTCGCGAGTAGCTGGGATTACAGGCTTGTGCCACCATGTCTGGCTAATTTTTTGTATTTTTAGTGGAGATGGAGTTTCATTGTGGTGGCCAGGCGGGTTTCAAACTACTGACCTCAGGTAATCCACCTGCCTCTTAAAGTGTTGGGATTACAGACATGAGCCAGTACACCTGTCCAGAACTCTTACACTTTTACATTGTGGTTGTGTCACTCACTGAAGCCTCACCTGCCATCTGGGGCCTGACATCGAGGCTGACCCAAGGGACCCATGCAGGTTGAGCCCCTGCTGGAGTGCTTTTCTTGAGGCCTTGGTGCTGCTGGGGACAGGAGCTGCCAGCTAATTTGATAGAGAACCTGAAGAGTTTCACTCAAAACCCTGGGCTAGATGATGTATTTCTGGGCTTGGGCTGCTATAACAAACACCATAGCCTGGGTGACTTAAACAATAGAGATCTATTTCTCATCGTTATGGAGGCTGGGAAATCCAAGGTCAAGGAGACAGGTGACTCAGCCCTGGTGAGGGCTTCCTTGCAGATGCCTACTTTCTTTGTGTATCTGCACATGGTGCGGGTTTTTGAAGGGGTGGAGAGACAGAGCGAGGGAGAAGGAGAGATGCCATTCTCTTGTATTTTCCTTTTATTATAAGGGGATTAATTCCATCATGAAGCCCCCAGCTTTATGACCTAGTCATTCTCTAATTACCTCCTAAAGACCCCACCTCCAAATTCCATTTCATTAAGGATGAGAGTTTCAACAATTTTGTGGGGGACACATTAAGTTTCTTTTTTCTTTTTTTTGAGATGGAGCCTCACTCTGTCATCCAGGCTAAAGTACAGCGGCATGATCTTGGCTCACTGCCACCTCTGTCTCCCAGGTTCAAGTGATTCTCCTCCCTCAGCATCCCCAGTAGCTAGGATTACAGGCATGCACTACCACGCCTTGGCTAATTTTTGTATTTTTAGTAGAGATGGGGTCTCCCCATGTTGGCCAGGTTGGTCTCAAACTTCTGACCTCAAATGAGCCACTTGCCTTGGTCTCCCAAAGTGCTGGGATTACAGGCTGACTTATTCAGTTTCTAGCAGGGGAGGTGAGAGCTGCTTTCCCTCCTGTTCATGGGACCTGGCCTTTTCTGCTGAGATGGCTTCACACTCATAATCTCACCCTAGGCTGCAGACCCACAGAGCCTGTGTCCTCGACTCCTCTCCTGCCCATTCCTGGGTATTCCTTCCTGCACCACGTTCTCCGTGTGGCCCCACCTGCTCTCGTTCCAGGGAGCTGCCCCTGGGTTGCTGCCCCTCTCACCATCTTTGGGCTCACTGGCCTCTGCCATTTCTTCTGAGCCCTGAACACTGATCCCTGGCAGGGAGGAAGTGTGAAGCTGGAATGGGTGCTGTCCAAGGTGCTGCTCTCTGTGGACAGTTTGACAGTGAGGGAACCTGATGTGTCACCCCAGAGGAGGCCCAAAAGCTGTTTCTCAGGGGTGCCTGGATTGTAGTGGGGTGGGTACATTAGAGTGGGCTGGACCATGGACTGCAGGGAACCTGTTCTGTGTCAGCGACCAGCTCCTCAAGCTCCATGTTATTCTCTGTAACTGACTGCCTTGTGTGCTCCCTGAGCCCAAGATAGATTCCTTCCCACAATGTCCAGAGAGTCAGAGCTGTGTTTGGAGACCTAATGGGGGGTCTTGTGTGCTTACACAGAGTGTCCAGAGAACAGGCTTCATGACCTCCCCTGCCCCACCCCCACATCAAGGTCTGGATAGTGGGCCAGGTCAGATAAAGTCAGAATCCATGGGGAGGGTGTTGTCCTGGCAGTGCTGAGGTCTGTGCCCCCAGCTTAATTCTCAGTCTCTTTGCAAATACATTTAAGTTGTGCATCTGCAGTTGGCTGGGCAGCCTCATGTCTCCAAATTCTTGGATCTCCCTCTGGATAAAGTCATGAAGGGTTTGCATATAAGTATATGAGGGCTATCTGATCAGGGTGGGTTTTACATATACATATATGATACATATTTACAAATATGCATAATACATTTATTATGTATTATGCCATTTTAACCACTTTAAAATGTGCAATCAAATGGAATTAACCACCATCACCACTATCTTTCCTAGAAATTTCTCATCATTCCAAACTGAAACGCTTTATCTTTTTTTTTTTGTTTTGTTTTGAAACAAAGTCTCTCTCTATTGCCCAGGCTGGAGTGCAGTGGCGCGATCTCGGCTCACTACTACCTCTGCCTCCTGGGTTCAAGCGATTCTCCTGCCTCAGCCTCCAGAGTAGCTGGGATTACAGGCGTGTGCCACCACGCCCAGCTAATTTTTTTGTATTTTTAGTAGAGATGGGGTTTGAACTGTTTTGGCCAGGCTGGTCTCAAACTCCTGACCTTGTAGTCTGCCTGCTTCGGCCTCCCAAAGTTCTGGGATTACAGGCTTGAGCCACCGCGCCCGGCCAACCGTGTATCTTTTAAACAATAACTTCCGATTTTGTCCACCCTAGACCTCGGTAATCTCTAGTCTGCTTTCTGTCTCTATGAATTTGCCTATTCTTGATGTTTCATATAAGTGGTGTCATACACATATGTCATTTTGTTTCTGGCATATTTCAATAGCATAATGTTTCCGAGGTCCATCCATGTTCCAGTGTGCGTCAGAGTTTTGTTCTTCTTTATAGCTGATTAACTTGCTGTTGTATGTATCGCCATATTTGTTTATCTATTCATGTGTTGATGGACACTTGGGTTGTTTCTATATTTTATCTATTGTGAATAGTGCTGCAATCAACATTCCCATTCAAGTACTTCTTTGAGTCTCTGGATTCAATTTTTTGGGTATATACCTAGGAAAGGATGTTGTTTTATATGGGAAGTCTATGATTAGCTCTTTGAGGAAGAGCACAACTGTTTCTCATAGTGGCTGTACCTTTTTGTATTCTCACCAGCAATGTATAAGGATTCTAAATTCTACATAAGTCTCCCACTTGTTATTTAACATTTTAAAAGAATGGTAACTATTCCCCTAATGACTAATGAAGTTGAGGGTCTTTTCATGTCCTCAACTATTTGTATATCTTCTTTGAATAAATGTCTATTTGAGTCCTTTTCCCATTTATAAATTGGGAGGTTTGTCTTTTTGTTATTGAGTTGTAGCAGTTATTTATATATTCTGGACATGAAACCCTTGTCTATAAGATTTGCAATTTTTTTCTCCCATTCTGTGTCTGGTCTTTTCACTTTCTGGATAATGTCCATTGATATAAAAAATACTTGCATCTTGATAAAGCCCAATTTATCTATTTTTCATTTTTGTGTCTCCTGCATTCATGTCATATCTAAGAATTTATTGTCACATTTGAGGTCATCACGATTCACCCCTACATCTTTTCTAAGACATTTTTATGGTTTTAGCTTTTATATTTAAGTCACTGATCAATTTTGAGGTAATTGTATGATATGGTGGGATGAAGAGTTCCATAAGTTGTTTTTCATGTGGTTATCCAGTTGTCCCTAAACCATTATTTGAGAAGACTATTCATACCCCATTAAATTATCTTGACACTCTTGTTAAGGAGCAATTGACCATAAGTATGAGGGTTTATTTCCGGACTCTGAGTTCTATCCCATTGGTCTCTGTGTGTATCCTTATGCCAGTAGCACACCCTTTTAATAATTGTACTGTTCATGAGATTTCAAATAAGAAAGTACAAGTCCTCCAATTTATTTTGGCAAGATTGTTTTGGCTATTTAGGGGTACTTTTTTTTTTTTTTTTGAAAAACAACTAGGTCAATGGTTCACAATTGGGGAAGGCTTTTCTCTTTCCTCCTGGAGGGAATTTGGCTGTCTAGAGACCTTTTTAGGAACCTAATCTAAATAGATAAATTATCCCCACTTCCCTTGCTGAGGTGTTGTGTTAAAGTGTGCATTGCCTCCTGTGGAAAAATTGAGAGATCCTGGAAGCACTTGGCCATGTGGTGAGGGACAGCAAGTTCCATGATGATGGGCAGAGACGACATCGTTTGGAACACAGTGTTGTTGGAGGAGCTGTATGCATCTCTACTTCTTTATTTCTCTGTACAACCCACATCTCCACCAGACACAGTAGATATTAAAATCATTGTTTATCCTCTGGTGCACGGATCTTGGCTGACCTGTCAGCAGGAGCTAGAAGTGATACCTGGCAAGGCAGGGGAGGAGCAGGGCTCAGCAGGGTGAAAGCAGCTGGGACCCAGAGAAGCCAGAAAGGTCTGACTCTTAGAAACTAGGGGCCAGGAAGTGGGTGTCCTCAGGGGCAAATGGATCACAGTGGTACCCATTGCAGTGGACTGGAAGAAGGTAAGAGACACTGGGTATCCTATGTCCTCTCTTAGCTCCCTAACTGAAGATTTGGGGCCTGGGCTGGTTGTGTCCTGTAGCAGGCAGCGGGTAGACAGGGATGGCTGCATATCAGGCCACAGTCTATGTCATCTTGTCAGGCATTGTCACTGCAGATGGAGAATTCTGTTCAGATGCCTGGCCTGGGCACATGTAAGGGACCACCTTATTCTTTTAAAATTATTTTAAGAAAACAATATCAGCAAATGTGATCAATGTTTATTTTTCTAGAATCATTATTAATGTCATGTTTTACAACATGTCTCTTAGGGAAATGGTGAGAACCGTGAACACAATGTGTGTTTTAAGTGGACTCTCCTATAATTTCAACTTTTATACATTCTTATAGAAACTATTTTCTCTGTGAACACAAAGGTAATATCCCTGTGTTCATTTCTACTTGGAACTCTGTATTCAGGGTGGAGCGAGTTACATTTCCCCATAAAAGATGGAAAGCATTTGACTACCAGAAAAAGTGTCTAAAAGCTGCTGGTAATGATTATAGGGCTGCAGGTGGAGGTCAGTTCAAGAGAGGTGAGGGAAACTAATGTTGAGTACTTTTTCTCAAAATAATGTGCAGAAGGAACAACCTTGGCCCACCTCATGTTGGGATGAATGAGGGACAGAAATAGAGGTCAGTAATTTAAAGATCAAATTCAAGAGTGGGCAACAGGTTTGAGATTGGAATGGGTGTGAGAGGTGGACGGATGAATGGTGAAGATGTTCAAAACACCTTCCTACCCCATATTGAGCCCCTGAGGTTGAGACAGTGTCCAGAGCAGGGGCAGCAGAATGCTGTGAGCTCACAGGGCTGGCATGAGACTTTAGCACAGTCTAGCTACTACGTCTATTTTGGGATGGATTCATATTTAAGGAATAATCTAACAGTATACAATTTTGAAAATATATAGAAATTCCTTTGCTATGAATTTCTTCTTCATAAGATATTTCTTCTTAATGAGAGAATTGATTTTTTTTTGAGATGGAGTCGCAATCTGTCACCCAGGCTGGAGTACAGTGGCATGATCTCGACTCATTGTAACCTCCACCTCCTGAGTTCAAGCGATTCTCCTGCCTCAGCCTCCTGAGTAGCTGGGATTATAGGCATACACCACCAAGCCAGGCTAATTTTTGTATTTTTAGTAAAGACAGGGTTTCACCATGGTGATCAGGCTGATCTCGAACTTCTGACCTCGTGATCCGCCTGCCTTGGCCTCTCAAAGTGCTGGGATTACAGGCATGAGTGAGGTGGACTGTAGACCCTTTCGATTTGTGGTTACAGACCCTTGGAAAAGCCTCACGCTTCCTGCTGTGAGGTACAGGTAGTCATGTGGCATCACCTCTAAACGTGTCTTCTCCTGAGACATCAAGTTTCTGATTAAGTCAAAATCATTTCAACAGATATTGAAGATGTCAGTTTTACTCTCACACTCACAATTCTTCTACCAAGAGATGAAAGATTTTACTGGTGACTTGTTTGTAGATATTAAGATAGATCAGTGATTTGGACGGGAAATTTTGCCCTCCAGGGGGCATCTGGCAATGTCCGGAGACATTGTTGGTTGTCAGAGCTGGGGGAGAGCCCACAAATGGTGCTGAACATCCTAGAGCTCACAGACAGCCCCACCAGCATGACCACCCCAAATGTCATTGCTGAGGAGTGGAGAGCCCTGCGGTGCCCTTCCTCAGCTTCCCTGGGGCTTCCTCTCACCTGCTTCTCCCATCTCTCCCGACCACTCCTTCACCTCAGTTCCATCGTTGCCCAACAGTCCTCTCCACCTGAACTTGCTCTTAGTCCAAGGCCAGCCCTGATCTCTCAACTCTCCTGGCTTCCTTTTGCTCCTTAGCAGGAGGTGCCCACTAGAGGGCGCACTCGCCCTTCCCGGCACTCAGGCTCTACCTTTCCTTTCTAAGACAAGCGTGGCTGGCACAATCCCAGCCCTCAACAGTCTTTAGGTTTGCTCACGGGGCAGCTCTTGGACAGGCATCAGGAACCCCAGGGAGGAGCCTGACTCTGGAGATTTTTGTGCATGGACTGGGGACCCGGAGCCACCCCAGGGCCCAAGTCACTGGGGAGGGGCTGGGTCCGTGCACGGGGCCGCACACTCAGGGTCCAGACACTCCTGCCCTGTGTGGGTGCTGGGGACATGGCCATGCGCCTGTGTCCCTAAAGCCTCTGTCACTCAGGATTTGTGCCTGAGGACCTTGGCTGGGCTGCTGTGTAAACTTCCAGATGGAGCCTTTCCCAGTGGGGCACGAGTCCTCCCAGAGATTTCAAGGAGGGCCTTCACCAGGAAGAATCAGGAGGAATGTGACAGCCACCAGGGTGTAGTTTCCCTCCAGGGCCTGAAAAGAGGCACCTCTCTTCATCATTTGCCCAGAGTATTTGTACTGTCTCCATCATGATGGAATGATGCCATTTTGCTTCTGTTCTGCTAATAATAATTTTGTTTCTAGCTAATCTGTTGATGTAGTAAAAACAATTGTTAACGTTGCTATGTTAAAGTGTGGCATTTTAACATGATGTTAAAACACTATGTTAAACCTTGCATTTCTGGGGAAGCAACTCAAGGTGGTAAATTCTGACTCATTTTGGTCGTACTTCATTTGTGGATTTTCCGTCTTTGTTTCTGAGTAGGGCCTGCAATTTTACTTTTTCATTGTTTCCTGGTTGGCCTTTGATAAGAAGGTTCTACTTCCACAAAAATGAGTTAATGAGTATTGTTTATTTTCTTTTTCTCTGGAAGTGTTGTGTAAGGTTGATAGGAGCTGGTCTTTGATTGTTTTGTAGATTTTAAAAATTTAAACTGAAGAGATTTTATACTTCTTGTTTGGTGAAGTAACATGGACATAGCATAATGTCTGCATGTTTGTGTGTGCCAATGACAGCCCTGTCCAGATCAAGACAGAGCACATTGTCTGCACCAAGCGACACTCCTGCGCCCCTCCCAGCCACTGCAAGCACCAGGTCACTGTCATTCTGATCTCTATCACCAGAGATGAGTTTTGCCTCTTGGGAACTTTATAGCTGTAGAATCAGGCTTCATTTTCCCTTCTGCATTGGCTCCTTTCTTGCAACTAGTTGTGTGAGATCATGCATGTTTTATGTAGCAGGAATCCATTTATTTTCATGTTGTAAATTATCCATTAGTTTGAATACACCACAGTTTTATCCCCTGTATTGTTGCACATTTGGACTGCGACACTATTTGGGTCTTCTGAATCATGCTGATGTGGACGTTTCTACACACATATTTTGGTGGCCTTACTCATTTCCTTGGGTGTAGAGACCATTGCATATGCTGGAACTTCTAAGATTGTAGATTTTCCTGTTAGAGAGTTGATCACATCTAAATTCCCACCAGCAACATCTCCGTGTCCAGTTGTTCCAACTCTTGTTATTGGCAGTCGATTGAATTTTAGCCTTTCTTATGTTGTTGGGATGAGATTTCATAATGGTTTTAATATGCCTTTCCTAAATAAACAACAGTGTAAATGCATCTTTTCATGTCGTCATGGGCCATTACACATGTTCTACCATCTGGTGCCTCTTAGAGTTTTCTGCCATTTAAAAACATTGTGTTGTCAGTCTTTCTCTTATTGTTATTTTGTTATGTACCTTGGGTGTGGCTTCTTTGTCATTTAGATAGATACACATGTCTGTATACGTCTTGTGTATGTAGGAGAGAGGGAAAATTGGGAGCCTTTTGAAGAACAGACATTCTCAATGTCAATGAATTTTATCTGTTGTTAAAAGATTGTCATGTCATGTGAATTAGAGATGTAGATTTATCTTTTTTTCTCTGTAGAGATATTCATGGTCATCTCAAATCATCTGCTTTTTGTGAGTATGCACACGTGTGCATATGTTTGCATGTGTGCAAATATTGTAATTATTAAGTAAGATTTTAAGATGGGTGGCTGGGCATTGTGGCTCATCCCTGTAATCCCAGCACTTTGGGAGGCTGAGGCAGGATTTGAGCCTAGGTGGTGCAGACCAGCCTGGGCAACATGATGAATCCCTGTCTCTATTAAAAATATAAAAAATTAGCCAGGCATGATGGCATGCCCCTGTAGTCCCACCCAGCTTTGCTCACTTCTTATAAGGAAGATGAGTTTCCTGTTCCTGTGACAATGGAGAACAGCCTTCAGCTTGGTTTCCTCTCAGCTAAGGAGCTGGTTTGGGGTTTTGTTTTAGAATTTGGTAGTTGTAGGTTAAGGGTTAAGGTTTCTTGATACTTGGCTCTAACCTCTCCTTATGCCTAGAGTGTTCAACAGTATGTAATTTGTGCAATTGCTTTTTGTGATTTTGGTTTTTATCATTCTTCTTTTGGATTTAACCAACCCTTCACCGTGTCTAGAGTTTAAAACACCTTCCAAGTTGGTCAAATCCAACAGGAGCTCCACATTATGATGAACCAGGCCTCTAAAATGGAAAAACCCCAACTGCATAACATCAAATTTTAGCTCTAGAAACACCTGCTGGTTGAAGGAAATAAAAATATTTTAACCCAAAGTATAGTAGTATAGTTCCTTGACAAATTTTGAGGTGGCTGATAGAGGGTCAGCAAACAGAAGTGGCCCTGCAGAGCTGTCTCTCATGGGAAAATTTACATCTGTAGAGAATCTTTATTAATGCAGGCAGGTCTTCCTTTATCTGGATCTGGGAAAATTCTTTTTTTTTTTTTTTTATTGATCATTCTTGGGTGTTTCTCGCAGAGGGGGATTTGGCAGGGTCATAGGACAATAGTGGAGGGAAGGTCAGCAGATAAACAAGTGAACAAAGGTCTCTGGTTTTCCTAGGCAGAGGACCCTGCAGCCTTCCGCAGTGTTTGTGTCCCTGGGTACTTGAGATTAGGGAGTGGTGATGATTCTTAACGAGCAAGCCGCCTTCAAGCATCTGTTTAACAAAGCACATCTTGCACCGCCCTTAATCCATTTAACCCTGAGTGGACACAGCACATGTTTCAGAGAGCACAGGGTTGGGGGTAAGGTTACCGATCAACAGGATCCCAAGGCAGAAGAATTTTTCTTAGTACAGAACAAAATGAAAAGTCTCCCATGTCTACTTCTTTCTACACAGACACGGCAACCATCCGATTTCTCAATCTTTTCCCCACCTTTCCCCCCTTTCTATTCCACAAAACCGCCATTGTCATCCCGGCCCGTTCTCAATGAGCTGTTGGGTACACCTCCCAGACGGGGTGGCTGGCCGGGCAGAGGGGCCCCTCACTTCCCAGTAGGGGCGGCCGGGCAGAGGCGCCCCTCACCTCCCGGATGGGGCGGCTGGCCGGGCGGGGGGCTGACCCCCCTCACCTCCCTCCCGGACGGGGCGGCTGGCCGGGCGGGGGGCTGACCCCCCACCTCCCTCCCGGACGGGGTGGCTGGCCGGGCGGGGGGCTGACCCCCCCACCTCCCTCCTGGACGGGGCGGCTGGCCGGGCGGGGGGCTGACCCCCCCACCTCCCTCCCAGATGGGGTGGCTGGCCTGGCGGGGGCTGACCCCCACCTCCCTCCCGGATGGGGTGGCTGCCGGGCGGAGATGCTCCTCACTTCCCAGACGGGGCGGCTGCTGGGCGGAGGGGCTCCTCACTTCTCAGACGGGGTGGCCGGGCAGAGATGCTCCTCACGTCCCAGACGGGGTCGCGGTGGGGCAGAGGCGCTCCTCACATCCCAGACGGGGTGGCGGGGCAGAGGTGCTCCCCACATCTCAGATGATGGGCGGCCAGGCAGAGGCGCTCCTCACTTCCTAGATGGGATGGCGGCCGGGCAGAGACGCTCCTCACTTTCCAGACTGGGCAGCCAGGCAGAGGGGCTCCTCACGTCCCAGACGATGGGCGGCTGGGCAGAGACGCTCTTCACTTCCCAGACGGGGTGGCGGCCGGGCAGAGGCTGCATTCTCGGCACTTTGGGAGGCCAAGGCAGGCGGCTGGGAGGTGGAGGTTGTAGCGAGCCGCGATCACGCCACTGCACTCCAGCCTGGGCACCATTGAGCACTGAGTGAACCAGACTCCTTCTGCAATCCCGGCACCTCGGGAGGCCGAGGCTGGCGGATCACTCGCGGTTAGGAGCTGGAGACCAGCCCGGCCAACACAGCGAAACCCCGTCTCCACCAAAAAAGTACGAAAACCAGTCAGGCCTGGCGGTGCGTGCCTGTAATCGCAGGCACTCGGCAGGCTGAGGCAGGAGAATCAGGCAGGGAGGTTGCAGTGAGCCGAGATGGCAGCAGTACAGTCCAGCTTCGGCTGGGCATCAGAGGGAGACCGTGGAAAGAGAGGGAGAGGGAGACCATGGGGAGAGGGAGAGGGAGAGGGAGAGGCCAACTGAATCTTCTAACTTATATATCAAAAAGAAATATTTACCATCCATTCTCTAGGAGGGCTGCCACCTACAAGGTTTCATTTACATAACAAGACCAGCTTTGCTAGAAAAAAACAGTTTTTCTTTCATCTATAACTTGTCTTGCCACTGAAACCTGATTTACCATCATAACCTGTTTTTGGCCATGCAGGAATGCAAGAAAATAATCAGCCAGCAAAACAGTAAGAATTTATTACACTCAAGGCTGCTGGCTTCTGTCCGTGCAATCTTTTTAATCAGATGGTAAAAATCAGCGTTTCTTCCACTACATTTTGATTAATGGGAATGGAAGATTTGTTTATGACTAGTCTTCATGTAGTGACTCTGGTATACTTTTTAGTAATTTTTGGGTGTGAATATTCATATTGTTTAATCCCTTTTTTCCCAGAGGTAGTCTTGCTAACTAAGCTCTGATCTTTTTATCTTGCCCAAATTCCTATCTAAGTGGTCTGGGAAGTCATACCCTACAAACCATAAATTCTCAGCAGATGGGTTTCATTTAACCCTAAATATCATGACTTACTTTCCAGTCTGACTCTGGCATAACATTATGTGACAAAGAAGATCAAAATATTTTACCCCAAAACATGTTTCTTTGCCATGTTTTGAAATGGTCCTGCAAAGCTGTCCTTTGTGGAGGAAAATGTGCATCTGTAAAGAATCTCTGTTAACATAGCTAGGTCTTCTTCTTCCAGGCCCTCCCAATCCTGAAGAAATTCGGTAAGAGCCTACCACCTTTTTGAAGGTCTGAATAGGAAACATTTGTCATCTGCTGTCTCTAAGGGCAGCCACTATAAGACTTCAAAAGAACCTTGGTCTCCACAATTTTTTATCTCAACCTGAACATTTCCTTTCTATTGATCCAAGGTATTTAGACAAACTCAACCAACTGTCCATCAGAAAATGTTTAAATTTACTTGTAGCCTGGAAGTCCCCACTTTGAATTGTCCCACCTTTCTGAACCAAACCAATATATTTCTTAAATGTATTTGATTGATGTCTCATGCCTCCCTAAAATGTATAGAACCAAGCCGCACCCCGACCACCTTGGGCACAGGTTCTCAGGACCTACTGAGGGCTGGGTCACGGGCCATGGTCACTCATATTTGGCTCAGACTAAATCTCCTCAAATACTTTACAGAGTTTGGCTCTTTTCGTCGACAGTCTTTTCCTTCATCTCTTTTCTTCTGTGTTGTTCATGAAGTGGGGTACTGGATAAAGTTTCCTTGTCATATTCCTTGTCTCATCTTGTCATATGCCCTTGAGGGCTTGATTTGTGACCAAGTGGGAGCACTCATTCTTGGTCTCCATTATCAGCAGTGTGTGATTTTTGAGTCACATTAGGTGACCAGCCTTAAAATGGTTGGGAACCCGAGATTTTTTGTTTTGTTTTGTTTGTTCCAAATGTGTCAAGCTCCCAGGAGGGCTTGTCATAAGAAGTCCCATCCATAAGGGGCTTTTGTCATTCCAACTTCTGTTGTCTGGATAGGGCTGTGGCAACAAGAGTCTTTTGCTATCCTAGCCTATTGCTGGGAGTGAATATTTTATTTTGTTGGGGTTGGGGGAAAGACCTCTACAATTGCTTCTTCATTGAAGAGGGCTATTGACTTGAGGGCTATTTAGAATCAATATACCACTGGAAATTCTAATTGTCTATGGCCAGAAGATGGATTCCTGAAATCAGACTCCTATGTTAAAAGTATTTTAGAGATCTCTTATTCTAAACAGTTGGTAGGAGGATCAAATTTCAAAGAAAGACACGTAATCGTGTTCTGGCTAGCCTTAAAAATTCTCTTGACTAAATTTCAGAGCAAAAATCTGACCTAAAACAAAGTTAAATTTTTTTGTAAGCTCAAACTGCTTGCTTTAGATCCCCTGAGGGAGTAAGAATAAAAGCCACTCCAATATTCCATTTCATGGAATAGTTAAAATTCCATGCTTTCACTCCTGACCTGGATTTTGTTTCAAGTCAAGGAACCAGCCTCTTTTGTTTTGATATTTATGTGATTTTTGACTTTTTAAGGTACTCATTTACCTCTTTGGAGATGCCTCATACATCCTTGGCTAAGTCTTGGCTAAGTCGTAATCTTGATTAAGGCTTATTAGTTTCAGATGGGAGGATACTTTTGGTAAAAAAGTTTCAAAAACCAGAAGTTTCACCTGTTTGTCCTAGCTAAAATCTGATAGTAAGAAATCTGAAAGTGTTACATGTATTTAGTCAGACATGAGCAGGGCAGGAGAGAGCCTCCCGTCCCCCGCATCAGGACTATCAGGTGACTATTAGGTGATGGTCAGGCAGTTGTTAACTGTCTTTCTAAAATAATAATTGGCCACAGCCAGTGCCAGAAAAAGGCAGTCTCCCAATACATAGGAAACACCTGAAACTGGTGATTAGCAGCTTCCCGATAAGTTCTCAGAAGTTGGGTGAGTGGGCTCAAGCATGTGCATTAAGAGGCAAAATTGCAGAGTTTAATTGGTATATGACCTTCCAGGGACCTTTGACTGGTAAGGGAAGAAAGCCTCAAGTGATCATGCGCACAGCTCCAGTAAACACACTGCACATGCTCCTCTCCGAAGTGCTGGCAGGCCACTGTGCGTGCCGACAGCCCACTCCAAGGAAAGAATCAGGGGAGGAGAGATGCAGACCCCAGAATTAGTCCAACATACAAAAGCCTAAGTCAAATGTCAAACCTCATACTTGATCTCTTGTCACCTGCTTAGCCCTCTTTTAAGCGTACTTTACTTCCTTTAATTTCTGCTCTAAACCTTTTTAATAAAACTTCACTCCTGCTATAAAAGTTGCCTCAGTCTCTGCTTCTGCCTTATGCCCCTTAGTCAAATTCTTTCTTCTGAAGAGGCAAGAATTGAGGTTGCTATAGGCTTGTACAGATTTGCTGCTGCTAATATTCTTTGGTGCCATGACTCAGCTACATTTGGCTGCTAAGCAAAGAATTTTTAAAAAGAGCTCTATTGTTAAAAGTCAGCTTAATTAAAAGCTGATTTTCAAGCCATATATTTATTTTATATTAAATATATATCTTCATATAGAATATATATTCCTATAGAATATATATAGGATATGTAGATATTCCTATAGAATGTATGTATAGGATATATAGATATTCCTATAGAATGTATGTATAGGATATAGATATTCCTATAGAATATATAGGATATATATATTCATATTGTATATACATTCAGAAAGGGCTTGAAGGCCTCAAGGCCTTTCTGCTTTTCTTTTTTGTATCTTTAAAAGTTTTTTTCCAGTTGACTGAAATCTTTCAAAATCATATACTTAGTCTCTCTGTTTCTTTCTCAAGGATTCTTTTTCAGTTCCTTTCTGTTCCTCCTTTCTTTTGCTACCCTTGATGCTACATGAGGGGACCTAAAGAATTTCTAACAGCCTGGTACCCCTTAAAGAAAACAGAAAAGATGCCACAGACTCCCCTGTTTGGAAAGAACCACAGTTTTTCCTCATGGAATCCCAAGAGTTGTAAGTGAATGGATTCCTCTCAGGTCTAAAACTCTGCTCTCTTTTCAACTGTGTTGACTGACCTTTTTGGCTTCTGGGGGATCAGAGTTTACTTTTTGTTTTCCTTTTTTTTTTTTTTTAATGAGATGGAGTCTCTCTCTGTCGCCCAGGCTGGAGTGCAATGGCACGATCTCAGCTCACTGAGACCTCTGCCTCTCAGGTTCAAGCGATTCTCCTGCCTCAGCCTCCCAAGTAGCTGGGACTACAGGCACATGCCACCACACCCGGCTAATTTTTGTGTTTTTAGTGTATTTTTAGTAGAGACAGGGTTTCACCATGTTGGTCAGGCTGGTCTCAAACTTCTGACCTCATGATCCGCCCAACTCAGCCTCCCAAAGTGCTGGGATTACAGACTTGAGCCACTGTGCCCGGCTCAGAGTTTACTTTGTACTGTAAAAAGACTCGACCTTCCTTGTGTAATGGCTGCTGGGTCAGTGGTAAGAGCTATGGTTTTTGAGGTAACTAACAGTGGTTAGTCAGTGATTATTACTTCAGAGGGCTACTCATCTCTTTGCATGTTTAGATAAGAAAGACATGGTTTAAACAACTAGAAAAAGTCCATTTTGGCAAAGTACACTATGGAAGTGTTTCACAGTATGATCCCCATGGCATATTCCTCTTCTTAGGGACGCGGGATTCAGTGAAATCCTTGAGTTTTAAAAGTCTAGATGCTGTCCCTTACAACTGGGTCTCCCTTTACACATTGAAATTATTAAGATCTAAAAATTACAAATACTTCGTTGGCCCTCTTCTTTAATGCGCTCCTCTCCAAGCTCCCTGGACCAGTTGGAAAACGGAGACCAAATTAAAATCTACATATCTAAATAAAATTTATCTCCTTATAAAATCCTATGGTAAATTTTTATCATTTTGGTGTTACCTTGGCATCTATTTTTAATCTTCCTTGAACACACCCAAATTCCTTCTTGTAAAACCTTAAATTCTCAATCTCTCTGTGCTTTGAGGTATACATTTGCTACCCATTTTCTAAAACTCAGTAAAGCCTTCCTCAGATAAATGTTAACCTTTTCCATTTACAAAGGCACAATTTGAATTCAACTGTCTTTTTAAAAATAGTGAGTTTTACTGGTCCCATGTTTAAACTCCTAAAATCAAAACACTAACATCTGTCTCCCTCTATGTTTATGTGGACATGTATATATGTTGTATCACATATGTGTATATGTCTATACATATGTTTATTATTTACACATGGTATCAAATTAATGTAAAGATAAATGAGTACTCATAAATTAAGTAAATAAGCTCAAATGCTTTTTTCAATACATGTAATTATAGTAATCTTTTATAAATATAGTTTTAAAATTATTGGTAGAATGAAGTAGAAATGTCTTAAAACACCTTGAACATTTAACAACCTTCCCAAAATCAAACTTCAGTTTCAAAATTGTCTTCCATGGCACCTGGCTTTTCAAATATTTCAGATGGCCCCTGAAGTGTCCAGGAAAGAGAGGTAAATAGGATTATTTGAGATGTTTAGGTACATGGGATTGCCAAAATGATGCTCAATCTTTTTTAGATTATATCTTGGTGAATAATGCTAATATATGTTCCAACATTGTATGGGATTTCTAAAATTCTAATGTCTGAGTATATGCTATCAATAATAATTAAGGTTTTTTTTTTTTCTTTTTAGACGGAGTCTTGCTCTGTTGCCCAGGCTGGAGTGCAGTGGCATGATCTTGGCTCACTGCAACCTCTGCCTCCTGGTTTAAGTAATTCTCCTGCCTCTACCTCCTGAGTAGCTGGAACTACAGGCACGTACCACCACGCCCGGCTAATTTTTTGTATTTTTAATAGAGACGGGGTTTCACTGTGTTAGCCAGGATGTTGATCTCCTGACCTCATGATCCACTCACCTCTGCCTCCCAAAGTGCTGGGATTACATTCATGAGCCACTGCGTGATTGTGTTTCTAACTGTAACTACCCTGGACATTTTGCTATTCACAGACAATTGTTATCTTGTTTTAATCCTTTTCAAAGATGGTTTATAATGAGCTATAGAACTTTAACAGGCACTCTCAAATACAAGCTTCTGATAACTTTGGAGATCATAACATTGGAATAAAGGAAAATGTACAGGACTCATAAAGAGCTTAAATGTTCAAGAATATCAAGCAAAACAAGAGTTAACTAAATGAACTGAACTCAGAAAGCTGAAGCAACATTTGTTTGGAATATTTTGCTGATTCTTGTTTTGCTTTTCAGAGTCAAGAAAACTTATTTGGAATTATTTACAGCTTTTAACAATTAAGTAAGGTATACACTTCTGTGATCAAGATTTGGAGCCTGTTTGTTTCTCTCTGCCTGGTTCCTCTAAAATTTGGAAACTATCTGTGAGTATTCCTATGGCAATACAGTTGTTTGAATCAGTGCAATAAGAATTCATTTTTCTTTTGCAACAGGACACAATTGGAGAAAGTGATTATTTTACCAAGGCTTTGACTGGAAGGCTATGCTTCCCTTGAAGGAGTCAGTCTTCACTTGGAGAACCAATAAAAGCCCCAGGAGGAGACTGGCCTCATACCCTTGTTTACACGGTCCCTGTACAGGGTTCATGACTTATGGTCAGTAAAGAATGTCACTTTCTAACAGGTCCAGGAGTTCCAAGTTTATTATGTGACTTTAAGAGGAGAGGATCACCCAACTCGGGGTTATTTAAGGATGCAAACCTATGGCTGGGCTTAGCTTTAAAAGGTCTTATCTGCAGGAGGCTGAGGCAGGAGAATGGCATGAACCCGGGAGGCGGAGCTTGCAGTGAGCCGAGATCGCGCCACTGCACTCCAGCCTGGGCGACAGAGCACAACTCTGTCTCAAAAAAAAAAAAAAAAAAAAGTCTCATCTGAGATTCCTTGGGGAACAGAGTTCCATCAAAATCAATCCAAAAGGCCTATGTAGAAATAATTATTCTTGGCCAGGTACAGTGGCTCACGCCTGTAATCCCAGCACTTTGGGAGGCCAAGGCGTGTGGATCATGAGGTCAGGAGATCAAGACCATCCTGGCTAACACGGTGAAACACTGTCTCTACTAAAAATACAAAAAATTAGCTGGGCATAGTGGCATGCGCCTGTAGTCCCAGCTGCTCAGGAGGCTGAGGCAGGTGAATCGCTTGAACCCAGGAGGCGGAGGTTGCAGTGAGTCGAGATCGCGCCACTGCACTCCAGCCTGGGTGACAGAGCGAGACTCCATCTCAAAAAACAAAAAAAAAAAAAGAAAAAAAGAAAAAGAAATACTTATTCTTGAAATAAAAGCTTAACAAGGTTTTCCTGAGGTGCTAATCTGTTCTTTGGCAAAATTTCTAAAGGGTTATAAAAGGCTTTTGCTTCTTTAAAATTTATGAGTCATCATTTTTGGCAAAATAAATAACATAGTAATCTGGAATTCTATTTCATAATAACATAATGAATATTTCATAAAATCTTATTAATCAAGTATTATGAATATCATAATATTTCATAAAATCACACAGGAAGCATTGTCACATATGAAATGGTGTTTTGCTTTCTTTGGGCTATATTTGTATAAATATGTTATTGGTATGTGTTCTAAAGTTATGGAAGACTCCTATAATTCTGATATATCTTAGTGTACATTATAAGTAATAATTATTATTGTTATGTTAAATTATTGTGTGACACAGAGTTAACAGATTTCCTTGTCAGTTGTGTCTTTAACTATGGCTACCCTAAAACTTTTTGTCATCCACAAACAGTTGTCTTGTTTTGGTCCTCTTTAAAAGGTGATTTTATAATCAGCTATAAAGGTCTAACAGGTGCTCTTGAATGCAGGTTTCTGATAAGTTTGGAGATAAGATGGTGACATCAGAATAGAGGAAAAACGTTCAGAACTCTTGAAGAGCTAAAATGTTCATTAATATCAAGCAGGACAGGAATTAACTGCGTGAACTGAAATAATAGCAGACTGGAGTGATCTTTTTAATGTTTTGCTGAAAACATTGCTAATCCTTTGTTTTGCTGTTCAGAGTCAAAGAAACTTCTCTTTTAAGCTATTGACAGTTTTTAACAATTTAGCATACTCCCATGAATAAAATTTGGAGCATATTTGTTTCTCTCTACCTGATTTTCTCAATAATTTGGAAACTATCTCTGAGTATTCTTAAGTTATGGCAATATAGTTATTTGCATAAGTGCAATAAGAATCTGTCTTCTTTTGTAACAGGACACAATTGGAAAAACTGGTTATTTTTACCAAGGCTTTGACTGGAATGGTAGATTCCTTTAAGTAATCAAACTTGACTTCATAGGTGGGGCTCGAGCGTTCATTTTGAAAAATGTTTCTGAGTGATTCCAATGTGTAGCTATATTTCCCATCAGATTTATCTGAATTTTTGTGGCATTCGCTCCTTTCTTTTTTGGTATTATAATTATTTTTCAGGTCTTATCTCCTCTCTTGGGTTTTATGTTCCCTGGGGTAGGGACCTTGCCTTCTTCATTTCTGTATCTTTCATGAACACATGAATTGGTCATCAGGAAAAGGTTCTCAACCACATGTTGGTTGTGTTCTGAGTCTCAGCTTTACACATTAGTGCTAGCGTCATTGTTCTCCATGAGATCAGAGGTTGCTTGTGATGAAGGTTGTGGGTAAGTCTGCAGTGCAGATGGTGGAGGAGAGATACCCTGTTTTTGTATATAGCATTGGAACTAAGAATATTATTTATATATGGGGTGGAGAGTCAGGGATGTGTAGGAAGACAGTTCTAATTAGGATGGAGGAATTATACTAGGGAATTATACTAGGGAATAGATGAAGTAAAGGAAGTAAGAAGTATTAGTAAAGAGAAGAAATGAGAACTTATCAAATTGGCCAGAGTAGACCCCTGTAGATTCTTGATTAGGTGAATTAACTAGATTTTAGGAAGGTAATGAGACAGTCATATGCAAGGAAGATTTCAAAGTCTGGAGACAAGAAGTCAAGCAGGACTTCGAGCAGTTGTTGAGGTTTATGGGAATGGAGAGAATGACACAAGTGAGAGATGTTAAAAAAGGATCAAGAGTCTTTGGCAATGTACTGAATCTGAGAAATGAATGAGTGGAGGCTGGGGATAATTACATTTAAAAGACAGTGGGGGTACAGGGAGCATAAAGACCAGGGAGAAGACCTACAGGAATTAGTGCTGAGAAACAAGATTGGTGGAAGGAGGAGTAGATCCACTCCCAGATACAGGCAAAGAAGTTCTCTCCCTCTCCCAAGCATGGCAGTCATCCTTGGAGTAAACAGGACAAGAGGAAAGGCCATCATACTTGCCAGTCTTAGTGAAATGCAGAAACTACACCTGGGTTGCTATATTAGAGCCACCCCAGCCAGTACTCCAGTCATGATGCCGACAGTGATCCCAGCTGAGAGGCCAGGAGAACTTCCTTATCCTGAAGCAGCTGTCATGGAAAGAAAAGAAGAGAATAAATGAAGGTGATGTTATTTTACAGTGGAGTGCCCCAGGAGCCAACTCTCAGGATGAAGTAATTTCTACTTGTTTCTTCAAGGAATACATTATTTTTGTGGGAAAGTTGCTGGGAGGTGGTTAGCCAACTATATCCTTGAAATTTGTCTTCTTCTCACTGTTTCTATGTTGGCCATCAGTCTTCTGTCAATTCTGTCCTGGCCTTTCTGCACTCAGATATTTTTGAAGGCTTTGGGATATGAGAAAAGCTGATTGCTATTTTCTACATCATTAGAACTTTCCACCTTTTCATGATTGCATCTTTTTTTCTCAGTGTCTCAGTTTGGGCAGGCATGAATTAGACCCTGTCAGATCTCTATGGCAGGGACTTGATTGACAGAAGGTTCAGGTCAGCGCATTCCAAATTCACCCACTCCTTTGCACAGAGACCTTGCTTCTCAGGGACTCCCAGCAGGGGTATGAAAGCAAGCCCAGTTCTGTGAGACTTTGTTTTATTCTCATGTGTGACTGGTTGGAGGACTCCCCATCAGCCTTGCTGAAACTCTCTTAGAACTGCCTTGATACCTAAAACTTCTTTGTCTTTCTCCTTCACAGGAATCAGGTCTGCATCATGGTCTGAGGGCTTTCCCAGGCTCCTTCCATGCCTGCCCCACTTTCCCTCACCTGCATTTTTCCTAATAAATTATCTTGCATATCTAATCCCATCTTGGCTGCATCTCAGTGGGTAAAAATGAACATACCAGGCTTGATTGTTTGCACTTAGCTTTTGTTCTTTCTCTCCCACATGTAGTCAGTAACCATGTTCTAGTGTTTTCTGTGTTACCTGTGCTTCCATATACGTATATATATGTGTGTGTGTGTGTGTGTGTGTATTTACATAAAATACCTTGTCTACACACACACACACACAAACACATACACACACGCAATACCTTTTGCATCTGTTTCTTTATTTCTGTTGCAAGCATTTACTTTTAGCCCTCACTAGTCAACTCAGGCTGGTGATTAATGCTATGTTAGTTACGGTTGAGGGGCACCTCCTATATGCCAGGCCCTGTGGTAAATACTTTACCTGTATATTATTTGATTTGTACAATAAACCTGTCAGGTAGACATTGTTTCCATTTTACAGACGAAAAGCTGGAGGCTTAGAGTGGTGAAGAAACTTTCCTGATGTCATATGGCTAGTGAAAGGCGAATCTGAGATTTGACTCTAGGCCTCACTTCAAGGCTAATATTAATAGTAGTAATAAAGCAGGTAACATTTATAAGACATTTCCTCTGCATTTTATGGAAGGTTTCATTGATAATTACATTAAACCTTTAGAACAATACTATGAAGCAAGCACTTTCATTGCAAATTTCAGTTGAGGAATCAGAGGCTCAGAGAAGTTAAAAATCTTGTACAAGAAATTTATAACTGTAAACTCTTACATTAGAAAAGAAGAAAGATCTCAAATCAACAACATAATTTACAACTTCAGGATATAGGAGAAGAACAAACTAAACCCAGCCATAGTGAATGAAAAAAATAATAAGGATTAGAGTGAATATAAATAAAATGGAGAATAAAAAAATGGAAGAGATTAATGAAACCAAAATTGGTTCTTCAAAATAAGATCAACAAAACTGACAACCATTAACTTGATTGACTGAGAAAAAAGAGAGAAGATTTAAATTACTAAAATCGGAAATGAAAATGGAGTCTGGGCATGGTGGCTCATATTTTAATTCTAGCACTTTCAGAGGTGTGTGGGAGGATCACTTAAGGCCAGGAGTTCATGACCAGGCTGGGAAACACATGAATATCCAGTCTGTATAAAAAATTCAAAACATAATTTGCAGGGCATAGTGGCATGCACCTCTAGTCCCAGCTACTTGGGAGGCTGAAGAAAAAAGATTGCATGAGCCCAAGAGGTTGAGGCTGTAGTGACCCATGATTGTGCCTCTGCATTCCAGCCTGGGCTGGCCTATAGAGTGAGACCCTGTCTCTCTTAGGAGACATTACTACCAATTCTAAAGAAATAATGATTACAAAAGTACTGTGAATAATGTATGCCAATAAATTATATAACCTAGATGAAATGGACAAATTTCTGGAAACACACAAGAAAACCCGAGTAGACATACAATTAGTAATAAGATTGAACCAATAAAAGCATTTGACAAAATTCAATATTCTTTCATAATAAAAACATTCTAACTATAAATGGAAGGAAACCACCTCAACATAGTAAAGGTAATATGTGAAAAGCCCAATGCTAACATCATACTTAAGGGAGAAAGAGTGTAAGTTTTTTCTGTATTATCAGAAACAAGGCAATGATTCCTGCTTTATCTACTTTCATTAAACATAGTATTGAAAGTCCTAGTCAGAAAAATTAGACAAGGAAGAAAAAAGACATTCACATTGGAAAGGAGTAGAATTATCTCTGTTTGCAGATAACTTGAATGTACATCTAGAAAACTCTGAAGATAGAAAAAACCATTAGAATTAATAAATCAATTCAACAATATTGCGGGATTCAAAATCAACGTGAAAACATTAGTTATATTTCTATAAACTAACAATAAACCATCTGAAAGGAAATTAAAAAAAATTTCAATTCACATTAACATCAAAAAGAATAAAATATTTATAAGTTTAAGCAAGGAGGTGAAAGAATTCTACCCTGAAAACTACAAAATATTGCTGAAAGAAATTAAAAATGACATCAGTAAATGGAAAGACACTTTGTTTTCATGGACTAGAAGACTCAACATTGTTAGGAGGACAATACTATCCAAAAACGTCAGATTCAAAGAAATTTATATCAGAATCCCAGTAACATTATTTGTAGAAACAGAAAAATCTATCCTAAAATTCATATGGAGTCTCAGGGCTCTAAATAGCCAAACAATTCTGAAAATGAAGAGCAAAGGCAAAGTACTCATACTTTCTGATTTCAGCATTTACTACAAAGCCACAGTAATCAATACAGTGTGCTGCTGGCATAAAGGAGGACATAGAAACCAATGGCATAGAATAGAGATCCCAGAAAGAAATGCTTGCATATATGGCCAAATGATTATCAACAAGGCTGCCAAGACCATTCAATGGAAAAAGGACAGTCTTTTCAACAAATGATATTGGACAAGCTGGATAGCAATGGGCAAGAATGAGTGGAACCTTTATCTAACACCATGTACAAAAATTAACCCACAGTGGATCAAAGACCTAAATGTCATAGCAAAAATAAAACTCTTAGAAGAAAACATAGGGGAAAAGCTACATGACATTGGATTTCACAATGATTTTTTGGTTATAACAACAAAAGCATAGGCAACTAAAAAAATGGGTAAATTGGACTTCATGAAAATTAAAAACTTTTATATATCAAAGAACATTATCAAGAAAGTGAAATGAAAAGGCAACCCATGAAGTGGGAAAAATATTTGTAAATCATATATCTGATAAGGAATTAATTTCCAGAATATATGAAGAACTACTACAAATGAACAACAGCAAAAATCCAAAAACCCGATTAAAAAATGGACAAAGGACTAAAATAGAGATTTCTCCAAGGAAGATATACAAATGGCCAATAAGCACATGCGAAGATGCTCAACATCACTAATACTTAGGGATATGCAAATTAAAACCACAAGGATGCACCACCTCACACACATTAGGATAGCTTTGATAAAACAACAGCAACAACACCACCACCACAAAACAAGTGTTTTCAAGTAGGTGCAAAAATTGAAGCTCTATTGCATTGCTGATGGCAATGTAAAATGTTATACTGCTGTGGAAAATGGTATGGCTGTTTCTCAAAAAATTAAAGAATTACCATTTGATCCAGCAGTTCTGCTTCTGGACATATACCCAAAGAACTGAAAGGAATTTGAACAGATATTTGTACACTGATGTTCACAGCAGCATCACTGACAACAGCCAACAGGTTGTTGTGATGAACTGAACTGAAAAGTTAATTGAAAGATAAGTGCATAGAAAACTGAGGTATATCCATACACTGGAATGTTATTCAATCTTAACAAGGAATACAATTCAGATACGTTGTGCAAAATGAAGGAACCTTGAAGACATTTATGCTAAGTGAAATAAGCCAGACACAAAAGGACAATTATTAGATAATTTCATTTGTAGGTGGCTGACGCCTGTAATCCCAACACTTTGGGAGGCTAAGGCAGGCGGATCACTTGAGGTTAGGAGTTCAAGAACAGCCTGGCCCGCATGTTGAAACCCAGTCTCTACTAAAAATACAAAAATTAGCCAGGCATGGTGGTGTGTGCCTATAATCCCAGCTACTCAGGAGGCTTAAGCACGAGAATCGCTTGAACCTGGGAAGCAGAGGTTGTGGTGAGCCAAGATTATGCCACTGCACTCAAGCCTGGGCGACAGACCCTTACTCTTAAGGGTCTGTCTTCAAAAGAAAAGAAAAGAAAAAGATAGAATAGCCAATTACATTGAGACAGAAAGTAGAATGATGGTTACCAAGGGTTAGGGGGAGAAGGAGTGAGAGTTTCTGTTTATTGGGTACAGAGGTTTAGTATGGTGAGATGAAAAAGTTCTGGAAATGGATAGTGTGATGGTTACACAACACTAAATTGCACACTTAGAAATAGTTAATGGTAAGTCTTACATCGGGTATACAGTGGCTGGTAGTCTTACCCTCTATAAATACACACTTTTTGGTACTGCCCTTTCCCTCCCATGCATCTCTGTGTGTCTCCAAGTGTGCATCACTCACTGTCCTCTGTGCTTTGTCCCATGTGCTGTGCTCACAGCCTCATACAGCCAGTGACTTCAGAACCAGGACACAGCTCAGGAGTCTGCCCCAAGGCTCCTTTTCTTCCCATTTTTCTACATCCTCACCTAGGGGAAAACTTTGCTTCCACTGGCAGCTCAGTTTAGCCAGATTCCAGACAGGCCACCTGGGCACCTTCTTGACACACCCCAGCCCCACCCCAGGTAGAGTCAGGGCAAGGCCAGTCACAGCTGGGAGCAGAGTCTCAGCTACTCCTTCCTCATCTGAGGGGCTTTCTTCTCTCATTTGAGGGAAAAATGTGAGCTTGTTTCAAGCCTTGGATGTTCCCTGCAGCTCAAGTGTGGGTAAAAGTAAACGAAGGGGTGCACAGAAAAGGATGTGTTGGTAAAATAGAGAAGAAACTTGACCTTGAGGACCCTCCTTCTTCCCTCTCTGTAAAGCTCCTTCCACTACATTGGGCTTGGGGCTGATGAAGCCTCCTTCCTACGTTTCTCAGGCTGGACCTGAGTTCATCCGTGAGAAATCAGTAAAACAAAAGGAAGAGTCTGTAGAGATGAATTGGGAGGGGTCAGGAGAAAAATTTGGGATTTGCTTGTGCCCATGGGACACAGGCTGGGAATAAAAATGTTTTCCTGGTTCTTCTCAGAAAGCCAAATAGACTTCACCTGAAAACCTGTTGCCAGTGCTCCCCTTACCAGTGACTGTGATCTTCTTGATCGTGAAACACCTGCTGTCAGTGGCTGAGTTGCGAACGAAACAGATGTAGATTCCACTATTCTTTTTAGTGATTTTGGAGATAAAGAGCTCTTGTGCTGATTTTTGGAACTTCCCATTAATCTGCCAAGAATACTGTGGGGGTGGGTTAGAGGCTGTGTTGCAGGAGAGGTTGAGGTTTTCCCCTGGATGGTAATAGGAGTAAGAGGGGGAAATGTTGGGGTCGTCTGGGCCATCTGGAGCAAAGAAAATAGAGCCAAAAGTCATGTCATCAGAGGGAAGGAAAAGCTCCTGGTCTGTGGAAGAGCCACAGTGTCCCTCTGAGCCAAGTCACAACCCTGAAGTCCCAGCCAAACCCCCGCTGTGGTCACTGAGCCAGAGTCTGAGAATTCACCTGTTTCTCCCATTACAAGCTGTGGACCCTGAGGTCTCCCATGACAGGAGCAGCCCCTCCCCTTGGATTCATGGTCAAGGCTGGACCTACCCAGGTTTGCCTGGGGCAGGAAGTCATGGCCAGCCTGGGTGCCCAGGAGTAAAGGTCTCTGTACTTGGACCTGAGAGGGACTGAGAGGCCTGGCCTCTGGCCATGTGGATTTGGGCTGGCAGCCTGGGCTACAGAGGAACAGAAGATACTACAGAGGACATTCAGGGTGACTGGGTCACTGTGGTTGGCACTCACTAGATTCCGGATTTCACATTCATATGTTCCTGCGTCCTTCCTTGTGACTCTGGGTAGAGTGAGGGTCCTGTTGTCATTGGACAGCTTCAGCCTGGGACTGACCGGGAGGCTCTGACCATTTACCCACCACAGGTAAGTTGTGTTCTGAATCTCAGTTTCACAGGTTAAGGCCGCAGTATCCTCATTCTCCACGGGGTTGGAGTTGCTGATGGTGACGAAGGGCTTGGATAGTTTCGCTGTGCAGAAAACAGAAGATTGCCCTGTGTGGCAACTTTTATCGCTCCATGGACACTTTTTGATCAGAGTTGGAATTTCCTGTCTCTCAGCCCAATTGAGTCCTTGAAAGCCCATGGCAGGTGTGTATGTCAGAAAACAGATGCATGGCAATCTGAGGGCTCAGAGACCATGAGGCCACCTGTTCTGTCTTAGAGAAGCATAGACTTTCTGAAGTGTAAATTGAGCAGCAGTGTTGGGTCATGGACTGACACATGACCAACAGTCACAGCCCCTGGTGTCTCTCCTGGTTTCTCCCTGTCCAGCTGACTGGCTGGCCCAACTTAGGGTCCTCACCTGGAACGTGCAGCTGCTGGGCCCCTTCCAGCTTCAGTTCTACTTTGCCCTCCTAGGTGTGTTTTCTCTGTGACTTCTCTTTCAAGAACATCCTAGAGATGGGTGTTGATAGACTTTCCATTGTCCTTAAACCCTGTGGATACTGGGTAGCCTGGCCTGGAACTAGATGTTTTCAGCAGAAATAACACAGGGGAGACCAGGGGCAAGCCTGAAGATCAGTTTGGTCTTCAGGCAGTGGAGCCACAAGTCAGGGCAGTTTTCCTGAGATGTTTCATAGTGACTGACTTGAGCCAGTGACCCCTAAAGATAGAGGAGAGTCTAAGGAATGATCTAGAAAAAGTGAAGAGAACAGAAAAGAGCTGGTAGCTTTGGATCAGAATCACGTTCCCTGTCCTGGGTCCTTGATGCTTTCTCTCCCCCTGCAGGTGAGGACCATGTGGATCTTTCTAGAAATATATGTAGACATTCGCAAATGCAGAATTGACTGGAGGAAAAGGGGAGCATAAAATGCTGGAAATCTGGCCCTCATAGATCATGTTTATTTGGTGGATATGAGACAGAAATTTGGGAAGAAGTTTTGCAAATGTTTTCTCTGATTGGACATTCTACTCTCTGATTCCATGAGTTTGACTACCCTAGGGACCTCATATAAGTGGATTCCAGAGTACACTTCTATTATGATTTGTTTTTAATAAATGGGGTCTGGAGAGAGAAAAATTATGCTTTAAAAGAAATTCTATAGTACATCTGTTGTTGGTTGTTCTTGAGTTTTATTCTGCAGTTTGGACCAAATCATAGATTCTTAGTGGGCTTCAGGTTCCCAAACTAAAGCTTTCAAAACTTTACCTTTAAAATTGGGAATTGTACTCTTCATCCTAGTAGTCATTATTTACCTTATACTATGCTGTTAACTTAAATACTGAAACTGTAAATGAGAGTACTAATGCCTTGGTCATGCAAGCCTTGGAGCTTTAGCGTGGCTCACATGAGTATGCTTAGACAGCTGCAAAGTGGTTTCACTCCTCTCACCTTGGGATCAACTCCCATTCCCACTATGTCCCCTGTCAGCAGGAAGCCAGAGCAATTGATGACCTTTTTCTATCTTCATAGCCTACACCTTAATCTTAAAGTGTCTTAAAACTCAGAGGAAGGGATTGAAGATGCCTTTGCAAAGTTATGACTGAAACAGTGAAAGAGATCTAACTGAATCAACCCCATCTTGCTTCTGACCTTTAAGCTGTTCGTGTTCCTTCCTGGGTATAGGCAGAACCACTTTGGGAGGAACTTGGTTTATAGTTTAAAACAAGATGATAACAGCTCTTTCCCCAAACAAACCTCCCTCTTGCCTAGGGACTAGAATGCCTTTGTAGGACTAACAACCACAAGATTAGAAATTATGGTTTAGGAGTCACACAGCTGGAGGCTACAAGATTTTGACCCTCATGTCAGTGCTTGAGGTATTTTGCAGACCCTGCCCTTGGTGGATCAGCTGGCACCAACCAGATCAATAAACTGGCTCATCTGACCTTGTGGCCCCCATGCAGGAACTGACTCAGCACAAGAGGACAGCTTCAACTTTCCATGATTTCACCTCTGACCCAACCAATCAGCACTCTTGACTCACTTGCCTTCTCCCACTCACCAAATTATCTTTAAAATCTCTGATGCCCGAATGCTCAGAGACTTATTTGAGTACTAATAAAACTCTGGTCTCCTGCACAGCCAGTTCTATATGAATTACTCTTTCTCTACTGCCAATCCATTGTCTTGATAAATTGTCTCTGTCTAGGCAGTGGGCAAGGTGAACCCACTGGGTGGTTACAAATTGAGCCCATGAGCTTTGGGGACTGCAGACCTGTGCTTCTGACTCTAACTCCGTGGTGAGTCAGTGTAGAAACTGAAACCACCTTTGTAAAGATTATGACAGTGAGAGCAAGCTAGCATGGCTGACTCCATCTAGCCTCTAGCTTCAGGCTGGCCATCCTCATTAATTCCCAGGCATAGGCCAGGCTAACCATGGGAAGAATTTGTAGTTTAACTTTGAAGCAATGATGATAATAGTCCCCCTTAAAATTTACCCCCTCCTTGCTCAGGGACTGCCTTTGTAAAACTAATGAAAGACCATGAGATTAAGATTATTGGAGGGTCCCAAATTTTGCTAAAATGTAGGCATAGTTTCTGCAATTCCTTACTGCTCAGGACTCATGTGTACAGAGGTCACAAGATTTATGACTTCCTTAATTGCTTCTATAGATAACATCACTATTGTAGAACCTGAGATTGGTCTTTTAAGATGTTCCTCAGACTTTTGCATTTTGGCAACCAGCATAACTCATCCAGACCCATGATTAATGATTCATCCATTCATGTGGCTTCCATCCAGAGGCAGATTTAACACAAACAGATCATTTTCCCCACCTGCATGATTTCATCCCCAACCAGTCAGCAGTACTCATTCCTTAGACCTCTGCAGCTGAAACTATCCTTGAAAACCTCTAATTTCTGAGCCACTAGAGAGGCTAATTTGTACAATAATAAACTTCTGTCCTCCTGTTTGACAGTCTTTGCCTAACTAAAATCTTTTGTAACTGCAAGTCACCATCTCAGTAAATTGGTTTTGTCTGTGCAGGGTGCAAGAGGAACCCATCAGGTGATTATAAGAGTGGACTGAGGAGTTGCTCATTTCTTTCCAGTGGCTTGTTTCATGTTTTGGCTCACGGAGGAAGAGAACCCTGGATGGGGACACAGTGGAAGCTTGTTCTCCTGGTGATCTGGGGATATTGGCTCATGATGGAGCCTGGCAGGGGTGACTGCTCTGGCTGATTTCTGTGCCTTTCCTATTGTCCAGGAGGTGGGCCAGGCTACAGTGTGAATAGGAAGGGAACAGAACAGTCAGCCTTGTTAGAGGGAGTGTCTGGGGAAGGCCTACGTGTGGGGGAAGCTGTGCAGGGTGCAGTATCGTAGCTGGAATGAAGGGGGAGGAAAATGAGGGACATGGAGGAGCAGAGACACCCATGGCAGTGAGCAGTGGGGGCTACAGTGACCTAAAAGACCTCAAGGTCCAGGGGCCCCCACTTCCTTAGTCCAGGACCAGGGAGCCCTGGAAACCCTTCTATGCCCAGGGAGCCTCAGTGTCACATGAGATGGGGTGGCTTTAGGAGTAGGGGTTCATAGGGATAGAACATGGGTCTCAGGCCCTGAAGGACAGAAAACCAGTGTGGACAGAAACTCCTAGGATTCTGTATCCAGAATCAGGTATCTAAAGAGGTTATAGATTATTCATTCCTTCATTCATTCCCTCCCTCCTTCACGAGAAAGCTTCTGAGTGTGTATGTTACATTGGGCCTGTGCTGCTGCAGGGTGCCAGTGGGGAGAGAAAGCTATGACCTCTCTTTTATCCTCCCATGGGAGTGACACCAACACATTGGGATACAAGATTTCAGGTCCAGTGAGGGGCATTAGGATCTGAGGGGGAGGACTGGATATTCCTTGCACTGACTTTGATCATTGAGGCAGGCAATTTAGTTCTGGAGTAAAAACTTATCAGTTGTCCATTTGCTCTCACTCCTCTGAGGTCTAGATAAGCATGAAGAAAGGATTTGAGCCAATGGATGACTGTGGGGTCCCCAGGACCCCCAAATCCCCACTTCTGGTGGAGGAGAGGATGGGGCTGTGGCTGCAGCCAGACCTCTAGTGACTCTGATCTGCCACTTGTGTTTGTGTGACCCTGGTTCAGTGACTATGCCTCCCTGTGTCTCAGTTTTCTCCCAGTCAGATAAGCTAAATGGCAAATGGTCTGTGGCTTGTCATGTTGTCTGTGAATGAAGTTTAAATTATTCACAGTCACCTGACCTAATGCTTGGCACAGAGGACGTGTTCACACAAACAATGTTTATTATTATTTGCCTGCATGAAAGAGCATATCTAGGCCTGATCCATGATGAACAAGATGCTACCAGGAACATCTTCTCTCTTCTGTTTCTGCCCCTGAAGACATTGAATTATCTACGGAGTCTCTTAAGTCTCCCAGGGCAGTTGGCTGATGGCCTAAGAAGCTTGTCCATCTGTCCTCTGCACTCTGAGTCTCAGGTGAAGGACTAGGCTCTGTCCATGCCCAGATGAGGCTCTGGGTGCTGAGCCCTGGCTGTTAAACAGCTCCAGGAACCATGGCCCTTGTACAGCTGGTAAACCTTTGCTCCCAGTCAGCCCTGCCCAGGAGGCCACAACCTAACCCTGGCACACATTCCCGAGGGTCACATGAAGTCAGGATTCTGGGACCGGGTTCTGGGGCTGAGGCTTCCAGGGTTGAACTTCTCTAAGAGAATCCCCGAGGGCCCCCCAGGCCAGGCCCTGACCCAGTTCTCCAAGGAATTTCTCAGGGTCATGTCCATGGGGAAGGCACGGAGTGCTTGGCTGAGACTGTTCTCCACCTGCTGTGTCCCTCCCATCAGACTGTCCTTCCTCTGCAGTGAATGTCTGCAGGGTCTGGATTTGGGGAAACAATTTTGATCTGCAGATGTTTGTCTCCCCTGTGTGTGTCCTGCACTAAATGCTCAAACCCTAAAATGGGACATAATGCAGAGGGCTACACAGGCACAGTCCAGGTCTAACAGTCCTGTGTGTTTGAAGTAGAACTGACCCCCGACACCCAGAAGTCATGAGGAATCACTCACGGTGTACGCTGATCTGTGCAGTTACTTTTTCAGTCATAAGATCTGCCTTTAAAATTTGCACGGTGTAGGATCCTGAGTCATTCAGGGCGATGTTCCAGATCTCCAGGCGTGCTTTGGGGTATACTGTCTCTTGGCCACTGTATGCAGGCCCTGGGATAGTTACTTCATTGTGTATTACATATCTTGCAATTCAGTCGTCGGCATCTATTGTTTCCCCTTTGTACCAGTTGTGGCCAAGTATATCCTGGGGCAGATTGTAGACAAGTAGAACAACCTCCTTCTCCTCTACCGCATTAGATGGCAGAACTTCAACTGTAACTTGGGCAGTGGTGGGTGGGTTCCAGAAGGTGAAAAGTGAGGCTAGGAGAGAGAGAGAGAGCATCAGTCAACATTGGGACCTATGTATTGGGGGGGAAAGATGGGGCCCTGTGTCCTGAGAAGGTCTCTTCACCCCTCAGCCTTTGAGTATGTATGTGTGTGTGTGTCCTACTGAGTCAAGGTTAGCAGCATGATCCCCATTCCTTCAACATCTCTGACCTTGGCATTTTCCTGTTTGGAATCCTCTTCCCCAGGGGTCTGCTCGGCCCCCTCCCCACTGCCCTCAGGTCCTGCTCACATCAGGCATCCTTGGGAGACTCTTCCCCTGACACCTCCTCTAGAGACCCTGGGTCTTCCCTTGCTGACCTTTCCCTGTTCTGTTTACTCCACAACTCCTGTCAACACCTGACCTCACATTCTAGATCTCTTTGCATGTCTGTCTTCCTTCCCATGAAAGCATGAGCTCTGTGAGAGCAGGGTCTTGTGTGATCTTGGTTGCACCTCAGTTCCTGGGACAGGCTGCAGACTCCTGTGGATGAGCTCATGAGCGTTCCCAAGGTCTTCCATGTCCTGGACCAATTTCTGAGGTTGGAGGCTGAGGATAATGTTTCATGCCCTGGTTATGTTTTTATTTGAAGTGTCATCTGATATAGTTATTATTATCATTTTTCAAAATTTAGTGGCCAGTGATGATTAACCAGGAAAACAGAATACTTAAGATTTTCCTACCTCTTACCAGTTCCAGTTTTATATGATTTTCCTGTTGTGACCCCTGTTCCTCTCTGGTGTCCTCTCCCGTATCCAGGCTCCAACAGAAGCCCTCAGTCCCCGCTCAGAGCTCTGTCCTCCCCAGGAGACCCCAGCCAGTCACTCTGCTTCCTCCTTGTGTTCACTCCCAGAAAGTTCTCTCTTCACCTGTGAGCAGGAGCCCCTGTCAGGGGATGCGCTGTGTGCAGGGAGGGGCTGAGAGGGGCCTCATGGCTTGTGCTGCCTGTGTGTTCTCTTCTGTGGAGGTGAGCCTGGGATCCGGAAACTTTCTGAGCATGGTTGTCAGCTGTGCTGTGCTTCCTCCTTCTGCGCTGAGCCTCTTCCCAGGGCAGGAGCGCCTCTCAGGCTCATGGTTGGGGTCTGTGCCCAGGACACCTCTCTGTCCCCTCCCCTCTCAGTCCTGCCTCCCTGTCTCTTTTCTACCTTTCTCTTCTGTCTGTGTTTCAGGCCCCTGGGAATTGCTGAGGCCTCTGCCTCCTTCAGCAGTGATTCTCTCACCCAACCTCTACACATGCTATGTGCAGACACACAGACACACACACAAAGAGACACACAGATACACATAGTCACACAGAAACCCTGTAGTTTGGGTGAGCCCAGTTCTGGGTCCTCAGCATCCAGCCATGTTTATGGCTCCAGGTCAGCCTGCACAGTTACCCCTTCTGCCCTCTTCCATCCCCACCTGGCTCTTCCGTTCAGAGCAGGAGGCTTGGACTGCACCAGGGCCCTGTCACAGGGATCTACCCTCACTGTGCTTTGGGTGAGCTGAGTGCTGGCTGGTGAGAGGGACCCTTTTTCTCATTGTGTCAATATTGGCTACAGTTTCCAAGGATGGACATTCAATGACCCGGGTGTCCCAGAAGAGACTGTCCTTCCTGGAGGTGTGCAGGATGAATCTCTCATGCCTTCTGGGAAGAGAGGCCTCTGCTGGTTGGTCAGTGGGGGCTGTGGTCCCAGGAACTGGTCTCAGCCACTCTCTTGCACCCTGGGTTCTGGTTGCTGAGCTGGGGCTGAGGCCCATTCATGTTTTCTCTGACTATCTTTGGTGTCCCGTCATCTGCCCAGCTGACTGTCCTGTGGTCACTCCACCTTCCCCAAGGCTGATGCAGCAGGGAGTAGGGGGCTGCCCAGGGACTTCACAGGACATGGCTCTCTGAGACCCAGGACAGAGAACCTGGGACAGAGCAGGGGCTCAGAGCTGAAGACATTCAATCTGACTTACTCTGTGGCCAGGATGGGCTCAGCCCTCCCTGTGCTGACATTCCCTGGGGTCTGTCCTGAGGGTTTTGACCTTGTCAAGGCCCTCAGTGTAGAGGAAGAACAGGCAGTGGCAGCAGACCCCATGTGGGGGTCACTGCTCACACCTGAGAGGGCAGATGGGGTGGAATTTTGGGATGGATTCATATTTAAGGAATGATCCAACAGTAGACAATTTTGAAAATGTACAGAAATTCCTATGCTATAAGTTTATTCTGCATAAGGTATTTTTTCTTAATAAGATAATTGACTTTTCATTCATAGATAGCTAATATGGCCTAAAATGGTGAGAACATCAGAGTGGACTGTTTGGTGTCTTGTGGTGTGGTTTCATGCTTTATTTCTCCCACCCCATATCTACAGAATTCTCCATATTCCGTTTTGTAATGTAACTCAGTGGGTGTCATTCTGGTTTGTGGTTACAGACCATTGGAAAACCCGTACCCTCTCTGCTGCGAGGTACAGGCAGCAATGTGGCATCAGCTCTAAACATGCTTTCTCCCGTGACATCAAATTGCTGATTAAGTAAAAGTCATTTCAACAGATACTGAAGATGTCAGTTGTACCCCTCACATACTCACAATTCTTTCACCAAGAGATGAAGGATTTTACTGGTGAGTTGCTTTGAGAGGTTAGTGTAGATCTGATTCTGTCAGGGCCACTTTTGCCCTCTGAGTGGGCATTTGGCAAAGTCTGGAGAAATTGTTGGTTGACAGAACTGGGGGAGGGAGTCCTGTGGCATTGAGTGGGTAGAGTTCCCAGAGGGTGCTGAACACCCTGCTGCTCACAGAGCCCCATTAGCATGACCACCCCTGTGTCAATGCTGAGGAGTGCAGAACCCTGCTGTGCCCTTCTTTAGCTTCCCTGGGTCTTCCCCAGACCTGATCCTTTCATCTTTCTGGACTGCTTTCCCATCTCAGCTCCCTCCTTGCACCTTAGTTCCCTCCATCTGAACTCACACTTAGTCCAAGGCCAGCCCTGATCTCTCAACTCTCTTGGCCCCTTTTTGCTCCTTAGCAGGAGGGAACCACTAGAGGGCACCCTCACCATTCCTGGAGCTCATGCCCTCCCTTTCAATTTTGAGACAAATATGGCTGCTTTTACTGTCACAACTCCAGCCCTCCGCATTCTTTAGCTTTACTCAGGCAGCAGCACCTGGACAGGCATCATGGACCCCAGGGAGGACTGTCACTCTGGAGATTTTGGTGGCATGGACTGGAGACCTGAAGCCACCCCAAGGCCCAAGTCACTGGGGAGAGGCTGGGTCCAGGTGAGGGAGCTTCACACTTGGTCCAGATGCCCCTGCCTAGTGTGGGCACTGGGGACATGTCCATTTGTCTGTGTCCCTAAAGGTCCTGTCACTCAGGATCTGTGCCTGAGGGCTTTGACAGAGCTGCTGTGGAGCTTTCCACATGGGGCCTTTCCCAGTGGAGCACGAGTCCTCCCAGGGATTTCAAGGAGGGCCGTTGCCTGGAAGAATCAGAAGGAATGTGGCAGCCACCAGGTGCAGGCTCCTCTCAGGGCCTGAAAAAAGGGACCTCTTTTCATCATTTGCCACTCATGTCTGCACTGTCTGCATCAGGATGGAATGATGTGGAATTTCATGCAAGGTCATTTTGCTTCTGTTCTGCTAATAATTTTTTTTCTAGTTAATCTTTTGAAGTAAAGGCAATTGTTGACTTTTGGGTGTTAAACTCACCTTTCATTTTTGGGGAACAAACTCAATGTGGTAAATCCTGACTTTTTTGGGGTCATATTTCATTTGTGGATTTTCCCTCTCTGTTCCCAAGTAGGGCATGCAGTTTTACTTTTTCATTGCATGATATTCACCTCCCTGTGTCCATGTGTTCTCATTGTTCAACTCCCACTTATGAGTGAGAACATGCGGTGATTCGTTTTCTGTTCCTGTGTTAGTTTGCTGAGAATGATGGTTTCCAGCTTCATCCATGTCTCTTCAAAGGACATGAACTCATCTTTTTTTATGGATGCGTAGTATTTCATGGTGTATATGTGCCACATTTTCTTTATCCAGTCTATCATTGATGGGCATTTGGGCATTTGGGTTGGTTTCAAGTCTTTGCTATTGAGAGTAGTGCAGCAATAAACATATGTGTGCATGTGTCTTTATAGTAGAATGATTTATAATCCTTTGGGTATATACCCAGTAATGGGACTGCTGGGTCAAATGGTATTTCTGGTTCTAGATCCTTGAGGAATCGCCACACCATCTTCCACAATGGTTGAGCTAATTTACACTCCCACCAACAGTGTAAAAGCATTCCTATTTCTCCACATCCTCTCCAGCATCTCTTGTTTCCTGACTTTTTAATGATTACCATTCTAACTGGTGTGAAATGGTATCTCATTGTGGTTTTGATTTACATTCCTTTAATGACCAGTGATGATGGGATTTTTTTCATATGTTTGCTGGCTGCATAAATGTCTTCTTTTTAGAAGTGTCTGTTCGTATCCTTTGCCCACTTTTTGATGGGGTTGTTTGATTTTTTTCTTGTAATTTGTTTAAGTTCTGTGTAGATTCTGGATATTAGCCCTTTGTCAGATGGATAGATTGCAAAACTTTTCTCCTATTCTGTAGGTTGCCTCTTCACTCTGATGATAGTTTCTTTTGCTGTGCAGAAGCTCTTTAGTTTAATTAGATCCAATTGGTCAATTTTGGCTTTTGTTGCCATTGCTTTTGGTGATTTAGTCATGAAGTCTTTGCCCATGCCTATGTCCTGAATGGTATTGCCTAGGTTTTCTTCTTGGGTTTTTACGGTTTTAGGTCTTACGTTTAAGTCTTTAATCCAGCTTGAGTTAATTTTTGTATAAGATGTAAGGGAGGGGTCCAGTTTCAGTTTTCTGCATATGGCCAGCCAGTTTTCCCAATACCATTTATTAAATAGGAGCTTTCAACCCTGCCACAGCTGCGTTTATACCCATTCTTTCTCACTGCTAACGCAGTTTATTTCTTCTTCTTCTATTGCTTTGTTGATGAATTAGTCCAGAAGTTTAAATAACCTTTTGAATGCTTTGGGTTTTTAAATTTGTCTTCTAGTTTATTATTTTCTACCTTTAAGTTTCTTACACTTTTATTCTACTTGCTTTGTTTTTCACTCACTTCTTATTTGGATGATTAACTCATTTTTAATCAATGTTTTCAGTGGAAGCATTTTGGGTTGTGAATTCCCTGGGGCATCACTGTGGCTGCATCTTACGACTTTTGGTAGATGTAGCTGTTAGTCAAGTACCAGGTACTTAATATGTTCATCACTGTGTCTTGATTGACCCGTGCTTTGAAAATCCCCAGATGTCTAATTTTTCTAATTTCTAAAATTTATGTTATAGCGATTACATCTAGATCGAACTGTATACAAAATATGTGCTTGAGTAAAAATTATTCAATAATATCTGCTAATATATGAGTAAGCCCAGTCTTCATAAATGTTCCTTGTGGACTTGAAGAGAACGTCTATGGTGCAGGGTATTTGGCTGTAGTGTGCCATCGTCATTGCCTGTTGATTGTGTGGTTGAAATGTGTATCATTTGTAGAGATTAGGCATGTTCCTTGAGTACTGACAAAGTCTTTAAAGTGACTTATTGTGGACAACATGGACATTCACAGTGTTAGGTGGATAACTAGCAACTGTCTTGAACAGAACAACATATTCCTGGACATGTTCCAAATGAATAAAACTTAAATGTCAAATCAAAGCCACCAAAGCACCTCAAAGTGGGGAAGGACTTTGTTATTGTATAGCCAAGGAAGAAAAGATTGATACCCATGAAAATTTCGAAAAGAGTCTTCACGTCAAAAAATTCTCTTTAAGGAAAACAAATACTATCTTAAACTATTTGCCATTATAATAAACAGGTAATGTGCTATTATATAAAGGATACTCAAAATTAACAAGACTAAAGAATAGCAGAAGGCAAATATATGAAAATCAGTTCACAGAAGAAATGTTAATGCTCACTGTTTTCAAGATCATGATGTTTATTTAACATATTAGAGTTCCTAGCCTGAAGCAATAAGAAATGAAAGATAAATCAGTGGTATGAGGATTAAAAAACTAGAAATAAAACCATCATTAATTTCAAAGAATAACATTGTTTATATAGAAAGATTCAAAATAGTCTAATGGAAATAATTAGAAATAATAAGAGAGTTTAGGGAGCTGAGTAGTATAAGAATAGACTAAAATATGTTAATTTAACAACAAACAACTAGATAGTGTAATTAAAGAGAACATAATAGTGCCAGAGAATATAAAATATTTAGGAATCAATTCAACCAAAACCAAAATGCACACAATCTCTTCAGACAAAATTATAGCAATCAAGAAACACTAAAGCAGGCCTTACTAAATGGAGAACTATACCATATTTATGCATCAGAAAAATAAATTTTCTAAAGATATCAATTCTGTTTGAATTGATGTATTGATTACATATAAATAGGTTCACCACATTGATTACAAATCTCTGAGGCCAAAAAGTTGTAAAACTTTCCTTTTGTCTCAACATTTATTTTAGATTCAGAGGGTGCATGTGCAGGTTTGTTCCCTGGGTATATTGTGTGATGCTGAGGTTTGGGGTACAAATGGTGCTCTCATCCAGGTATTGTGCATAGCACTGAACATTTCGTTTTTCATTTCTTGCCTGCTTTCTTCCCTCCCCCTTTAGTAGTTCCTAGCTTCTCCTGTTGCCATTTTTAAAAAAAAATTATTTATTTATTTATTTATTTATTGATCATTCTTGGGTGTTTCTCGCAGAGGGGGATTTGGCAGGGCCATAGGACAACAGTGGAGGGAAGGTCAGCAGATAAATAAGTGAACAAAGGTCTCTGGTTTTCTTAGGCAGAGGACCCTGCGGCCTTCCGCAGTGTTTGTGTCCCTGGGTACTTGAGATTAGGGAGTGGTGATGACTCTTAAAGAGCATGCTGACTTCAAGCATCTGTTTAACAAAGCACATCTTGCACCGCCCTTAATCCATTCAATCCTGAGTGGACACAGCACATGTTTCAGAGAGCACAGGGTTGGGGGTAAGGTCATAGATCAACAGCATCCCAAGGCAGAAGAACTTTTCTTAGTACAGAATAAAATGAAGTCTCCCATGTCTACTTCTTTCTACACAGACACAGCAACAACCTGATTTCTCTATCTTTTCCCCACCTTTCCCCCTTTTCTACTCCACAAAACCGCCATCGTCATCATGGCCTGTTCTCAATGAGCTGTTGGGTACACCTCCCAGACGGGGTGGTGGCCGGGCAGAGGGGCTCCTCACTTCCCAGAAGGGGCGGCCAGGCAGAGGCGCCCCCCACCTCCCGGACGGGGCGGCTGGCCGGGCGGGGGCTGACCCCCCACCTCCCTCCCGGACGGGGCGGCTGGCCGGGCAGGGGCTGACCCCCCACCTCCCTCCCGGATGGGGCGGCTGGCCGCGCGGGGGGCTGACTCCCCCACCTCCCTCCCGGACGGGGCAGCTGGCCGGGCGGGGGCTGACCCCCCACCTCCCTTGCGGACGGGGCGGCTGGCCGGGCGGGGGCTGCCCCCCACCTCCCTCCCGGACGGGGTGGCTGCCGGGCGGAGACGCTCCTCACTTCCCAGACGGGGCGGCTGCCGGGTGGAGGGGCTCCTCACTTCTCAGACGGGGCGGCTGCCAGGCAGAGGGTCTCCTCACTTCTCAGATGGGGCGGCTGCTGGGCGGAGGGGCTCCTCACTTCTCAGACGGGGCGGCTGCCAGGCGGAGGGGCTCCTTACTTCTCAGACGGGGCGGCTGCCGGGCGGAGGGGCTCCTCACTTCTCAGACAGGGTGGCCGGGCAGAGACGCTCCTCACCTCCCAGACGGGGTCGCAGCCGGGCAGAGGCACTCCTCACATCCCAGATGGGGCGGCGGGGCAGAGGCGCTCCCCACATCTCAGACGATGGGCGGCAGGGCAGAGATGCTTCTCACTTCCTAGATGGGATGGCGGCCAGGAAGAGGCGCTCCTCACTTCCCAGACTGGGCAGCCAGGCAGAGGGGCTCCTCACATCCTAGACGATGGGCGGCCAGGCAGAGACGCTCCTCACTTCCCAGACGGGGTGGCGGCCGGGCAGAGGCTGCAATCTCGGCACTTTGGGAGGCCAAGGCAGGCGGCTGGGAGGTGGAGGTTGTAGCAAGCCGAGATCACCATTGAGCACTGAGTGAACGAGACTCCGTCTGCAATCCTGGCACCTCGGGAGGCCGAGGCTGGCGGATCACTCGCGGCTAGGAGCTGGAGACCAGCCCGGCCAACACAGAGAAACCCCGTCTCCACCAAAAAAATACGAAAACCAGTCAGGCGTGGTGGCGCGCGCCTGCAATCGCAGGCACTTGGCAGGCTGAGGCAGGAGAATCAGGCAGGGAGGTTGCAGTGAGCCGAGATGGCAGCAGTACAGTCCAGCTTCGGCTGGGCATCAGAGGGAGACCGTGGAAAGAGAGGGAGAGGGAGACCGTGGGGAGGTGGAGAGGCAGAGGGGGTGTTGCCATTTTTTATGTCATTGAATACCCTATGTTTAGCTCCCTCTTATCAGGTTATGGTTTTTAGATTTTTCTTCCGGTGTTAATTTGCTTAGGATAATGGTCTCCAGCTGTGAACATATTGCTGCAAAGGAATGATTTTTTTTTCTTTTTTAATGGGTGCCTAGTATTCCATGGTGTGTAGGTAGGGATTCCTTATCTAATCTACTCTTGATGGACACCTAGATTGATTTAATGACTCTTAGACATATGAACACAACTCAGCCTCCTATACACAGGAGAAATGAAATTTGAGGTCCAGGGACAGCAAATGTTAAAATACAACCTCAGCCTCAAATGTCCCCAAATACACATGTTTGATCACATAATGTGTGGGAGCAACTGAGGTGATAGCACCATCCCCTACTTTTCTTGGAAACATAAACATTGGTACACACCTTGTGGAGTAAAATTTCTAAATGCATGTCAAAATTTAAAATATATTTCTCTTTGCCTCCCAAACTTCACTGGGAAGAATTTATTACATTTGCAGTAATGAAAAATGACACCTAATCATAGTTATTCACTGTAGTGATGGTTTCACAGCAAAATATTGAGAAGAACCTAGATTTTACACCAGTATAATGCTAATTAAACAGGTTATTTTATATCTACACAATGGAATATGATACGGCTGTATAAAAAGTAGAAAATCTTTTGGCTATTCATATGGAAACACCTCCATGTTCTGTTCTGATTGTAGCATATAAACAACCTAAAATGTGATGCATTTTTTGAACTAGATCTTATCTTAAAATGTTATCTTTATTTATTTTTTCAGACAGGGTCTTGCTCTCCCACCCAGGCTGAATTTGCAGTGGTGTGATTATAGCTTACTGTGGCTTTGATTTCCTAGGCTGAAGTGATCCTCCCAACTCCCCCTTCTGAGTAGCTGGGACCACAGTATGTGCTATTATGCCCATATAATTTTGTGTTTTGTTTGTTTTTGTAGAGATAGGGTTTCACCATATTGCCCAGGCTCGTCTTGAACTCCTGGGCTCAAGTGATCCACCAGCGTTGGCCTCCCAAAATGCTGGAATTACAAGCTTGAGCCACTACATCTGGCCCTGCATTCTTTTTTTTATGGGACAGCAGTCTACTCACTCATTACTTTCCCTATCAGGGGAATTTTTTTTTTTTTTTTTTTTTTTTTTTGTTGAGACGGAGTTTTGCTCTGTCGCCCAGGCTGGTGTGTAGTGGCGCAATCTCGGCTCACTGCAAACTCTGCCTCCCAGGTTCACACCATTCTCCTGCCTCAGCCTCCCCAGCAGCTGGGACTACAGGTGCACACCGCCATGCCCAGCTAATTTTTTGTATTTTTAGTAGAGACGGGGTTTCACGGCGTTAGCCAGGATGGTCTCGATCTCCTGACCTCGTGATCCGCCTGTCTCAGCCTCCCAAAGTGCTGGGATTACAGGTGTGAGCCACTGTGCCCAGCCTCATCAGGGGATTTTTAACCTTTCCATTTCTCTACTGTGGGTCCATGCCAATGTCCAGATGTATTTATTTGTCTAGAATTGGATGTTCTTGTAAAAAGAGCGGTCGAAGGAATGGCCTCCTAGCTGATTTCCAGGATTCTAATCTTCATGGTCTAAGCTGTAGGTTTCCAAACATGGATACTGGTTAGAGTCACCATAAGGCATCTAAAACCTACCCATGCATGTGACTTCCCCTAAGAATGTCTGATTTGATTGGTGTGTGGTATGTCCTGGGCACTGGTTTTTAAAAAATGCTTCCAAGAAAAATGGTAATTTTGCAGTGGAGCAATCTTAGCCCAGTGCTCAAAATTAACATCCCCAGTAATCAGTGACATGGACATCTTAGGGCATCCTAATATGATGGATGAATAACGCGCAGCATCACCTCTGTGGTATTCTTGCCCAAAGTGCATAACCTGAGTTTAATTATGAGAAAAAATTAGAAAAGCCTAAACTGAGGGTTATTCTACAAAATAACTCGCCAATACTCTTCAAAAATGTTAAGGTCATGAACTCTAAAGAAATTTTCGGCACTATCCCAGATTAAAGGAGACTGAGAGGACAGAACAAAGAGATGCAATTTGTGATCCTAAATTGGATCATGGTCCAGAAAAAGGACATCAGTGGGAAGATAGGGAAGATTTGAATAAGGTCTATAGATTCATTAATTGTGCAGTGTCAGAGATCATTTATTATTTTGATGATTGGGTAGATATCTATAATGTTAATATTTGGGGAAGTTGAATGAAAAGCATTTGAGGACTCTGACTATTTTTGGGATATTTTTGAAAGTTTGAATGTATTTCAAAATAGAAAAAGGAAAAAAAGGAGAAGAAATCTTCCAGATATTTTCATCAAGTTGCCAGAGTTTAAGACCATTTCCCAAGTTATCTTGCCTAATTGTCAGAATAATCTTCCTGGGAATGTTGTTTATCATATTTGTGTCCTTTTCAAAGATTTCCAGTGACTTCTCTTATCTACAGGATGAAGTTCCCATTCCTTATCCTGCCATTCAAAGCCCTCATAGAATGGCCCCTTGATCAATCTACTTCTTTGATCTGCATTGAAGGACCACATTTTACTTTATCATGTCTAAACATTTTCCAATTCTTTTCCTTGTTAATATAGCACCCTTGCCTGTCTTCTCAGTCTCTTGAGTTGTTCTTTGTCCCAAGGCCCACTTCAGACTCTGTCTCTTCATTGAATCCTGTATGGTCATTTCTATTAGAAGCAGCTAACTTTCCACACTTTGAATTCTGGTAGATATAATGGTGTGGAGTGAAACGTGAGTTTTATTTTATTATTATTATATTTTAGAAAAAAAGCCAATTTAGTATGCTTATTAAAAGTTTTCCTTTTTTAGGGCAGGCATGATGGCTCACGCCTGTAATCCCAGCACTTTGGGAGGCCGAGGTGGGTGGATGACTTGAGGTCAGGTGTTTGAGACAAGCCTAGCCCACATGGTGGTACCCTGCCTCCACAAAAAAGTATAAAAATTAGCTGGGCATGGTGGTCCACACCTGTAATCCTAGCTACTCTGGAGGCTGAGGTAGGAGAATTGCTTGAACCCGGAAGACAGAGGTTGTAGGGAGCCAAGATCGTGCCACTACACTTCAGCCTGGGTGACACAGTGGGTGAGACTCCATCTCACAAAAAAAAAAAAAGGAAAAAAGGTTTCCTTTGTAAAAAAAATTTTTAAATTTTAATTGGAGAAGGATTAGAGATTAAATTGATGTTTGAATTTCATAGGGATTAAAAAAATTTTTATTTTAGGTTCAGGGTTACATGTGCAGGTTTGTTATGTAGGTAAACCCATGTCACAGGGATTTGATATACAGATTATTTCATCACTCAGGTACTAAGCCTAGTAACCAATAGTAATTTTTTTCTGCTCCTCTCCCTCCTTTCACCCTCCACCCTCTGGTAGCCTCCAGTGTCTGTTGTTTCCCTTTGTGTTCATGTATTCTCATCATTTAGCTCAGACATATAAGTGAGCATGTACTATTCGGCTTCTTTTCCCACATTAGTTTGCTAAGGTTAATATCCTGTAGCTCTATCCATGTTCCTGCAAAGGACATGATCTTATTCTTTTTTATGGCTGCATAGTATTCCATGGTGTATATGTACCACATATAAAAGTACAGTCTTTCATTGTTGGGCATTTAGGTTGATTCCATACCTTTTCTATTGTGAATAGTGTTGCAGTGAACATTTGTGTGCATGTGTCTTTATGGTAGAATAATTTATATTCCTCTGGGTATATACCAAGTAATGAGATTGCTGGGTCAAATGGTAGTTCTGTTTTTAACTATTTGAAGAATTGCCACACTGCTTCCCACAGTGGTTGAACTAGTTGAAATTCCCACCAACAGTGTATAAACGTTCCCTTTTCTCCACAACCTTGACAGCATGTTATCTTTTGCATTTTTTATAATAGACATTCTGACTGGTGTGAGATTGTATCTCATTGTGGTTTTGATGTGCATTTCTCTACTGATCAGTGATATTGGGCTTTTTTTCATATGCTGTTGGCCACATGTGTGTCTTTTTTGAGAAGTGTCTGTTCATATCTTTTGTCTACTTTCTACTGGTTGTTTTATTCTTTTTAATTTGTGTAAGTTCCTCATAGCTGATAGATATTAGACCTTTATCAGATGCAGTTTGCAAATAGTTTCTCCCATTCTGTACATTGTTTATTCTGTTGATAGTTTCTTTTGCTAAAAGCAGAAGTTTTAGATTCAGAAATAAGTGAGTCTGAGTTTTGTTTCCAATTTTTATCAGGTCTGATATAAGGGACAATTTATTGATGTCTTTGGATAGAAGGATAATAGTGCCTACTGAAAGGGTCATTGTGAACATTGGATGAGGTGCAAACATAAAGGTTCCCAGCACATAGTAGCTTCCTTCCTCATCATTTTTGTAGCCCAGTGGTCCCCAAATGTGTTGTGGGTGCTGTGAAGACTCTTATCAAATTTTTTTTGTAGAGCTTTTAAAAAATATTTGTACCTGGCCATCACTAAGATGACCTTGAACTGAACTGAGTGCTTAGGGCTTTAAGGAGTTCAATTGAGATTTGTTTTTCCAAGAACACAACAAACTAAATAAGTGATCTATGGACAGGAATGTAACCCAATGGAGGAAAAAGGGAAGGTCAATGGGATTCTAAATGAGAGATAGCTGTGATGCTTTCTGCACCCATTCCTTTGCTCTCAGTCAGACAGCGTTAAGGAAGTACAACTTTTAAAATTATGTAAGAGAAGACAAAAATCTCAGGACTTTCAAACTCATTACACCAAAGGGATAGTTCAGCCTGGAGACTGAGTCATGCAATGCTACCATCTTTTTACCCAGTGAACAACTGTTAATTTACAATCTTGTGTGAAAGCAGTGTTCAATAGCCAGACCCCTACAAGAAGACCTCAGGCATCTCTGGATGACTGTCCTCAAATTGTCCTTTGGTGACCTTGAAGCCTTTCAAGATGTATATCCATCCATAAAACAAAGACACATCAATTGTAACTTTAGGTGTGCAATCTAAGTCCAGCTTCTAAAATGAAAGCCTGTTAGATTTCACACTGATAATGCTTATCTTTCTAAGTACAGAAGAAAGACAAGATGAGACCAATTATTCTTTACTATACTTGTCCCTTCCTACCTGCCTTGCCCCCTTTAAGGAGATGTATAAATACCAGGCCTCCTAAAAACCTTTTTCAGAGAGAACTTAAGACATGGAGGGTTTCTATGATTTGTGTTTTTCCAGGGTGTGCCCTCAAGCTCTGGCTTAAGAAACCTCAATTGATTCAGACACTTGCCTCAGTCACTCATTATGGTTAACATTCTGGTGACCATTAAGGGATACTCTGAGTGGAGTTTTGCTCCCATGTTTTGTGTTATCAAAAATGTGGATATGGGGACATTTGAGGCCACAGAATTTTACTTTAACATTTGCTGTCCCAGGACATCAACTTCCGTTTCTCTTCTGTATAGGAGGGTGTTTTGTTCACAAGTCTCAGAGCTATTAAATCAACCCAGCTGTCCATCAACAGTGGATTAGATGATGAAATCCATACCTATGCTCCATGGAATACTAGGCAGCCATAAAAAAAGAAAAAAAATCATTTCCTTCCCAGTACTATGTTTGCAGCTGGAGGCCATTATCCTAAGCAAATAACAAAGGAAGAGAAAACCATAAACCATAACCTAGTAAGTGAGAACAAATATTGGATATTGAGGGACATAAAAATGGCAAAAAGAGAAGCTAGGAACTACTAGAGGGGAGAAGCAAGGAAGGGAGTAAGAAATGAAAAACTAAGTGTTGAGTGCTATGCGCAATATCTGGGTGAGAGGATTATTCATACCCCTAACCTCAGCATTATGCAGTATACCCAGGGGATAGGTGTGCACATGTAACCTCTGAATCTAAAATAAAAGTTGAAGAATAAAGAGAAAAGTTTTACAAGTTTACAGTCTCAAGAACTTTGTAATCAATGCTGTGAAACTACTTATATTTATTCAAAAGATCTACTTGGATGGAATTGATATCTTTAGAATACTTATTTTTTCGGATCCATGAGTATGGTATATTTCTCTATTTAGGCCTTCTTTAATGTCTGTTGATTGTTATAATTTTGTCTGAAGAGATTGCAGTGATTTTGGTCTTTGGTTGGATTGAGTCCTAAATATTTTATATTTTCTGACACTATTGTATTCCCTTTACACTATCTAGCTGCCTGTTTTTTCTATACAGAAATTAATATATTTTAGTCTATTCTTATAGTACTCAGCTCCCTAAACTCTCTTATTTCTACTTTTTTATTAGTCTTTAGGATTTTTCTATATAAACAATGCTATTCTCTGAAAATAATGACAGTTTTATTTCTACTTTTCCGACCTTTGTACCTCTTATTTGTCATTTATTTCTTACTGCTTTTGGGTAGGAACTCCAATACAGTGTTAAATAAAAGTTATCACTGAAAAAAATGAGAATGAACATTTTTTTCTGTGAACTATTATATATTTACCCTCTTTTCTGCTACATTTTGGTTATATTAATTTTATGTGTTCTTTATATATGAGCTTATTATCTGTTTATTATAATTGCAAGATATTATTTGCTTTTCTTACAGAGAATTTTTCCACATGAACACTCTTTTTGAAAGGTTCAGGTATATCAATATTTCTTTCTTGGCTACACAATGAGAAAGTCTTTCTTCACCTTGGGGTGGTTTAGTGGCTTTGATTTGGCTTCAATTTTTATCCATTTGGAACATGTCCAGTAATATGTTGTCCTGTTCAAGATGGTTACCAGTTATCCATCTAACACTGTGAATGTCCATGTTGTTCACAATAAGTCACTTAAAAGACTTTGTCAGTACTCTAGCAAAAATTCATAATCTCTACAAGAATATGCATTTGAACCACACAATCAACAGGCAGCAAGAATAGCACACTACGTCCATATGCCCTGCACCATAGATGTTCTCTTCAAGTCCACATGGAACATTTATGAAGACTGAACTAAGTCATATATTAGCAAATATTAATATTAATATAAATATTAATAGCATTGAATCATTTTTACCCAATCACCTATTTAGTATACTGTGCAATGTGGGTACTATTCTCTAAAACATGAATTTTAAATATTAGGCATTTGGAGATTTTAAAAGCACATGTCAATCAAGACACAGTGATGAACATTCAAATACTTGGTACTTGACTGACAGTTCATTTGCCAAAACTCGTAAGATGCAGCCACAGTGGAGCCCCAGGGAATTCATGACCCAAAAGGCTTATACTAGAAAAGATTGATTAAAGATGAGTTAATCCTCACCTTAAGAAGGGAGAGAAAAACAAAGCAAGGAGAATAAAACTTATAAGAAACCTAAAAGTAGAAAACAATAAGCTAGAAGACAAATTAAAAAAAAACAAGAACATGAATAGACCCAAAAATAATGTTGTTGAAAAAGATAAGTTATTTAAACTTCTGGACTAATTCATTAACAAAACAATAAAGAAAGAAAAAAGAAACAGATTTAGCAGTGAGAGAGAGTGGATGTAATCTCATCTGCGGCAGAAGTTGAAAGTTTCTTTTCAAAATTTCACAACACTAAGTTAATTGATAATTTAAACAAAATTGACAAGTTCCTAGAAAATTAGGTATAATAAAAAGTAGCACAGGAATAAATGGAAATTCTGACCTGTCCTATAACTATGTTTAAAAAAATTTCTTTTGTGTGTGTGACAGGGCCTCATTCCTGTTTCTCCAGTTGGAGTGTAGTGGTGCAATCATGGATCACTGCAACCTCAACCTCCCAGGCTCAAGTGATCCTACCACCTCAGCCTCATAAGGAGCTGGGACCACAGGTGCATGCCACCATGGCTGGCTATTTTTTTCTATTTTTAGTAGAGACAGGGATTCATCATACTGCCCAGGCTTGTCTGGACCTCTTAGGCTCAAGTTCTTCCTTGGCCTTTGAAAGTCCTGAGATTACAGGTGTGAGCCACCATACCCGGCCCCAATCTTGAAATTTTACTTAATATTTTAAATATTCACAAACATACACAAACACACATACATACATGTGGATACTCAGAAAAAGCAGATGACTTTGGGATGATGATGAATATTTCTACAGTGGAAAAAAATAAATCTACATCTGTAATTCACACCACATGCTAATCTTTTTTTTTTTTGAGATGGAGTCTTGCTCTGTCACCCAGTCTGGAGTGCAGTGGTGTGATCTCGGCTCACTGCAAGCTCTGCCTCCCAGGTTCACACCATTCTCCTGCCTCAGCCTCCTGAGTAGCTGGGACTACAGGTGCCCGCTACCATGCCCAGCTACTGTTTTTTGTATTTTTAGCAGAGACAGGGTTTCACTGTATTAGCCAGGATGGTCTCGATCTCCTGACCTCGTGATTCACCCGCCTCGGCCTCCCAAAGTGCTGGGATTACAGGCATGAGCCGCCGTGCCCAGCCGATAATCTTTTCACAATAAAATTATTGAGAATATTCTTCAAAAGGCTCCTAATTTTCTTCGTTTCTTCTACATACACAAGACATACAGAGACAGATCTGTGTATCTACTATACAACAAAGAAGCCATAGCCAAGGTACATATGAAAATCCAACAGAAACAGTAAGAGGAAGATTGATAACACAATGTTTTTAAATGGCGGAAAACTCTTAAGAGGCACCAGATGGTAGAACATGTGTAATGGCCTGTGAGTACATGAAAAGATGCATTTGCACTATTGTTTACTTAGGAAAAGCATATTAAAACCATTTTGAAATCTCATCCCAACCACAGAAGAAAGGCTAAAATTCAATGGGCTGACAATCCCAAGAGTTGGAACAACTCTACAGAGAGATGTTGCTGGTGGGAATTTAGATGTGTTCAGCTCTCTAACAAGAGAATCTATAATTTGTAGCTATCTTAGAAGATGTCCCAGCATATACAATGGTCTCTACACCCAAGGAAATAAATGAGACCACCAAAATACATGTGTAGATATGTCCACATTAACATGATTCAGAAGACACAAATAGTGTTGCAGTTTGAATGTGTAACACTACAGGGGATAAAACTGTGGTGCATTCAAACTAACGGATATTTACAACATGAAAAATAAATGGATTCCTGCTGCATAAATCATGGATGATCTCACACAAAGAGTTGCAAGAGAAGAGCCAGTGCAGAGGGGAAAATGAAGACTGATTCCACCTCTATAAAGTTCCCAAGAGGCAAAACCTATCTGTAGTGCTAGAGATCAGAATGGAGGTAACCTGGCACTTGGAATGGCTAGGTTTGGGGAGGGGAGGTCATGAAGCCTGTCACCTGGACACTCTGTGTGAGTACACGGGCAACACCCATTACATCTCCACACACAGCTCTGGTCATCAGGCATTTTTAGGGGGACTCTAGCAAGGGATTAGGAATCATGCATGAGAATCATCTACAGAGAGAAACATAGAGTTGGAGGAGCTGGTTGCTAACGCAGAGCAGGGTCCCTGTTGTTCACAGGTCTAGCCTAGTCTTAAGTTCCCAGCCCCACTCCCACTCCTGCCATGATCCAGGAACCTCTGAAAAGCAGCTTTTTCCAAGGACCTCCTCCTTGGTAACACATCAAGGTTTCTCACTGTCAAGCTGTCCAGAAAGAAAAGCAACTTGGATAGTGCCCATAACATCTGCGCCCTGGGGCTCAGGGCTCAGCAGAAATGGCAGAGGGCAGTGAGAGGAGACATGGTGAATGGGGTAGGGACCTAGGGACAGCTGCCTGGAACAGGAGCAGGTGGGGCCACAGGAGAAGGTGGCACAGGAAGGAATGGGCAGGAGAGGAGAGGAGAGGAGGAGACAGGCTCTGTGGGGCTATAGCCCAGTGTGAGCCTTTGTGAGGCTATCTCAGCAGGGAAGGCCAGGTGGTGTGAACAGGAGGAGAAGCAACTCCCACCTCCCCTGCTAGGAACTGAATGTGTACACTCCCAAATTTTGAAGGTTTCATTTTTAATGTGAAGGTGGTGGAGGTGGTGCCAGGCATGGTGGCTCACGCCTGTAATCCCAGCACTTTGGGAGGTCGAGGCAGGCAGATCACCTGAGGTCAGGAGTTCAAGACCAGCCTGGCCAACATGGCAAAACCCCATCTCTACTAAAAATACAAAAATTAGCTGAGTGTGGTGGCGGGTGCCTGTAATTCCAGCTACTTGGGAGGCTGAGGCAGGAGAAATGCTTGAACCTGGGAGGCTGATGTTGCAGTGAGCCGAGATTACGCTACTACGCTCCAGCCTGGGTGACACAGTGAGATTCCATCTCAAAAAAAAAAAAAAAATTTGGAGGTGGGGCCTTTGGGAGATAATTAGAATAAGAGTCAGTCATAAAGGTAGGAGCTTCATGATGGAATTAATGCCCCTATAAAAAGTGGAAGACACAGGAAAATGATCTCTCTCTCTCCTTTTTTCTGTCCCTCCACCCCCTCCCAACCCTCCACCATGTGCAGATACAGCAAGAAAGCAGCATCTGCAAGAAAGCCCTCACCAGGACCAAATCAGCTGACACCTCAACCTTGGACTACCCAGCTTCCCGAACTGTGAGGTATAGATTTTTATTGTTTAAGTCACCAAGGCTACGGTGTTTTTAATAGCAGCCCAAGCCCAGGAATACATCATCTGACTCACTATTTTGAATCAAACTCTTCAGTTTCTCCATCAACTTAGCTGGCAGCTCCTGTCCCCAGCAGCATCAGAGGCCCCATGAAAAGAGCTCCAGCAGGGGCTCAGCCTGCATGGGTCCCATGCGGCAGCCTCAGTGTCAGAGCCTGGATGGCAGGTGAGGCTCCAGTGACACAACCACAATGTGAAAGTGTAAGAGTTTTTAACTACTTATAGATACTGGAAAGCACAGGGCACACCTGGAGACCACAGACACTGGGGTCAGAGAGCCCAGGCAGGGAGGAGAGAAGGGAACTGTAGGCCAATGGCTTTATTGGGTCTAGGGTGTTATTGACAGGTTTCCAGAAGGGAGCTTTAATGGGTGTGTTTAAAGCAGGCAAACACTGGGGCAAGAAGATCACACTGTGACTGAGAGGTGGTCACTTTAAATTGGAGGGCGAATGTCACAACTGTTTCAGTTTAAAGGAAGCAGCTGGCGAGAGGGGAGCCCAGCACACTATGCAAGAGAGATGCCTCTAAGATTTTATCTGTGGCCACCGACTGGAGCCATTTGGACCGGGTACAGCAGTGGAAACTCTGTGATGGTGACAAACATGGGAATCACTCTGATGTGACGCAGTTAAATTTACACCTTAAAAAATGGATGCCAAGACAACATAAACAAGACCCAGGGACACCAACAGGGTATGGTGCTGTGCCCCAGAGTCAGGGTCCTGGGTTCTTACCCAGGGAAGTGAGAAATAAAGATAACTTTTCCCTGCTCCCTCTCTCCTCCCCTGACACTGATCTTCCCACCCTGTACCTCCCTCTTCTGCTCCCAAACCCCCACCCAGTGCTCAGTCGCAGACATCACTGCCTGCAGGGCATGCACAGTGCAGCCCATTGCACACAAACTACAAACTCACAGAAGGTGATGACAATTTGTGTTTGGGACGTCTGATTGTGAAAGAGGGAGGACAGCGTACTTGCAGCCACAGAGACTGAAACTGGAACGTGATGGAACGGGGCTGGAACGTGATGGAGCTCTGACATAACAGACGTGTGACTTTGTGTGAAATGTGCAGATCCATGTGGAATAAAACACAGCCTAGCCTGTGGCTGCTGCCGTCCACATTTCCCTCATCTTCCAACAGAAGTCAGCAGGGTCCCTCCCAGCCTGGAACCTCCCTAGAGACTGCTGACCTCCCTTGGCAGGGCCCACAGGCCAGCAGGGTCCGCCCTCACCAGGGTCACTTGGCCCATGTCCTCCTTGCTCCTCCAAGCTCCCCACCCAAGTCTGTCAGCTTTTCCCTGCAGCCCAGCGGCCACCCACCTGAGGCCACTCTCTCTGCAGGCAGCTCCTGCCCCCACACCCCATTTTTCCTGGGGCAGTGCTGGTGCATGTGATGCCACACTGGGCACTTTCCCATCGTGACCTCCTTCCATCCTCATCAACTCCTTCTGTGACTGCTCCCTAAATGCCTGCCCCTGCTCCATCTTTCCTGTTCTCTGGGGCATTCCAGGCTTCCAGAACAGCATCTGCCTGAGTGCCCACAGTACCAATGGGAATCAACCAGACACCCTGTAACCTGCCCTCTGCACCCTAGGAGGCTCAGAGCACATGTGACGGTCACACACAGGCACCATCTGGGATTTGTCCACCTGTCCCCTGCTGTCCCTCATGAAGTCAGGAGGGAGGACAGAGCTCTCCGGTGTGTATGGGGTGGGGAGTAAGCATGAGCTCCCTGGGTTAGAACACAACCCACCTTCACCCGCCCTCTTAGGTGTGAGCACCGTCCTCCCAGATGGGCTATCTGACCACTACCTGTGCTTCCTCTACACAAAGGGGCTTGACCAGGTCCAAATCCTCAGGACAGACCCCAGGAGATGTCAACATGAAAAGGGCTGAGCACATCCTGGCTTCAGAGTAAGTCGGGACTAGTGTCTCCAGCTCAGAGCCCCTGCTATGTCCCAAGCTACCTCTCCTAGGTCTCAGAGAGCTGTGTCCTACAGGGTCCCTGGGCAGCTCCCCACTCCTTGCTCTGCCAGCCATGGGGAAGGTGGGGTGACCACAGGACAATCAGCCATGCAGAGGACAGAGGACACCCAAGATGGTCAGGGAGGACATGGAGGAGCCTGAACCCCAGCTCAGCCACCAGACTCCAGGGAGCAAGAGAGTGGCTGAGACTTGTCCCTGGTGACCACGAGGTTCACAGCCCCCAGTGAATAACCAGCACAGGCCTCTCCTCCCAGGAGACATAAGAGATTAACCCTGTACACCTCCAGGAAGGACAGTTCCCTCTGGAACACTAGGGTCCTGAAAGTTTATCCTTGGAAGCTGCAGGAAGCTTGACACAATTAGAGAAAGGGAGGGTCCTTCTCGCTAGCCAGCACTCAGCTCACCCAAAGCACAGTAGGGGTGTCCTCGTGACAGGGTCCTGGTGCAGCCTGTCCTCCTGCTCTGAAGGGAAGAGACAGATGGGGATGGGAGAGGGCAGGGGGAGTGACTGTGCACCCCAACTTGGAGCCATGAAAATGGCTGAATGCTGAGGGTCCAGGGCTGGGCTCACCCAGCCTACAAAGTGTGTGTGACTGTGAGTGTCTGTGTCTCTGTGTGTGTGTGTGTGTGTCTTTGTGTGTGTGTGTGTGTCTGCACATAATGTGTGTAGAGGTTGGGTGAGAGAATCACTGGTGAAAGAGGCAGAGGACTCAGCAATTCTGAGAGGCTTGAAACACAGACAGAAGGGGAAGGGGAGGGAGGAAAAAGGGGGCAGGACTGAGAGGGGAGGGGACAGGGAGGTGTCCTGGGCACAGACCCCGCCCATGAGCCTGAGAAATGCTCCTGCCCTGGGAAGAGGCTCAGTGCAGAAGAAGGAAAACAGCACAGCTGACAGCTGTGTTCAGAAAGTTTCTGGATCCCATGCTCATCTCCACAAAGGAGGACAAGCAGGCAGCAGAGACCATGGTGATTTCCTCAGCTCCTCCCTGCAGATGGCATGTTTCCTGGCAGAGGCTCCTGCTCACAGGTAGGTGAAGGAAGGCCTTCCTGGGAGAGGACGGGAGGAGGAAGCACAGTGACTGGCTGGGGTCTCCTGGAAGGATGGGGCTCTGAGAGGGGACAGAGGGCTTCTGTTGGAGTCTGAATAGGTAAGAAGATACAGAAGAGGGACAGGGGTCAAAACAAAAAAAATCACATTGATCTGGAATAGGTAAGAAGCAGGAAAATCTCAAGTGTTTTATTTTCCTGGTTAATCTTCACTGGCCACTATATTTTGAAAAATGATATTAATAACTATGTCAGATGACACTTCACATAAAAACATAACCAGGGCATGAAACATTGTCCTCAGCCACCAACCCCAGAAATTGGAGCGTAAACCCCGGGATGTGTATAGCACTGGGAACGCTCATGAACTCATCCACAGGAGTCTACAGACTGTCCCAGGCACTGGGATGCAACCAAGATCACACAAGCCCCTGTCCTCACAGAGCTCACACTCTCCTGGGGAGGAAGACAGACATACAAAGAGATCTAGAATGTGAGGTTAGGTGTTGACAAGAGCTCTGGAGGGAGCAGAGCAGGGAAAGGTCAGAAAGGGAAGACCCAGGGTCTCTAGAAGAGGCTTCAGGGAAGAAGTCTCCCAAGGACATCCTGATGTGAGCAGGACCTGAGGGCAGTGGGGAGGGAGCCATGCAGACTCCTGGGGAAGAGGATTCCACACAGGGAAATGCCAAGGTCAGAGGTGTTGAAAAAATCAGGGTCATGCTTCTGACCTTGACCCAGTAGGATACACACACACTCTAAGGTGGAGGGTTGAAGAGACCTTCTCAACACCCAGGGTCCCATCTTTTGATACCAATAGATAGGTCCCCAAATTGTCTGATGCTCTCTCCCCTTCCTAGCCTTACTTTGAATTTTCTGAAACCTGCCTACCACTGCCCATGTCACTGTTGAAGCCCTGCTGTCTGATGCTGCAGAGGGGCAGGAAGTTGTTCTACTTGTTTATCATCTGCCCCAGGATTGTCTTGGCTACAACTGGTACAAAGGGGACCAAGTGGCTGCCAACCACCAAATTATAGGATATGTAATCGACACTTAAGTAACTACCCCAGGGCCTGCATACAGTGATCAGGAGACGATAAACTTCTATGCATGCCTGCTGATCCATAACGTGACCCAAAATGACACAGGATTCTACACCCTTGAAGTTATAAAGCTAAATCTTATGAATGAAGAAATAACCATACAATTCAGCTTACGCCGTGAGTGATTCCTTATGTCCTCTGGGTGTTGGGGTTCAGTTCTACCTCACACACACAGGATTGTCAGGCCTGAGCTGTGCCTTATTTCCCTCTGCATTATGTCTCATTTTAGGGTTTGGACATTAGTGCAGGACACACAGAGGGGAGACAGACTTCAGCAGATCAGAATTCCTTTCCTGCATCCAGATCCTGGAGACATTCACTGTACAGAAAGGACAGTCTGATGTGGGGACTCAGCCGGAGATCAGTCTCAGCCAAGCACCTCATGCCTCCCCCATGGACCTGACTCTGAGAAAGACCCTGGAGCTGGGCCAAGGCCTGGCCTGAGGGACACCCTGGGATTCTCTTAGAGAAGCTCAGCCCTGAAGGCCCCAGCTCCAGACTTGTGTCTCAGGATCCTGACTCCACGTGACCCTGGGGAGCCTGTGCCAGGCCTGGGTTGTAGCTTCCTGGGCAAGGCTTACTGGAAGCAAATATTTACCAGCTGTCCACAGGCTGTGGCTCCTAGAGCTGCTTACCAGCTATGGTTTAGCTCCAGAGCCTCATCTGGGCAAGGACAGAGCCTTCTCCACCTGAGACTCAGAGTACAGAGGACAGAGGGACAAGCTTCTTAGTCCATCAGCCAGCTGCCCTGGGAAGCTTAGTAGACTCCATAGAAAGTTCAGTGTCCCCAGGGACAGAAACAGAAGAGAGAAGATGTTCCTAGCATCCCTTGTTCACAGGGATCAGGCCTATGGGTAGCCTCTCATGGAGGCAAATAATAACAAATGCTGTTTGTATGAACACTTCTTCTGTGCCAAGCATTAGGTCAGATGACTGTGAATGATTTAAAGTTCATTCACCAACAACATAGCAAGCCATACACCACTTGCCATTTAGCTTATTTGACTGAGAGAAAACTAAGCCACAGGGAGACACAGTCACCGAACCAGAGTCACACAAACATGAGGGGCAGATCAGAGTCACATGACCCTCTCCTCCAGCAGAAGTGGGGGCTTATTGGTTTCCAGGAACCCCCACCGTCATCCATTGGCTCACATCCTTTCTTCTTTGGCATCCAAACCTCAGAGGAGTGAGAGTAAATGGACAACCGATTAGTCTGTACTCCAGAACTAAATCACCTGCTTCAGCTATCAGAGTCAGTGCGAGGAATGTCCAGACTTCCTCCTCAGATCCTAATCTCCCTTACTGCACCTGAAATCCTGTGTTTTTCAGAGTGTCAGTGTCACTCTCATGGGAGGCTAAAGGAGAAGACTTTGCTTTCTCTCCCCATTCACACCCTGTGCCAGCACAGGCCCAACGTGAGACACACACTCTAGTTCTTGTATGAAGGATAGAGGGATTGAATGAAGTATCCATAACCTCTTTAGAGACTGGATCCTGGATGCAGAATCCTAATATAATAGAAATTGCTGGCCGTACCCATTCCCTGTTTCTCAGGGGCTGAGACCCATGTTCCATCCCTCTGAACCCCTGCCCCTAAAGCCATCCCACCTCCTGTGACTCTGGAGTTCCTTGGCCATGGGAGGGTTTTCAGGGCTCCCTGGTCCTGGTCTGGAGCACTAGGTGCACCTGGTCCCTGGAGTCACTAAGGTCATTGTAACCCCCACTGCTCACTGACATGGGTGTTTCTGGCTCTCTCTGCTCCTCTGTGTCTCTCATCTTCTTTCTCCTTAATTTTAGCTGCCATGCCCTGTCCTGCACAGCCTCCTCTACCCTTGGGACTCCCCCCGACATTCCCTCTAAAAAGGCTGATTGTTCTGTTTCCCTTCCTGCTTACACCGTGGCCTGGCTCAGCTCCCAGGAAATAGGAAAGGCACATAAATTCAGCTGGATCTGCAGGCCCTGCTAGGCTCCATCATGAACCAGTGTCCCCAGGTCACCAGGAGAATGAGCTTCCATTGAGTCCCCATCCAGGGCTCTTTCCGTTTATGAGGCCAACATGTGGAACAGGCCACTAGACAGGGATGAACAGCTCCTCTATCGACTCTTATAATCACCTGACAAGTTCTTCTTGCCCGACTGCACAGACAAAACCAATTTATTGAGATGGTGATTTGTAGAAAAGGAAGATTTTAATTACTCTGTTTGCCAAGCAGGAGGACAGAGGTTATTATGACTCAAATCAGCCTCCCCAGTTGCTCAGAGGTTATAGTTTTTCAAGCATAGTTTCAGTGGCAGAGGTCTAAGGAATGGGTACTGCTGATTGCTCAGGTATGAAATCATGAGGATGGGGAAAATGGCCTGTATTTTCTGAATCCACCTCTGAGTGGAGGCCACATGACTGGTTGAGCCATTAGTCATGGGTCTGGATGAGGTCAGCTGGTTTCCAGGATGCAAAAGTCTGAGAAACATCTCAAAAGATAAATCTCAGTTTCTACGATAGTGATGTTTTCTATAGGAGCAATTAGGGGAGTCACAAATCTTGTGACCTCTGTACACATGAGTCCTGAGCAGTAAGGGATTGCAGAAACTGCCTACAGTTTAGCAGAATTTGGGCTGCTCCTGTAATCCTAATCTCATGGTCTTTCATTAGTTTTAGAAAGCCAGTCCCTGAGCAAGGAGGGAGTTAGTTTTAGAAAGGGACTATTATCATCCTTGCTTCAATGTTAACCTATAAACTAAATTCCTTCCAGTGTTAGCCTGGCTTATTTCCAGGAATGAGCAAACACATCCAGTCAGGATAGAGGCCAGATGGAGTCAGCCATGCTAGCTTGCTCCCACTGTCCTAATCTTTGCAAAGGTGATTTCACTCTCTACATTGACTCAGCAGGGGGGTCAGAGGCAGGGGTACAGGTCTGCAGTCCCCAAAGCCCACGGGCTCCTTTCATCCATTTCACTTATGACTCCATCCTCATCCTGCTAGCTGTGAGGCTCACATCCTCCAGTCATTTCCTAGAGACTTCTGGTTTCCTGTCAGGCCTATAGCAAGCTTGAAATTTGTCACTCAGTTCTAACAACAAGTAAAAAGCTGAACAAACTCAAAAATCAACAACTCTTTTAGATCCCACAGAGAAGTGAGGTCTCAATGCTAACTGACCCATATATTGAAGAGACCAACAGGCAAAGACAGACAACACACTTTACCTGAGCAGAAACCCCTGGCACAGAAACCTCAGTGGGAACCAGTACTGGGGTCAGAAAAACCTGAACTGTCACTAATGAATTGCTGGAGGGTCAGTGTGAACAAGATCCAGAGTTAAACACTCAGGGGAATGGATTACTTCTGGGGGTAGGGGGACATGTTTGTGACTCTTAGCTTCTGGAGCACTACCAGGTTCCTATAGTAATACCCAGTAAAAATCAGCTCATCCTTCCTGCAGGGGAAGGGGAAAAGAAACCACTTTGAAAGATGCCAGTGAATTCTATTCTGGGCAAGACCTGCCTTTAAGAGAAACTATTTTACCAGAGTCTAATCAGCTGGGGTTTGATAGGAGCCTTAAATGCCCTGGGGAAGGGGAAATAGCCAACTCTAGCCCCCTGTAGCCATCATGTCCCACCTAAGGGAAAGAAAAAACTGAGAGGCACTTACAGCATTCACAGCCCAGGACACAGCTCTAATGCAATACCACAGAACCCTTCCCTCCATGGCATCACTGAATGCCTCACTCACCACAGCATCACTGAATGCCTGCTCACCCAAGTTTCTTTTACCCAGTACATCATGTCTGATTTGCAAAAAAACCATACAAGGCAGACTAAGAGGCAACATTAGACACTATGCAGAAACAGATGGGTGACATAAGTAGAGAGATGGATATTCTAAGAAAGAACCAAGAGAAGTGCTAGAGATAAAAAACACTGTAAGAGAAATGAAAAATGCCCTTGATAAGCTTTTGAAAGTGTGTATACTGGTAGGCTTAACACAGCTGAGGAAAAGATCTTTAGCTTTATGGTGTGTTAATAGAAACTTCAAAAACTGAAACAGTAAAGTTTAAAAAGAGTGACAAAAAAGTGGAAGAACATATTCAAGTTCATACTGAATATTTTGTATTGACAATAGCATATTTTATGTTTTGTAGTTGTGGGACAACTACAAAGGCTGTAACATACACATAATGGGAATACTGGGACCAGGCAGAGGTGGCCAGGTGGGTGCTATCTGATGGGCTTACTGCCTGTTTCACACACATCTGTGTCCTCATCGTGATGCCATTGCCATAAGGTGGGGTCTTTCAGGTGGGGAGATGCACAAGCCACTGGCATCTTACTTAGACTCTGCCCAGTTTAAACGAACTTAAACTCTAGTTGTGTTTCCTGAGGTCTAGGGAAAATGAGGAAAGCATTTCACATGCCTGTTTCAGGCTCTTCCCCATTTTTCCTAAGTCTGCACAGGAATTAGGGATAGGGAGGTCTTTCTAAATTTGCTAATATAACACACATTGCTTCTCCTAATTCGGCATCTTTCCTCCCTTTATGTATTGTAATTGACACACATAAGACTTCTTCTTTGACTGGTACTGTCCTCCTAACAGGAACCATGAGCCTCTCTCTATTCAGGGAGTTGCTAATTTCAAACCACCTTCAGCATCTTCCTTTGAGCATAATGCCATCCTGCTGGAATTCACAGCACACCTTAACCTTATTTTGGTATCTAGAGAAATACTACTTCCATCAATCGAACTTAGATATTTGCACTATTAATAACAATTTCTACTTATGGAAAAAATTTAATGTTTCCTCCAATTTTTTTTTGTTACTATAGTCAGAACATAACATGAGTTCTAAACTCCGGACAAAATTTTAAGGGCAGATTACAGTATTACACATGGAGCTCCCCAAATTCAAAAATCCAAAATCTGCAATACTCCAAAATTCAACATTTATCAGCTGCTGATGTAATGCTCCAAAGAAATTCTCACTGGAACACTTTGAATTTTAAAATGTTCAGATTCAGGATGCTAAACCAGTAAGCATACTACAAATATTCACAAATCTAAAAAAGTTAGAAACCCGAAACACATTTGGTCTTAAGCCTTATGCATAAGAACTACTCAGTCTTAATGAACTGTAGGAACCAAGCTGTACAGCAGATCTCTAGAACCTCCTCATCTTGCATAACTAAAACTGCATATCCATTGAAAAACTCCCTATTCACTTCAGTCCCAGCTCCTGGCACCCACCATTCTACTCTCTGATTCACTCTGGAATCCACTTATATGAGGTCCCTAGAGTAGTCAAACTCATGAAATCTGAGTGTAGAATGTCCAACAGGAGAAAATATTTGCAAAACTTCCTCCCAAATTTCTGTCTCATATTCCATCAAACACACATGGTCCATGAGGACCAGATTTCCAACAGTTCATGTTCCCTGTCTCCACCAGTCAGTTCTGCATTTGCAAACATCCACATGTATTTCTAGAAAGATCCACATGGTCCTCACCTGCCCTCTGCAAAGGGAGAGGGAACATCAAAAACCCAGGAGGGGGAATATGTTTCTGCTCCAAAGCCACCAGCTTTTGCTTGTCCTCTTCACTCTTTCTAGATCATTCTTTAGACTCTGCTCTATCTTCAGAGGTCACTGGTTCAAGTCATTCACCATGAAATATTTGGTGAAAATTGTTCCACCTAGTGGCTCCACTGCCTGATGACTGAATTGGCCTCCAGGCTTGCCCCTGGTCTCTTCTGTGTTAATTCTACTAAAACATCCAGTCCCAGGCTAAGGACAGTGAAAAGTCCCATTGTCACCCATCTCTAAGATGCTCTTGGAAAGGGAAGCCACAGAGAAAACAACTGGGTGGTGGTGGGTGGGGGTGGGGGGCAAAGTAGGACTGTGAAGCTGGAAGGAGCACAGCACCTGCACATTCCAGGTGTGGATACCAAGGTGGGCCAGGCAGGCAGCAAGTCAGGGAGGGACCAGGAGAGGCACCAGGAGCGGTGACTTCTGCTTTTGTGTTTATCCATGACCCAGTGCTGCTGCTCAATTTATACTTGAGAAAGCCTGTGCTTCTCTAAGACAGAGCAGGCAGACTCATGGTCTCTGAGCCCTCAGATCATCATGCATCTGTCTTGTGACACACACACCTGCCATGGGTTTTTAAAGAGTTGGGTGGGCTGAGAGGTGGGAGATGCCAACTCTGATTGAAAGATGCCCATGGGGGAATCAAAGGTGCCACGCAGGGCAATCTTCTGTTATCTGCACAGCAGAGCTGTCCAAGCCCTCCGTCACCAGCAACAACTCCAACCCCATGGAGGACAAGGATGCTGTGGCCTTAACTTGTGAACCTGAGACCCAGGGCACAACCTACCTGTGGTGGGTAAATGGTCAGAGCCTCCCGGCCAGTTCCAGGCTGCAGCTGTCCAATAACAACAGGACCCTCACTGTACTCAATGTCACAAGGAATTACACAGGACCCTATAAGTGTGAAATCTGGAATCGAGTGAGTGTCAGTCACAGTTACCCTGTCACCCTGGATGTCCTCTGTAGCCCAGGCTGCCAACCCAAATTGACATGGCCAGAATCCAGGCCTCTCAGTCCTTCTCAGGTCCAAGAACAGAGACTCTCAGCCCTGGATATCAAAGCTGTCCATGACTGCCTGCCCCAGGCAAATTTTGGTAGGCCCAGCCTTAACCAAGAATAAGAGAGGAATGGGATGCTCCTGTCACAGGAGACTTGAGGTCCCCAGTTTGTGATGGGGAAACAGGTGGATGTCTCAGACTCCAGCTCAGTGGACACAGCAGGAGTTTGGTTGGGACTTAAGGATTCTTCTTCTTTGGCTCAGAGGGACACTGTGGCCTTTCTACAGACCAGGAGTATTCTTGGCTTATCAATGAAAAGCTCCAGCAATACACACAAGAGCTCTTTATCCCCAAAATCACTGCAAAGAATAGCGGGGTCTATGCTTGTTTTGTCCGTAACTCAGCCACTGACCTCAGTAAGTTCACAGTCAAGAGGATCACAGTCTCTGATAAGTGGATCTCTGCATCATTGGCAATATGTTTTTGGGTGGAGTCTATCTGGCTTTTAGAGATCAGTGAGGAAAAATATTTTATTCTCAGTCAATGTCCAATGGACAAAAGGAAATCCCAAATTTTTCTCTTGGACCCTCCCGATGCATCTATATGACTCCCTGCCCCTTGTTTTTCTTTCTCATGGCTGCCCTTGGGTCCAGCCTGAGAAATATGTCGAGGGGGCTTTGTCAGCCCCAGAGCACTTCACTGAGGGGGAAGGAGGAGGATTCTCAAGGCCACGTTGCTTCTCTCTATTACCAACACATTTTTTTTTCTGTTACCTCTTTGTTTTCTTTTACCTACTCCTTGAGCTACAAGGAACATCTGAAGCTTTGAAACAAGCTCACACTTTTTCCCAAATGAGAGGAGGACGCCCCTTGGATGAGGAAGAAGCAGCTCAGACTCTGCTCTCTGCTCTGCTTCAGGCTCACTTGGTGACTGGCCCTGCCCTGACTCCACCTGGTGTGAGAACAGGGTGGTGGAAAAGGTGCCTGGGTGGCCTGTCCCGAATCTGGCTAAATCTAGCTGCCAGCAGAAGCAAAGCCTCCCCCAGGTTAGGCTGCAGGGAAATGGGAAGAGAGGGAGCCTCAGGGCAGACTCCTGAGCTGTGTCCTGGCTCTGAAGTCACTGGCTGTATGAGGCTGTGGGCACAGCACATGGGACACAGCACAGAGGACAGTGAGTGATATGCAATGGAAACATTTGGAGATTAACCCTTGGGGGCAGGGAAGGGGCAGTGTCAAAAAGTGTGTATTTGTAGAGAGGGTAAGGCTACCAGGCACCATATATATATATATATATATATATATATATATATATATATATATATATATATATATATATATATATATATATATATATATATATATATATATATATATATATATATATATATATATATATATATATATATATATATATATATATATATATATATATATATATATATATATATATATATATATATATATATATATATATATATATATATATATATATATATATATATATATATATATATATATATATATATATATATATATATATATATATATATATATATATATATATATATATATATATATATATATATATATATATATATATATATATATATATATATATATATATATATATATATATATATATATATATATATATATATATATATATATATATATATATATATATATATATATATATATATATATATATATATATATATATATATATATATATATATATATATATATATATATATATATATATATATATATATAAAATAAGTCTTACCGTTAACTATTTCTAAGCGTGCAATTTAGTGTTGTGTAACCGTTATCACTATCCATTTCCAGAACTTTTTCATCTTACCATACTAAACCTCTGTACTCAATACATGATAACTCTCACTCCTTCCCCCACAACCCTTACTACTCACCATTCTACTTTCTGTGTCTGAGTGATTGACTATTCTAACTATCTTACATAAATGGGATTATATAATAGTTGTCCTTTGGTGTCTGGCTTTTTTCACTTAGCATCATGTCTTCAAGGTTCATTCATTTTGCACCTTGTATTGGAATTTTATTCCTTGTTAAGATTGAATAACATTGCAATGTGTGGATACACCTCATTTTTCTATCCACTTATCTTTCAATAAACTTTTCAGTTGTTTCCACCATTTTGGCTATTGTGAGTAATGCTGTTGTGAATGGCAGTGCATAAATATCTAATCAGATTTCTTTCCATTGTTTTGGGTGTATGTCCAGAAGTGGGATTGCTGGATCAAATGGTAATTCTTTGTTTAATTTTTTGGGAAATAGCCATACCATTTTCCACAGCAGCTATAGCATTTCCCATTTCCATCAGCAATGCACTACAGCTCCAATTTTTCCACTTACTTGAAGATACTTTTTGCTTTGTGCTGTTGTTGTTTTTATCAAAGCTATCCTAAAGTGTGTGAGGTGGAGTATACTTGTGGTTTTGATTTGCATATCTCTAAGTATTAGTGATGTCGAGCATCTCTACATGTGCTTATTGGTTATTTGTATATCTTCCTTGGAGAAATCTCTATTTTAGTCCTTTATTCATTTTTTAATTTTTTTTTTGGATTTGTGCTGTTGTTGATTTGTAATAGTTCTTCATATATTCTGGAAATTAATCCCTTATCAGATATATAATTTGCAAATATTTTTCCCATTTCATAGGTTGCCTTTTCACTTTTCTCAATAATGTTTTTTGAAATTCGAAAGTTTTGGCCGGGTGCGGTGGCTCACGCCTGTAATCCCAGCACTTTGGGAGGCCGAGGTGGGTGGATCACGAGGTCAGGAGATCAAGACCATCCTGGCTAACACGGTGAAACCCCGTCTCTACTAAAAATACAAAAAAAATTAGCCGGGCTTTGGTGGAGGGCGCCTGTAGTCCCAGCTACTTGGGAGGCTGAGGCAGGAGAATGGCATGAACCCAGGAGGCGGAGCTTGCAGTGAGCGGAGATCGCACCATTGCACTCCAACCTGGCGACAGAGCGAGACTCTGTCTCGGAAAAAAAAAAAAGAAATTTGAAAGATTTTAGCTTTTATGAAGTACAATTTATGCATTTTCTTTTGTTGCCTATGTTTCTGTTGTTATAACCAATATATCATTGTGAAATCCAATGTCATGAAGCTTCTTTTCTTTGTTTTCTTCTAAGAGTTTGGTAGTTTTCAGTCTTCCATTTAGGTCCTTGATCCATTGTGGATTAATTTTTGTATACAGTGTTAGGTAAAGGTTCAATTCATTTTTGTCCATGGATATCCAGCTTTCCCAATATTATTTTTTGAAAAGACTGTCCTTTCCCCATTGAATGGTCCTGGCACACTTGTTGATAATCATTTGGCTATATATGCAAGCATTTCTTTCTGAGCTCTCTATTCTATGCCATTGGTTTCTATGTCCTCCTTTATGCCAGTAGCACACTGTATTGATTACTGTGGCTTTGCTGAAATAAGGAAGTGTGAGACTTCCAGCTTTGTTCTTTCTTTTTAAGGTTGCTTGGTTATTTAGGGTCCTGAGATTCCATATAAATTTTAGGATAGATTTTTCTATTTCTGCCAAAAATGTCACTAAAATTCTGGTGGAAATTGCATTGAATCTGCAGCTCACTTTGCATATTGTCCTCCTAACAATATTGAGTCTTCCAATCCATATAAAATGAAGTGTTTTTCCATTTATTGGTGTTGTCTTTAATTTCTTTCAGCAATGTTTTGTAGTTTACGGCATACAATTCTGTTACCTCCTTGGTTAAACTTATTCCTAAATATTTTATTCCTTTTGAGGTTAATTTGAAATGAAAATTTTTTCTTAATTTCCTTTCAGAGTGTTCATTATTAGTTTATAGAAATACAACTGATGTTGCATGTTAATTTAGTATCCGGCAACATTACTGAATTTATTTATTAATTCTTACAGGTTTTTTTCATCTTTAGGTTTTTCTACATACAAGGTAAAGTTACCTGTGAACAGATAGATAATATAACTACTTTTTCCAATTTGAATCTTTTTTTTCTTGCCTAATTTCTTTGGCTAGGACATCTAATACCATGTTGAATAGAAGTGGTGAAAGCAGGCATCCTTGTCTTGTTCCTGATCATAGAGAAAAAGCTTTCAGTTTTTCTCCTTTGAATATGATGTTTGCCTTGGGCTTTTCACATATTACCTTTATTATGTTGAGGTGTTTTTTTTTCATTCATATGGAGAATGTTATTATGAAAAATTATTAAATTTTGTCAAATGCTTTTAGTTGTTCAATCTTCTTACTAATTATAGGTCTATTCAGATATTTTGTATGTCTCCAGGAATTTGTCCATTTCATCTAGTTTATCCAGTTTATTGGTATACAATTATTCCTAGTATTTTTCTAATCATTATTTATGTATAATTGATAGTAATATCTAAATTTTCCTTTCTTTTCTTTTTGCATAGAGAGAGAGACAGGCTTGTACTCTATAGTTTCACACCATGCTGGAGTGCAGTGGCATGATCAGGGCTCACTGCAGACTCAACCTCCTGAGCTCAAGTGATGCTCTCACCTCAGCCTCCCAAGTAGCTTGGACTACAGGTGCATGTTACCATGCTCCGCTAATTTAAAAACTTTTTTTTGTAGAGACACCGTCTCCCTTTGTTGCCCAGACTGGTCTCAAACTCCTTACCTCAAGTGATCCTCCCACTATGGCCTCCCAAAGTGATAGGATTAAAACATGAGCCATGCCAAGACTTTATTTTCATTTCTGATTTTAAATAATTTCAATATTCTCTCTCTTCTCTTAGTCAATCTAGTTAATGGTTGTCAATTTTGTTGATCTTATTCTGAAGAGCCAACTTTTGGTTTCATTGATTTCCTCTATTGTTTTTCTATTGTCCATTTTATTTATATCGACTCTAAACCTTATTATTTCCTTCATTCACTGTGTTTGGGTTTAGTTTGTTCTTCTCCTATATCCTGAAGTTGTAAAGTAGATTGTTGACTTGAGATCCTTCTTCTTTTTTAATATGAGAGTTAACAGTTATAAATTTCTTGCACAAAATTCTTAAGTTATCTGAGCTTCTGACTCCTCAATTGAAAATTGCAGTAACAGCGCTTTCTTTATACTATTGTTTTAAAGGTTTAATGTAATCATCAATTTAACCTTCAGAAAAATGCCATGCACGCAGCAAATGGTTAATGTTAGCTGCTATATTACTACTATTATCATTAGCTTTGAAGTCAGGTAATCCTAGAATCAAATCTTAGATTCACTTCTCACTAGCCATATGACATCTGAAAAGTTTTTTCACTACTCCAAGCCTCTGTCTTTTCATCTGTAAAATGGAAGTAATGTCTACCAGGCAGGTTTATTGTATGAATCAAGTAAGATACAGGCAAAGTACTTAGCACAGAATCCGGCACATAGGAATTGCCCCTCAGTCATAGCTAACATAGCATTATTCATCAGCCTGAGTTGACTGGTAAGGGCTAAAAGTAAATGGTTGCAACAAAAATAAAGAAACATACGCCAAAAATGTGTGTGTGTGTGTGTGTGTGTGTGTGTGTGTGTGTAAAAGGTATTTTATGTAAATACAAACACACTGTTGGAGACCAGCCTCAACACCACCCGTAGGGTACCTGAAGTCTGGTGGCGACAAAGGAATGAGCAGAGACAGGTTAAGAGTTCATAAAGGTGGGAGCCAGGGGGCCAGTTGCAAAATGGAGGCTGCAAAAGGTGCCAAGCTCTGGTCTCCATACTATTTATTGAGTACAATTACTTAGATCTAAGAAGCAGATGTTCAGGGCAAAACAGTGAAAGGGAGGCAGTATGTCATAGGTGTAATCTATAGCAATAGCAGTTTAAATGAATCTCCTTTGCGCTCAAACAGCATATCTTTAACTTATCGGAGAGTAGCTAGTGGGAGTGGGCTTAACTGGGAACCTGCATGTCTGTCCACATTCCAGTGTTTCAAAGGAGTGTCTTTCTCCTTGAACACAGTGTTTATAGATAAGAAAGCAGGTCTCACTCTGAACATGGGAATATGATGGCAATTAGGAGGCTTTCCTCCTCAGAGGCCTCTTGTGGCTTTCCACAGCTTATTGTCCCATATTTTTGTGGCCAGTTTATACAGGCACCCCACAATCCCTTTTCCCAACACACACACACATATGGAAATATGGAAAAAGAGGTAACACAGAAAATACTAGGACACTGTTACTGACTACATGTGGGAGAGAGAGAAAAAACTAAGTGCAAAGAATCAAGCCTGGAATGTTAGTTTTTAACCCATTCAGATGCAGCCAATAGTGGATTAGACATGGAAGAGAATTTATTAGGGTAAATGCCTGTGAGGGAAAGGAAGGCAAGTGTGAGAGAAGCCTGAGAGAGCTCTCAGACCACAACGCAGATCTGATTTCTGTGAAAGATAAAGAGAAAGAAATTTTGGATAGCAATGCAGTTCAAAAAGAGTTTCTGCAGGGCTGAAGGGGAGTGCCTTCACCAGTCACCCATTAGAGTTACACAGAGTCTCACAGAACTGGGCTTGCTTTCATACCCCTGCTGGGAGGCCCTGGGAAGTGAGGTCTCTGCAAGGGAGGTAGTGAATTTGAAACGCACTGACCTGGCCCTTCTGTCAAGCACCTCCCTGCCATAGAGACTGACAGGGTCTAATTCATGGCTGCCAAAACTGAGACACTGAGAAAAAGATGCAACCATGAAAAGGTGGAAGGTTCTAATGACATAGCAAATAGCCATCAGCCTTTCTCACATCCCAAAGCCTTCAAAAATATCTGAGTGCAGAAAGACCAGGAAGGAATGACAGAAGACTATCACCAACCTAGAAACATGGTGAGAGAAGGAAAAAATGGCAAAAATGTGGTTGGCTAATCATCTCTCATCAGCCTTCTTATACAAATAATTTATTCCTTGAAGGAACAAGTACAGTACTCCATGCCGAGAGCTGGTTCTTGGGGCACCCCAGTGTAAAACAACATCACTTTTATTCCTTCTTTTATTTTCCTTCCATTACAGATGTTTCAGCACAGGGAAGTTCTCCTGTCCTCCCAACTAAGGCCACTGTCAGCATCATGATTGGAGTACTGGCCAGGGTGGCTCTGATATAGCAGCTTTGGTGTAGTTTCTGCATTTCAGGAAGACTGGCGGGTATGATGGCCTTTCCTCTTGTCCTGTTTCCTGCAGGGCTGACTGCCATGCTTGGGAGAGGGACCTATATCCCAGGACTGGATCTCCTCCTCCTCCCAATAAACTCCTGCTTCTCAGCACTAATTCCTGCAGGTCTCTTCTTCCCTGGTCTGCATGCTGCCTGTACCCCACTGTCTCTTAGATGTGATTATCCCCAGCCTCTGCTCATTTGTTTCCCAGATTCAATACACTATGAAAGTCTTTTGATCCTTTCTTAACATCTCTCACTTGTGTCATTCTCTCCATTCCCATAGACCTCAACAACTGCTTGAATTCCTGCTTGACTCCTTGTCTCCAGTATTTGAAATCTTCCTTGCATATGACTTCCTCATTACCTTCCTAAAATCTAGTTCACTCACCTACTCAAGAATCTACAGGGGCCGACTCTGGCCTATTAGATAAGTTTACATTTCTTCTCTTTACTAATCCTTCTTACTTCCTTTACCACCACTCCCTTATATAATTCCTCTATCCTAATTACATCTGTCTCCCTACATATGCCTGCCCACCCATGCCATATACACAAGGGATTATTAGTTCAAATTGTATGCCTAAAACAGGGTGACCGCCCTCCATCATCTGCACTGCAAAGTTACCCACAGCCTTCATCACAAGCAACCTCTGACCTCATGGAGAACAATGACTCTAGCATTAATGTGTGAATCTAAGACTTAGGACACAATATACATGTGGTTGGGAAGCTTTCCCTGATAACCAATTTATGTGTTCATGAAAAATACAGAAATGAAGAAGGCAAGGTCCCTACCCCAGGGATCATAAAGCCTAAGACACAAGATAGGACCTTAAAAGTAATTATAAACTCCGGCCCTGGACCCTACAGCCACCAAGATGTTAATGCCTAAGAAGAGTCGGATTGCCATTTATGAACTTTTTTTTTTTTTTTTTTTTTTTGAGACAGAGTCTGACTCTGTCGCCCAGGCTGGAGTGCAGTGGAGTGATCTGGGCTCACGGCAAGCTCCGCCTCCCAGGTTCACGCCATTCTCCCTCCTCAGCCTCCCGAGTAGCTGGGACTACAGGCGCCCGCCACCACGCTCGGCTAATTTTGTTTTTGTATTTTTAGTAGAGACGGGGTTTCACTGTGTTAGCCAGGATGATCTCGATCTCCTGACCTCGAGATCCACCTGCCTTGGCCTCCCAAAGTACTGGGATTACAGGTGTGAGCCACGGCGCCCAGCCATGAACTCCTTTTTAAGGAAGGAGTCACGGTGGCTAAGAAGGATGTCCACATGCCTAAGCACCCGGAGCTGGCAGACAAGAATGTGCCCAACCTTCATGTCATGAAGGCCATGCAGTCTCTCAAGTCCTGAGACTACGTGAAGGAACAGTTTGCCTGGAGACATTTCTACTGGTACCTTACCAATGAAGGCATCCAGTATCTCCGTGATTATCTTCATCTGCCCCTGGAGATTGTGCCTGCCACCCTACGCCACAACCGTCCAGAGACTGGCAGGCCTCCGCCTAAAGGTCTGGAGGGTGAGCCACCTGCAAGACTCAAAAGAGAGGAAACCGACAGAGATACCTACAGACGGAGTGCTGTGCCCCCTGGTGCCGACAAGAAAACCGAGGCTGGGGCCGGGTCAGCAACCAAATTCCAGTTTAGAGGCGGATTTGGATGTGGACGTGGTCAACCACCTCAGAAAAATTGGAGAGGATTATTTTGCATTGAATAAACCTACAGCCAAAAAGAAAAAAAAAGTAATTATAATACCAAAATAGAACAAAATGAATGCCACAAGAATTCAGATAAATCTGATGGGAAATACAGCCACACATTGGAATCACAGGGAAACATTTTTTAAAAATGGATGCTGAAGCCCTCACTCCCCATACCTTCTGATTTAGTGGTCTGGCGTGGGACCCAGGCATTGATAATTTTTAAGCTTCCCCAGATGCTACTAATGTGTAACCAGGATGGTGAACTCTCCTGTTTAAATAGGTAGGACGTAGGGCTAAATTAATGGTTTTTAGCTAGATGACCTAGGGAGGTTTTTCAACATACATAAGCCTATACTTTGTTGGCCATATTTGTTAATGGGCTACACCGAGAACTCAGTAATCCAGTTAAGAAACACAAGCTAAATGGAAAAGCCACTTTATTTGATATGTTAAATTATATGGGAAGCATTGTCAAATGATAAGTTTGTGAGGTCATCAACTTCTTGTCCTGGTTTGCAGTTAAGTGCCTCTAGTTATGGTGTCAAATATTTTGGTGAGCTCTGAGTGGCCCATACCTCAGACATGAAGGTTTTCCCATGAAATTTACATTGAGTTGTCCCCCTCCAGCTTATAGGGCTTCAGGAACACAGCAGATCTTGTTCTTACTGATTCCATAGGAGAAATTGGGTTGGAGAAACTAGAAGAATTCAGGGTCCAGTCCAGTCTACAGGTGGATTATAAAAACTCAAAAACAATGAACAGAGCTGAAATCTCATAAAAGTTGTGCTACAGTTTTTCTTCTCAACATAATTTTTCTCTCTATGGGCATCTCTATTTCTACCAAAGATAATACCACTAAGGCAAATTTGTTTGCAAAATAGATTGAGTCTCATCAAACTTGGCGTGTATTCTCAATGTTAATTTATGGGTATGTTACTGATATGAGTCTTCCAAAAATTATATGAGATTCATAGAAATCTAATATCAGTCATAATGTCATATGCCACAGAAGCAACTAGATTTCTATATGAGCCATGTCTTTATCTTAATGAACGCTCATCAGATTTTTAACCATAGTTATTTTAAATCTGTCATTCATAGACAGTTGTTTTGATTCTTCCTCAAAGTATTTCCAATCAGCTACAGTCCAAAATTGCTTCTTGCTTCAAGGAGATTTACAGAAAAGGCTCTGACAAGGATTCTTTAATACAAGTTTTTGATGAATTTAAGATACCACTGGACTGTCTAAGAACTTCCAAGTTCTTCTGATACCTTCATGAAATTGCCAGCCAAGACCAAGCAGGAAAAAACTCAATTTCATTGGACTAAATAATAATAATGATGAGAATGTTTTTATGATTTTTTGTTTGGAGTTTTGCTGATTCTTTAAGTGGTTTGTTTTCCAGATTTATGGAATTTTTTCTTTTAACCAATCTATAGCACACAGTAATTTGACAAAGTATACTTTTGTGAACAAAAATTGAAGCATTTACTTTTGCTCCCTACCTGACTGCCTTAGAATTGGGCAACTATTCATGAGTATTCATATGTTTATGGTAATACAGATATTTGCTTAAGTTCAATAAATATCTGCTCTCTTTATAACAGGATACATTTGAAAACATTGGTTATATTACCAAGGCTTTGACTGGGATATTACATTTGAAAATATAAATAGAATGAAACCACAGATACTGCAGGCAAGTGTAAAGTAAGCCTTGGTTTGGCTTCCTGGTCTCAAGAGGTTTTTGAAAGTTTAATCTGAGATTCCTTATAAAAAATATCCAGCAAAGCAAAGTTTAAGAAGAGCCTATGTGATCCATTACAACTCTTTCTGCACTTAATGTAAAGGCCAAGTTTGATGAGACTCAATCTATTTTGCAAACAAATTTGCCTTAGTGGTATTATCTTTGGTAGAAATAGAGATGCCCATAGAGAGAAAAATTATGTTGAGAAGAAAAACTGTAGCACAACTTTTATGAGATTTCAGCTCTGTTCATTGTTTTTGAGTTTTTATAATCCACCTGTAGACTGGACTGGACCCTGAATTCTTCTAGTTTCTCCAACCCAATTTCTCCTATGGAATCAGTAAGAACAAGATCTGCTGTGTTCCTGAAGCCCTATAAGCTGGAGGGGGACAACTCAATGTAAATTTCATGGGAAAACCTTCATGTCTGAGGTATGGGCCACTCAGAGCTCACCAAAATATTTGACACCATAACTAGAGGCACTTAACTGCAAACCAGGACAAGAAGTTGATGACCTCACACTGTGGACAGCTTTTCCCAAGATGTCAAAACAAGACTCCCCTTCCTGATGAGGCTCTTGCCCCTCTTAATTTGTCCTTGCTCATGTCTGCCTCTTTTTCTTGGTGAGATAATGCTGTCATTAGAATTTCACAAGAAGTATCTTCTGAGGGTAGCTTAACAGAGTGTTGAATCTGGGATGAATTCATTCCCTTATTTCCACATAACATAAGAGATCCTTTAGTCTACCCAATGGCTGACATTAGCAGCATCTTTTTTTTCCTTCAGCAATAACCACTTTTAATGATTTAGTGTATATTTTTATAATCATAAATTTTACTTGTTTGAACAGGTAATGCATTAACAGTACAAATTTCAACAGGTAGAAAAGCGTATACTGAAAGTGTCCCTCATAACACCTATCCCTCCTCCATCCTATCACCTGGTTTCCCTCTGCAGAGGCAACCAGGAATATCTGTTTCTTATGTCTTATCCAGACATATTCTATGTGTTAGGTTGGTGCAAAAGCAATTGCGGTTTTGCCCGTACTTTTAATGGCAAAAACCACAATTACTTTTGCACCAACCTAATATTTACAAGCACATTGGAAGGCAGCTATGCTCCCCACTATACCACCAACACATCTTATAAGCACATTGGTCTAGTCTTTCTTCTTTTTTTCAAAAGTAAATGGTAAACATTTGAGGCACACTGTTTGCATCTGGCTTCTTCATTTAACAATACATCTTGCAGGTCATTCCACATCAGGATATAAAAAATCTCTTAGTCTTTTAACAGCTGTATACTTGTCTTAGTCCATTTTATGTTGCTATAGCAAAATACCTGAGACTGGGTAGCTTATAAAGAAAACAGGTTTATATGGCTTATGATTCTGGTGGCTGTAAAGTTCAAAATTGGGCATCTGCCTCTGGTGAGAGCCTCAGGCTCATTAGCAGCATCTTTAACACAGCTGTTTTTTCAGATGTACAGTGGTCCCTTTTAGACTTTAGACCTTCAGACTCACCTGTTCTCACTCCCTGTTTAATTTAACCCAGCCATGGGATGCTAGTTAATAAATTGGCCACTACTAGCTGAACAGGAAGGAGTCTGTGCAGTTTCTGACACTTCTTGTTGCACATGGATAAATACGTCGGATATTATAGAGACTTAGTTGCAAAAATTAACAAATGTGCTGCTTGGTTAAAATGGCTAGGCTCTTCTGGCTCACTCTTTGATGTGTTCTATTTTAGTTGGTTTGCATCTTGCCTAAGGTGCATATTCCAAACTCTTGGTATTATCTTCCTGATAGTCATATTAGTAGTCTCCTGGTGTGTTGTATTCTGTTGTATTCTCCAAAAGTTTTTAAATGTTTGCATGCAGCCATCCATTGAATATCAAATAGTGTCTCTTTGGCTGGAGTTACAAAAACTCAAAGAAATGTGTGATCAGGAGGACATTATAACCTATGAATGATGGAAGCCCAAAATGATGGTGATAGAAAGGATTGCTAATGTCTTAAGTTCTGGTCCCTTAGTGAGGTCCTAGAGACTCCAAAACAGAGCCACTCATGCTAAATGCTACATACTCCGACTGAAATTTTAAGGAAGCAGACAGATTCCAAAACAGACCATTTTTTTTTCTGAGAACAGGAGATTCCAGTCTACCTGAGTCAGCATAATAAGGAAGTCACCTCTGCTTTAACTTTTACAAAAAAAGTGACCTGAAGTACATTGATGTTAACCAATCCATTTCTTTTTTTTTTTAACTTCTTAAATGCACAAATTTATTTTTTCTCAACAAACACACATCTTAATGCCTTTACAACTTTTATCTCCCCAAATATATCTTGCTTTTCTTTATACATGCTGTATACAGAGTTGTTTTCCTTATATTTAGTAGTTATTGCTTTTTTGTGCCCTTTTGGGTCCTGAATTTACACATCAGGCATAGAGCTTGGGACAGGAAAGAGCTGTGAAGCAAATTCCTGGAAGATCAAACCCCTTCCAGCATGGCCAGGTAGCACAGCTGAGCCAGGGATGATGGGGCCATATTGGGTTTGGCTCTGCCTTGCAGCTGGCAGTCCAAACACTGAGGACATGCATATTTCTGCGGGCCTCACTATGGTCATCTGTCCAAACCCCAGAATCCAGAGACTCAAAACGAAATACAGTCATACAGTAAGATATGTGCAAGGTTTCAGGGAGCCCAGCAGCCAGACCTTACAGCTTTAGCTCAATTTAGACAAATCAAGCAAGTTTAAGAAATATTCCAGAAGTAGCAGTTTTATGATCTTAAAACATGTAATAGGCTGGGCACGGTGGCCCACGCCTGTAATCCCAGCACTTTGGGAGGCCAAGGTGGGCAGATCACTTGAGGTCAGGAGTTCGAGACCAGCCTGGCCAACATGGTGAAATCCTGTTTCTACTACAAATACAAAAATTAGCCAAGTATGGTGGCATACACCTGTAGTTTAGCTATTCGGAAGGCTGAGGCAGGAGAATCACTTGAACCTGGGAGACAGAAGTTGTGGTGAGCTGAGATCTCACCACTGCACTCCAGCCTGGGCAATGAGAGCAAAACTCCAGCTCAAAAACAAAAAACAAATTAAAAAAAAAAAAAAAAAGTAATGGAGACAATGTAAACCTGTGTGTCAGTAGACCCAGGAAAAAACAATTATATTTAACTGACAATCCTGAAGCCTTTCCAATTTTCTTTTTTCTTTTTTTTTTTTTTATTGATCATTCTTGGGTGTTTCTCGCAGAGGGGGATTTGGCAGGGTCATAGGACAATAGTGAAGGGAAGGTCAGCAGATAAACAAGTGAACAAAGGTCTCTGGCTTTCCTAGGCAGAGGACCCTGCGGCCTTCCACAGTGTTTGTGTCCCTGGGTACTTGAGATTAGGGAGTGGTGATGACTCTTAACGAGCATGCTGCCTTCAAGCATCTGTTTAACAAAGCACATCTTGCACCGCCCTTAATCCATTCAACCCTGAGTGGACACAGCACATGTTTCAGAGAGCACAGGGTTGGGGGTAAGGTCACAGATCAAGAGGATCCCAAGGCAGAAGAATTTTTCTTAGTACAGAACAAAATGAAAAGTCTCCCATGTCTACCTCTTTCTACACAGACACAGCAACCATCCGATTTCTCAATCTTCTCCCCACCTTTCCCCCCTTTCTATTCCACAAAACCACCATTGTCATCATGGCCCGTTCTCAATGAGCTGTTGAGTACACCTCCCAGACGGGGTGGTGGCCGGGCAGAGGGGCTCCTCACTTCCCAGTAGGGGCGGCCGGGCAGAGGCGCCCCTCACCTCCCGGACAGGGCGGCTGGCCGGGCGGGGGGCTCACCCCCCCGCCTCCCTCCCGGATGGGGCGGCTGGCAGGGTTGGGGGCTGACCTCCCCGCCTCCCTCCCGGATAGGGTGGCTGGCCGGGCGGGGGCCTGACCCCCCCACCTCCCTCCCGGACGGGGCGGCTGGCCAGGCAGAGGGGCTCCTCTCTTCCCAGTAGGGGCGGCTGGGCAGAGGCGCCCCTCACCTCCCGGACGGGGCGGCTGGCCAGGCAGGGGGCTGACCCCCCGCCTCCCTCCCGGACGGGGCGGCTAACCAATCCATTTCTATGGCTCTGTTTACTGGTTCTCATTTGACAAAATCCACTGTTCTGTTATTGTATTGCCCAGGGGGAGCTATCACTGTATTTATAGAATGAGTTCTGCCCCAAATCATGAATCACAATTAAAAGCCAATTTGATCTGGCCGGGTGCGGTGGCTCACGCCTGTAAACCCAGCACTTTGGGAGGCTGAGGCAGGTGGACCACAAGGTCAGGAGATCGAGACCATCCTGGCTAACATGGTGAAACCCTGTCTCTACTAAAAATACAAAAAAAAAAAAAAAAAAAAATTAGCCGGGCATGGTGGTAGGTGCCTCCCAGCTACTCAGGAGGCTGAGGCAGGAGAATGGTGTGAACCTGGGAGGCGGAGCTTGCAGTGAGCTGAGATCGTGCCACTGCACTCCAGCCTGGGCGACAAAGCGAGACTCTGTCTCAGGAAAAAAAAAGCGCCAATTAGATTTGTAACTAAATTAATTATAGATCTATAGTAATTTTGTCTTTCGATGCACGTTCACAGCCAGCGATGGCCAATGGTGTCTCTCACGCTGCATCATTCTCACCCTGACCCTCCTGCCTCCCTCTTTCACTTACAAGTACCCTTATGATACACTGGGCCCACTGAGATAATCCAGAATAACCTTCCCATCTCAAGATTCTTAACCTCATCACATCTTCAAAGTCTTTTTGCCAAATATAGTAACATGCACTGGTTCCAGGGGTCAGGATGTGGACATTTTTAGGAGGCCATGATTCTGTGTAACACACGTACCCTTCATGAACATCAACTACAACAAAAATTAGCTTTACCTTCCTTCTGTGTCTCACTTTTCTGACTGTGCATAAACTTTAAGATGAAACACAGTAGTTCTGCTATGAACTGGCTGGATGACCATGGACCACTGACTTAAATTCCCTCAGCTTCTTCTCCTCTGCGGTAGAATGTGACTCTTTTTTTTTTTTTTTTTACTTTTTTTATTTTCTTTTTTTTATTATTATACTTTAAGTTCTGGGATACATGTGCAGAACGTGCAGGTTTGCTACTTAAATTCCCTCAGCTTCTTCTCATCTGCAGTAGAAGGTGACTCTTTTTTTTTTTTTTTTACTTTTTCTTTTCTTTTTTTAAAATTATACTTTAAGTTCTGGGATACATGTGCAGAACATGCAGGTTTGTTACGTAGGTATACATGTGCCATGGTGGTTTGCTGCACCCATCAATCGATCACCTACATTAGGTATTTCTCTTAATGCTATCCCTCTCTTAGTCCGCCATCCCCCAACAGGCCCCGGTGTGTGATGTTCCCCTCCCTGTGTCCATGTGTTCTCATTGTTCAACCCCCACTTACGAGTTAGAACATGTGGTGTTTGGTTTTCTGTTCCTGTGTTAGTTTGCCAAGAATAATGGCTTCAAGCTTCATCCATGTCCCTTCAAAGACATGAACTCATCCTTTTTTATGGCTGTGTTGTATTCCATGGTATATATGTGCCACATTTTCTTTATCCAGTCTATCATTGATGGGCATTTGGGTTGGTTCCAAGTCTTTGCTATTGTAAATAGTGCTGCAATAAACATATGTGTCCATGTGTCTTTATGGTAGAATAATTTATAATCCTTTGAGTATATACCCAGTAATGGAATTACTGAGTCAAGTGGTATTTCTTGTTCTAGATCCTTGAGGAATTGCCACATTGTCTTCCATAATGGTTGAACTAATTTACACTCCTACCAACAGTGTAAACATGTTCCTATTTCTCCACATCCTCTCCAGCATCTGTTTCCTGACTTTTTAATGATTGCCATCCTAACTGGCATGAGATGGTATCTCATTGTGATTTTGATTTGCATTTCTCTAATGACCAGTGATGATGAGCTTTTTTCCATATGTTTGTTGGTCAATAAATGTCTTCTTTTGAGAAGTGCCTGTTCATATCCTTCTCCCACTTTTTGATGGGGATGTTTGTTTTTTCTTGTAAATTTGTTTAAGTTCCTTGTAGATTCTGGATATTAGTCCTTTGTCGGATGGATTGATTGTAAAAATTTTCTCCTATTCTGTAGGTTGCCTGTTCACTCTGATGGTAGTTTCTTTTGCTGTGCAGAAGCTTTTTGGTTTAATTAGATCCCATTGGTCATTTCTGGCTTTTGTTGCCATTGCTTTTGGTGTTTTAGTCATGAAGTCTTTGCCCATGCCTACGTCCTGAATGGTATTGCCTAGGTTTTCTTCTAGGGTTTTGATGGTTTTAGGCCTATGTTTAACTCTTTAATCCATCTTGAGTTAATTTCTGTATAACGTGTAAGGAAGGGGTCCAGTGTCAGTTTTCTGCATATGGCTAGCCAGTTTTCCCAATGCCATTTATTAAATAGGGAATCCTTTCCCCATTGCTTGTTTTTGTCAGGTTTGTCATGGTTGTAGATGTGTGGTGTTACTTCTGAGGCCTCTGTTCTGTTCCATTGGTCTATATATCTGTTTTGGTACCAGTACAATTTTTTTTTGGTTACTGTAGCCTTGTAGTAAGTTTGAAGTCAGGTAGCATGATGCCTCCAGCTTTGTTCTTTTTGCTTACAATCGTCTTGGCTATACGGGCTCTTTTTTGGTTCCATATGAAATTTAAAGTAGTTTTTTCTGAGAAGAAAGTCAATGGTAGCTTGATGGGGATAGCATTGAATCTATACATTACTTTGGGCAGTATGGCCATTTTCACGATATTGATTCTTCCTATCCACGAGCATGGAATGTTTCTCCATTTGTTTGTGTCTTCTCTTATTTCCTTGAGCAGTGGTTTGTAGTTTTCTTTGAAGAGGTCCTTCACATCCCTTGTAAGTTGTATTCCTAGGTATTTTATTCACTTTGTAGCAATTGTGAATGGGAGTTCACTCATGATTTGGCTCTCTGTTTGCCTGTTATTGGTGTGTGGGAATGCTTGTGATTTTTGCATATTGATTTTGTATCCTGAGACTTTGCTGAGGTTGGTTATCAGCTTAAGGAGATTTTGGGCTGAGATGATGGGGTTTTCTAAATATACTATCATGCCATTTACAAACAGAGACAATTTGACTTCCTCTTTTCCTGTATGAATACCCTTTATTTCTTTCTCTTGCCTGATTGCCCTGGCCAGAACTTCCAATACTATGTTGAATAAGAGTGGTGAGAGAGGGCGTCCTTGTCTTGTGCTGGTTTTCAAAGGGAATGCTTCCAGCTTTTGCCCATTCAGTATGATATTGGCTGTGGGTTTGTCATAAATAGCTCTTATTATTTTGAGACATATTCCATCAACACCTAGTTTATTGAGAGTTTTTAGCATCAAGGGGTGTTGAATTTTATCGAAAGCCTTTTCTGCATCTATTGAGATAATCTGTGGTTCTTGTCATGGGTTTTGTTTATGTAATGGATTATGTGTATTGATTTGCATATGTTGAATGAGCCTTGTATCCCAGGGATGAAGCCGACTTGATCGTGGTGGATAAGCTTTTTGATGTGCTGCTGGATTCGGTTTGGCAATATTTTATTGAGGATTTTTGCATCGATGTTCATCAGGGATATTGGCCTGAAATTTTCTTTTTTGGTTGTGTCTCTGCCAGGTTTTGGTATCAGGATGATGCTGGCCTCATAAAATGAGTTAGGGAGGAGTCCCTGTTTTTCTATTGCTTGGAATAGTTTCAGAAGGAATGGTATCAGCTCCTCTTTGTACCTCTGGCAGAATTTGGCTGTGAATCCATCTGGTCCTGGGCTTTTTTTGCTTAGTAGGCTATTAACTACTGCCTCAATTTCAGAACTTGTTATTGGTCTCTTCAGGGATTCGACTTCTTCCTGGTTTAGACTTGGGAGGGTGTATGTGTCCAGGAATTTATCCATTTCTTCTAGTACCTTTTTAAACTAAAAACATATTTTACTTTTTATAATATACTTTGCATATAGGGTTGTTTTGTCTATATCTGTTTTAATCACATAGTGTGATTACATAATAAGCTCCTAGTAACCCTTTGATATGGTTTGGATCTGTGTCTTTGCCCAAATCTCATATCAAATTGTAATCTCCAATGCTGGAGGTGGGGCCTGGTGAGAGGTGATTGAAATATGGGGGAGGTCTCTCATGATATAACATCATTGCCCTTGGTGCTGCCATAATGATTGAGAATTCTTGTGAGATCTGATTGTTTAACCATGTGTAGCACCTCCCCCTTGCTCTCTTCTTCCTGCCTCCATCATGTGAGATGCCTTGCTCCCTCTTTGCCTTCCTGCATTGTAAGTTTTCTGAGGCCTCCTCAGAAGCAGAGCAGGTGCCAGAATTATGCTTCCTATACAGCCTGCCAAACCATGGGTGAATTCAACCTCTTTTCTTTTTCTTTTTTCTTTCTTTTTCTTTTTTTTTTTTTTTTTTGACACGGAGTCTCACTCTGTCACCCAGGCTGGAGTGCAGTGGCATGACGTCAGCTCACTGCAAGCTCTGCCTCGTGGGTTCACTCCATTCTCCTGCCTCAGCCTCCCGAGTAGTTGGGACTATAGGTGCCCACCACCATGCCCGGCTAATTTTTTGTATTTTTAGTAGAGACGGGGTTTCACCGTGTTAGCCAGGATGGTCTCGATCTCTTGACCTTGTGATCCGCCCGCCTCAGTCTCCCAAAGTGCTGGGATTACAGGCGTGAGCCACCATGCCTGGCCTCAACCTCTTTTCTTTATAAATTACCCAGTCTCACATATTTCTTGGTAGCAACATGGGAACAGACTAATACACCCTTATATTCAGTAGAACAAACTAGAAAGTAAGCAGTTCTAACTATGTACCTGATGTGAAGCTCAGGACAAAAAACAGAGCTATGAAGATAATGCCTGGAATCTCTCCCAGCACGGCCAAGAGGCATAGCTGGGACATGGACTGGCTTTGCTGTGGTTACATCACTTGAACTCAGAATCTAAGAGCTCAAATCTAAAGACATAAGCCTACAGACAAATTAAGGAAATGTATATATGCAGAGCAGCTGTTTGAAGACCTTAAGACATCTAGTAGACATTATAAACCTGTCTGCCAACAGACCCAGGCACAAATATCTAAATTAAATTCTGAAGACATTTCTACTTTATTTTACCAATAATTTAAAAACTATCTTTATTTAAAGATTACTAAAATTGCATGAACTGAAAAGCATTTGTGCTTATTTACTTTATTTATGTGTACTCATTTATCTTTACATTAAATTGATACCATGTGTAAACTATATACAAACATATGGATAGACATATACATATATGTAATGTAACATATTGCATATACATCTACCCATAAAGATAAAGGGTGACAAAAAGACTGTAGGGTTTTAATTTTAGGACTTTAATCATGGGATGGGTAAAACTCACTATTTTAAAAGGACAGTTGGATTCAAATTGTGCCTTTGTAAATGAAAAAGGTAACATTTATCTGAAGAAGCCCTTACTGAGTTTTAGAAAAAATGGGTAGCAAATTTACCTCTCAAAACACAGAAAGGGATAGAATTTAAGCTTTTACAAGAAGGACTTTGGATGTGTTCAAGAAAGGTTAAAAATAGATGCTAAGGTAACACAAAAAAGATAGAAATTTACCATAAGATTTTATAAGGAAACTAATTTTATTTTAATAGGTAGCTTTAATTTGGTCTCTGTTTACCAACTGGACCACTGAGCTCAGGACAGAGCCCATTAAAGAAGAGGGATGACAAAGTCTTTGCAATTTTTAGATCCTAATAATTTAAATATGTGAAAAGAAGACACAATTGGAAGGGAGAGGACCTAGACCTTTAAAAATCAAGGATTTCACTGAATCCCAGGTCCCCAAGAAGAGTAAAATGCCATGGGAACCATAATGTGCAACACTTCCACAGTTTACTTTGCTACAAAGGCATTTTTTTCATTGTTTGAACTGTGTCTTTCTTATCTAAACATGCAAAGATATAAGTAGTCTTCTGAAGTAGTATTCATTTATTATAACCACTGTTAGTCACCTCCAAAACCATAGATTTACCACTGACCCAGCAGCCAGCACACACACAAGATGAAGTATTTGTACAGTACAAAGTAATCGCTGATGACCCTAAAAGCCAGAGGTCAGGTAACACAACAGAAAACAGAGCAGGGTTTTAGACCAGAAAGGAATCCATTCACTCGCAACTCTTGGGGTTCCATGTGGAAAAACACAGAATCTTCCCAAACAGAAAAGTCTGTGGCATCTTTCCTGTTTTTCCTAAGTGGTCCCAGGCTGTTCAGAATTCTTTAGGTCCCTTCGTGTGGCATCAATGGTAGCAAGAGGGAGATAAAGAGAGGAATGAATAAAAGAACAATTGTTAAGAAAGGAACAGAGAGACTAAGCACATGATTTAAAATGATTCCAGTCACCTGAAAAAAAAAATTCAAGAAACAAATAAGAAAAGCAGAAAAGTGAAGCAGCATCATTGTCTGGGGTAAATTCCCAAGATATATTGTCTCATGGCCACAGAAAACTAGGTTTAGAGTGGAAGTTTAATAGGTGAAAGAAAGAGAAGAACTCTCTGCAGCAGAGAGTGGTCCTGGAGAAATGGGTTGCTGCTTCTGTGGTGAAAAGCAGCAGGTTTTATAGATGAGCTTGAGGAGGTGGTGTCTGATTTACGAAGGGCATGAGATATTAGTCAGACCAGGTGTTCCATTTGCATAAGGTGCAAAAAGCTGGTTAGGGCTAGGTGTGCCATTTGCATAGGGTGTGAAAATCTGGCCGCCCCCACCCTAATCTTTTATTATGCAGATGGGTTTTCTACCTGACTGGCACCATGTTGCCAGTTTCTTTACCGTACATGTGGTGAAAAAAGGAAAGATGGAACCTCCATGTAGAACATGTCTGCCCCCCACCCACCGGTAGCTCCTTTCTATTGGCACAGCTGCTGGCATTCACCTGTGCAAGATTCCAGCTTGCTTATCTATTTCTGCAGTTCGATTTTTCAGGCTGCTCTTTGTTAGAAAAGAAATGATTTGGGGGCTGCTTTTTTATTGAAAGGGAAATTTCACCAAGGACTCTGTTGCTTTTACTATCTGCCTAAATATCTTCTTTCTATCTCCTGTATCATATTTCCCCCCTTAGGAGTAGTAACCCTAACTGCTGTTAAGGGGTGTTGGACAATGACTCTTTCTGGCTATTTCCTGCTGAAAAGGGGTGTAGTGTGGGAAACAACAGTTAAGTCTCCTCCTGAGGTCAATCTAAGTGTCCTCAGAAGAGATGCACGTCCATGTGTGGTTCCATTGTGTGCCGCACCATTTGGAGTTTAATAGCTTCTAGATGAGAAGAGATAAATGTTACAAGATGGTTTAGAGTATAGAATTTGAATATGAGTATTAAGATTATCATTATTAGTTGGGGTACTACAGGCCACAACCATGACAGTAGAGTTTGATACCTGTTAGCTGTTCCGATGGGTTGTAATACTGATTTCCTCCACCAGATGTCACTGCACCTCACCAGAAGTGTTAATATAGAAACTTTTTTTTTTGGATAAGTGGCATTGGATTGGGTGTTGGGAGTAACTTTAGTGTTAACTTTGGCTAAATCTTTTCTGTAATGATTAGTCCTGCTATAAAGATGATAATTAAGCAGAATATTACAGCAATTAGAATTTTCCATCCAGAGTTTCACATTGTGAGTGCCACAGTGTATAGTCATGCTGCAAATAGTAGAGTGAGTATAACAATTCCCACAAGGGTGGTGTAGTAAATAATTTTCATGTAAAATTTTACTCCCCAAGATATAGAATTTCCCTTTGGGGGTCTATGAAATTACAAATGTAATCCCATGGATAATCAAAATCTCCCTGCAAGTATGTGTCAAAAAGAAGTTCTAGTATGTGGTGGTGAATCTTGAGAGGAAAGGTAGAAATGACAAAGTATCTGGTGAGGTAGGGGTGGGACTGAGGAGGATGAGTAGACCTCACTCATTTACTTATCTCTTATGATTTTTAGCTTAAGTTCTCCTCTCTCTTCACATTGATATCTGGGACATTCCTCTAGGCTGTCAGGAGTTGCTCCCTCAGCTTTCCAGACTTTGGCTCGAGCGTCACGTATCCAAGAGTCAATAACTGTAACTTTTACCACTGAGGGTGTTGAAAGAACAGTGTAAATTTCTTCCCAGCTTGAGCTTAGGGAAGGAGAGAGAGAAAGGAGAGCTTTCCTAATACCAAATCTCCTGGGTTAAATAAAGGTGGTCTTATTTTCTGTAGTTGGACTTCTGCTAGTTGTGTTAATTTCTGTGGAAAGTGAGCCAGAGAAGTTACATGTTTAACCAATTCAGAGGTTTAATAGAAAATTATTGGTAAGGCCGGGCATGGTGTCTCATGCTTGTAATCCCAGCATTTTGGGAGGCCGAGTCGGGCGGATTGCCTGAGGTCAGGAGTTCGAGACCAGCCTGGCCAACATGGTGAAACCCCATCTCTACTAAAAATTAAAAAAAAATTAGCCAGGCATGGTGGCAGGCACCTGTAATCCCAGCTACTTGGGAGGCTGAGGCAGGAGAATGGCTTGAACCTGGGAGGCAGAGGTTGCAGTGAGTGGAGATTGTGCCACTGCATGCCAGTCTGGGTGACAAGAGCAAAACTCCATCTCAAAAAAAAAAAAGAAGAAAAAAAAGAAAATCATTGGTAAGGAAAGGTCATCCATACAGCATTTTGAAAGGGCTTAGGCCTAACTTTGAAAAGGTATTTCTTACCCACAGTAAAGCCATGGGAAGAAGAGTGACCCAAGGAAAGTGGGTTTCTTGGAACAATTTTCTGAGGTGTCTTTTGATAATATCATTTGTCTTTTCTACCTTTCCTGAGAATGGGGGTCTCCAAGCACAATGGAGATGACACTGTATGCCTAATGCCTTTGAGACCCCCTGTGTGATGGCTGCCTTAAATGAGGGGCCACTGTCAATTTTGAGGTACTTAGGTAGACCAAAGCAGGGAGTTATTTTATTAGCTAACACTTTTATTACCTCAGAGGCCTTTTCTGTAAGGCATAGAAATGCTTCTACCCAGTTAGTGAAAATATCTACCTATACCAGGAGGTATTGGATGCCCTTCGTCTTTGGCATGTGGGTGAAGTCTGTCTGCCAGTACTCCCCTGGATAGTTTCTCATCCTTTAAGTTTGAGGAGGAAGAAGCCGCCTGTTGGAATTATTTTTAAGACAGACTTCACAAGCATTAACAACATGCTCAACTGTTTTTAATAAGTTATCTCCTGAAAACAATCTCTGGGCACACTGATAAGTTTTATCATTTCTCAAGTGAAAATCTTGGTGAAGGATATTAAGGGTGTTCCACTGGCTGGAGGCTAGCAAGTGGAGTTTGCCATCCTCTGACTATTGCCATCCTGAGGGCTGAAAAGTGTACCCTTGAGAGATGGCTCAATCTATCTCTGCAGGGGAGTAATGAGGCTTAATTTTTCTTATGGAGCCTTCCCAGATTAGATAGCCTTTTAGTGTGTTAAGATCCTGAGGCTTTCTTGCCATTGACTTGGCTGCCTGATCAGCTAACTTGTTTCCTTTGGCTAATTCATCTCTTCCCTTCTCATGTCCCTTACAATGCATTACTGCTACCTCTTGTGGAAGGAAAACTGAGGATAATAACCTGTTAATTTCCGGATGGTATTTTATAGGAGATCCATTAGTGGTAAGACTCTTTCCTTCCAAATTGCAGCATGAACATGTATCAGGGGAACCTGCCCTCAATATTTCAATGTAGGTTCTTTCTATTTTTCATAAGTTTCAGCTGGCTGAGAAATAAAGAGTACAAAGAGAGGAATTTTACAGCTGGGCCTCTGGGGGTGATATTACATATCGGTAGGACCGTGATGCCCACCTGAGCCACAAAACCAGCAAGTTTTTATTAAGGATTTCAAAAGGGGAGGGAGTGCAAGAACAGGGAGTAGGTCACAAGATCACATGCTTCAAAGGGCAAAAAGGAGAACAAAGATCACATGCTTCTGAGGAAACAGGACAAAAGGCAAAACAGAACTACCGATAAGGGTCTATGTTCAGCTGTGCACGTATTGTCTTGATAAACATCTTAAACAACAGAAAACAGGGTTTGAGAGCAGAGAACTGGTCTGACCTCAAATTTACCAGGGCGGGTTTTTTTTCCCACCCTAATAAGTCTGAGGGTACTGCAGGAGACTAGGGCATATTTCAGTCCTTATCTCAACCATGTAAGACAGACACTCCCAGAGCGGCCGTTTATAGACCTCCCCCCAGGAATGCAATTATTTTCCCAGAGTATTAATATTAATATTCCTTTCTAGGAAAAGAATTTAGTGATATCTTCCCTACTTGCACGTCCATTTATAGGCTCTCTGCAAGAAGAAAAATATGGCTCTTTTTGCCTGACCCCGCAGGCAGTCAGACCTTATGGTTGTCTTCCCTTGTTCCCTAAAATCGCTGTTATTCTGTTCTTTTTCAGGGTGCACTGATTTCATATTGTTCAAACACACATGTTTTACAATCAATTTATACAGTTAGATACAGTTATCACAGGGTCCTGAGGTGAGGTACATCCTCAGCTTATGAAGATAACAGGATTAAGAGATTAAAGTAAGACAGGTGTAAGAAATTATGAAAGTATTATTTGGGAAGTGATAAATGTCCATGAAATCTTCACAATTTATTTTCCTCTGCCATGGCTCCAGCTGGTCCCTCTGTTTGGGGTCCCTGACTTCCTGCAACAAGCATGGAGAACTAAGAAAGCATACTTGGAGTCAGTGTAAATGTTAGCTACCTTTCCCTTGCTTAATTCAAGTGTTCTTGTAAGAGCTATCAGTTAGCTAGTTGAGCATTTGTGCCTGGAGAGAGGGGCCCACTTTCAGTAACATCATTCAGAGTGACTATGACATATCCTGCCTTATGGACTCTGCTTTCCAAAGAAATTTCCATCCATGAAGAGGCTGCAGTTTGGATTTTCTAGAGGAGGTTCCCTGAGATCCTCCCTGGCTATGCAGGTCTTTACCACATCTTCTTCATAGTCATGTTCAGGTTCCTCAGCGTGGAAAGTGGTTAGGTTTAGGTGAGAACAAGTTTTCAATTGGATTGTAGACCCTTCTAACAGCAGAACGTAATATTTAAGGAGCCAGCTGTCTGTTAGCTGAAGGCTTCCCCTAGAAGACAGCAATCTTGCTACATTATGTGGGGTATAAAGAGTTAGGCCATTTCAAAGGGTCAATTTGGTGACCTTCAATACCAGTAGGGCCATTGTGGCAACTGCTCAGAGGCATGCTGGCCATCCTTTAGCCATCAAATCAATCAAGTTCTTTGCTCCGCTGTAGTCCGCTGGCTGTTGAGTTGGTCCTCGGGCTTGAGTTAAAACTCCCAGGGCTGTTCCCTGCATTTCTGATACATAAAGATTGGAGGCCCTACCTATGGGAAAGCTGAGAGATGGTGCCTTAAGTAAGGCTTGTTTTAGCTGGTTGAAGGCCTTTCGAGCTTCAGGTTCCCAGGTTAGAAAATGAGTTTTAGCCACTTGAGTTTCTTTTATGAGGTGATATAAGGGATGTTCTATCTCACTGTACCCAGGTATCCATAGTCTGCAAAATCCTGTGATGCCCAAAAATCTTTAGTTGCTTGAGGGTTTTAGGGAGTGGGAAAAAGGAAATGGACTTAATCCTTTCTTCTTCTAATGATCTGGTCCCTTCAGACACTATTAAGCTTAGGTACTTCACTGAGGTTTGGCAGAGCTGGGCCTTGGATTCTGAAACCTCTGTCTGCTAAGAAATTAAGAAGAGTTTTCAGTGCCTTCCTGAGAAGCTTCCTCAGTTGCAGCACAGAGCAGCATGTCACTCATATATTGCAAGAGCCTGGCCTGAGGATGGGAAAACTCAGAGAGGTCCTTTGACAACGCCTGTCAAAAGAAGTGAGGACTGTCTCAAAATCCCTGAGGCAGCACCATCCATGTTAACTGGGTGGTCTGGCCAGAGGGATCTTCAAAGGCAAACAAGTATTGAGAGTGAGGATGTAATGGTATACAGAAAAAGCCATCCTTTATATCTAGGATTGTGAACAATTTAGTTCCCTCAGGTATTTGAGTTAGCAAGATATAGGGATTAGGGACCACAGGATGAATTGCGACTGTGGCCTTATTAATGAGGCAGAGGTCCTGAACTAGCGTCCATGCCCCACTGAGTTTTTGCACTCCTAATATTGGGGTGTTGCAGGGGCTGTTACAGGGTTTGAGGAGGACTCAACCTATTCTTCCTTGAACGGCCCACGCTTCTGGATTAATATTCGCTTCCACTGGGGGAGACAAAGTGTTTATCCTGGGGCTGTAAGGATGTTGGCCCCCGTGTGATTAAAAATATTTCTACCTAATAAAGGAGTGAGACTTTCAGACATACTTAAGAAGGCATGTATAAATAATAGGTCTCCCACTCTACAACTAAGGGGTTGAGAAAAATACTGGGTTAGAACCTTTCCTGAGATGTCTATCACAGTCATGCTACAGGAAGAGGGGAGGCCTGGATTAGAGAGAAGAGAGAGGCTGCCTCCAGTGCTCAGAAGGAGGTCCACGCTTCTTTTAATTTCCAGTATCACCTGGGGTTCCTGTGCAGTAATGGCAGCTTAAGCTGCTGGAGCCAGGGGTTTGAATCCTGGGACCCATCCGTCCCATTGGACCATCTGTGAAACTTATTCTGATCTCAGTGACCTCCATCTCCAGGGGGAGTCTGATGGAATGGGCGCTGTCCAGGTTGCTGCCCTCTCCTGAAGCTTGATAATGAGGAACACTGATGTGTCACTACAGAGGAGGCTGTGGGAAAAAGCTGTTTCTCAGGGTGGCCTGGATCACAAGTTGGCGGCACTTTTGACTTGGCTGGACCTGTGAATTACAGGAATTCTGCTTCATGTCAGCAACCAGCTCCTTCAACTTCGTGTTCCTCTTTGTAGCCGATTCTCTTGGCCTGATTCCTGAGCCTGTTCTAGAGTCCTCCTCACAATACCTGATGGTCAGGGCTGTGTGTGGAGACCTAATGAAGGGTCTTCTGTGCTCACACAGAGTGTCCAGGGGACAGGCTTCATGACCTCCCCTGCCTCAACCCCACAACAAGATCTGGATAGTGGGCCGGGTCAGATAAAGTCAGAATCCCCAGCATGGGTGTGTGTCCTGGCAGTGCTGAGGTCTATGCCCCAGATGAACCCTCAGTCTCTTTGCAAATACATTTATGTTTTGCATGTGTTGTTGGCTGGTCAGTCTCATGTCTCTAAATTCTTGTATCACCCTGTGGATAAGGTAATAGTCTGCATATAAGTATATAAAAGCTATCTGATCAGGGTGGGTGTGTTTTACATAGTGGAGTTATTTTTCACCAAAGACGTTTCAAAAAGCTGTAGTAGAATGTATGTATAGACACACATGCATATTTATATGTGTTAGATGTTAATATATATTTCTATAAATATATGTATATTTATAGAAATATAAATATATATTAAATTTATATATAATGTGCCATTTTAACCACTTTAAAATGTGCAATCAAATAAAATTAACCACACACACAGCGTTACATTACCATCACCACTATTTTTCCTAGAAAATTTTTATCATTTTAAGCTAAAGATCTGTATCTTTTAAACAATAACTCCCTATTTTTTCCACCCTAGACCTTGATAATCTCTAGTCTACTCTCTGTCTTTATGAATTTGCCTATTTTTGATGTTTCATATAAATGGAATCATACATATATGTCATTTTGCTTCTCGCATTTTTCACTTACCATAATGTTTTCAAGGTCTATGAATGTTCCAGTGTGTGTCAGAGTTTTGTTCCTCTTTATGGCAGATTAACATTCTGTTGTATGTGTCACCACATTTGTTTATCCATGTGTTGATGAACACTTAGATTGTTTTCATATTTTATCTTTTGTGAATAATGCTACAATCAACATTCCCATGTGAGTACCTCTTTGAGTCCCTGGATTCAATTCTTTGGGTATATACCTAGGAATGGATGCTGTTTTGTATGAGAATTCTATGATTAGCTTCTTAAGGGACAGCACAACTGTTTCTCCTAGTGGCTGTACCTTTTTATAATCTCACCAGCAATGTATGAGGATTCTAAATTCTACATAAGGCTTTCACTTGTTATTTAACATTTTAAAAGAATGGTAGCCATATTTGTAGGTGTAATGTGGTATCTCATTGTGGCTTTGACTTTGTATTTTCCTAATGACTAATGATGTTGAGTTTCTTTTCATGTCCCTCTTGATGATATGCATATCTTCTTTGAAGAAATGTCTATTTGAGTCCTTTTCCCATTTATATAAATTGGGTGGTTTGTATTTTTGTTATTGATTTGTAGCAGTTCTTTATATATTCTGGGCATGAAACCATTGTCTATGTGATTTGCAAATATTATCTCATTCTGTGTTTGGTCTTTTTATTTTCTTGATAATATCCTTTGATGCACAAAAGGCTTGCATCTTTAGCCCAATTTATCTATTTTTCCTTTTTGTTTCTCATGCTTTTGGGTCATACCTGAGAATCCATTGCACATTTGAGGTCATTAAGTTTTACCCCTATGTCTTTTTCTAAGATGTTTTTATGGTTATAGATCTTATAATTAACTCACTGATCCATTTTTAGATAATTGTTTGATACGGTTGGAGTACAGTTCTCTAAGTTTATTGTTTTGCATGTGGTTATCTAGTTGTTTCTGCACCATTACTTGAAAGGATGATTGTTCCTCCATTAAATTATCTTGACACCCTTGTGCAAAAGCAATTGACTTTAAGGGTGAGGGTTTATTTCTGGACTGTCAATTCTATCCCTTTGGTCTCTATTTGTATTCTTATGCCAGCAGCTTCTGTTTTTAATAGTTGTAATGTTTTGTGAGATTTCAAATAAGAAAGTTCAAGTTCTGCAATTTATTTTGGCAAAATTGTTTTGGCTATTTCAAGGGTACTTTTTTGAAAAGCAAGGAGGCCAATGTTTTGCAATTGGGAAAGCCTTTTCTGTCTTGTTTTGGAGGCAAATTTTGCTGTCTAGGGATCTTTTCAAGAACTTTATCAAAGTAGGTGAATTATCACCACTTCCTTTGCTGAGGTACTGTGTTAAAATGTGTGTTGCCTCCCGTTGAAGAATTGAGAGACCCTGGAAGCACTTGCCCATGTGGTGAAGGACAGTGAGCTCCATAATTAGGGGCACAGAAGACATTGCTTTGGGACACAATGTTGTCAGGGTAGCTGTGTGCATCTCTACTTGTTTATTTTTTTGTACAACTTGCATCTCTGCTGGACATACTAGATATTGAAATCTTTGTTCATTCTCTTGGTTCTGGGTTGGCTGACCTGTCAGCTGGAGCTGGAGGACATGCCTGGCAGGGGAGTGACCCCCATGGGAAAAAGCAGGGCTCAGCAGAGTGAAGGCAGCTGGGACCCAGAGAAGCCAGGGAGGTCTGACTCTTAGAAGTCAAAGACCAGCAGGTGGGTGTCCTCAGGGGCAAATGGACTGCACTGGTACCCATTGCAGTGGACTTGAAAAAGGTAAGAGGCTTTGGGTATCTCATTTTCTCTCTCAGCTCTTCAGCAGGAGATTTGGGCCCTGGGCTGGTACTGTCCTGCAGCAGGGGCAGGGTAGACAGGAATGGCTGCATATCAGGCCTATGTCCATGTCATCCTCTCAGGCATTGCCACTGAAGATGGAGAATTTTGTACAGAGGCCCAGCCTGGGCACATGGGAGGAGCCACCTTGTTAAAATTAATTTAAGAAAACAGTATGCATGCTTTATTCTTCTAGAATAATTATTAATGTCATGTTTTACAATGTATCTCTTAAAGGAATGGTGAGAATCATCTACATAATGTATGTTTTAAGTGGTCTTTTCTATAATTGCAGCTTTCATATGTTCTTATAGAAACCATTTTCTTTGGGAACACACAGGCAGTATCTCTGTGTTCATTTCTACTGGGAAATATTTATGCAGGGTGGAGAGAGTCACATTTCCTAATGAGAGATGGAAAGCATCTGACTACCAGAAAGTGTCCAAATGCTGCTGATAATGATCATGGGGCTGCAGGTGGAGGTCAGGCTGGAGGTGGGTGTCAGGGAAAGTAATTTTGAGAGTCTTTTTTTTTTTTTTTTTTACAAAATCATGGGCAGAAGCCACCACCTGGACCCAACACATGTTGGAATGGATGAGGGACAGAAATAGAGCTCAGTAAATTAAGAATGAAATCCAAGAGTGGGCAAGAGGTTTGAGAGGTCGACGGGTGTGAGAGGTGGATGGGTGAATGGTGAGAATGTTCAAAACATCTTCTTTCTCCATAATAAGGGAGCATTTAGGCCCCTGAGTCAGACAGTGTCCAGGACAGGGGGAGCAGGATGTTGTCAGCTCTCCTGGCCAAAAGTGAGACTCCAGCAGTGTCCAGTTACTTGGTCCATTTTGGGATTTATTAATATTTTAAAGATGATCCAACAGTATACAATTTTGAAAATATACAAAAATCCCTATGCTACCATTCATAGATAGCTAAGATGGCCCTAAGATGGTGAGAGAAGCAGAATGGGGTTTGGGTTTACATTGTATATTTTTTTCTCCCAATATCTACAGAATTCCCTACATCCCACTTTGTAATGTAACCCAGTGGGTGTCATTCCCATTCGCAGTTACAGACCTTTCCGGTTCATGGTTACAGACCCTTGGAAAACCCATACCATTTCTGCTGTGAGGTACAGGCAGCCATGTGGCATCATCTCTAAACATGCCTTCTGGGACATCAAATTGCTGATTAAGTAAAAGCCATTTCAATCGATATTGAAGACCTCAATTTTACCACTCTCACACTTGTAATTCTTCTACCAAGAGGTGATGGATTTTAGTGGTGATTTGCTTTTATAGATTAGTGTAGATTAATGCTTCTGCCACGGGCAATTTTTTCATTCGGAAAAGCATTTGGCAAAGTCTGGAGACACTGCTGGTTGTCAGAGCTGGGGGAGGGAGTCCTGCTGGCCTTGAGTGGGTAGAGTCCCCAGATAGTGCTGAACATTCTAGAGCTCACAGAGCCCCACCAGCATGACCACTACAATGTTCAATGCTGAGGAGGAGTGGAGAGCCCTGATATGCCTCCCCTAGCTTCTCTGGAGCTTTTTACCTTCTCCTTCCATCAGTCTCTACCACTTTCTCACCTCAGCTTGCTCCTTGAAGCTTAATGCCTTCCACTTGAACTTGCCCTTAGTTTAAGACCTGCTGTAATTTCTCAACTCCCCTGGCCCCTTTCTGATCCTTAGCAGGGTGTCCTCTAGAGGGCACCCTCACCTTTCCTGTAGCTTCCCAGGATCCAGATGCACCTGCCCTGTGTGGGCACCAGGGATACGGCCGTGTGCCTGTGTCCCTAAAGGTCCTGTCACTCACGACCTTCGTGTGAGAGCAACTGAGGTGATATTACCCTCCCCTACTTTTCTTGGAACATAAAAATTTGTGCAAACCTTGTAGAGTAAAATTTCTTAATGCATGTGAAAATTTAAAATATATATATTTTTGCCTCCCAAACTTTACTGGGAAAAATTTATCACGGTCACAGTCATAAAAAATGACACCTAATCAGAGTTATTCACTGTATTGTTTAACAGCAAAATATTGGGAACAACCTAGACTTTCACCAGCACAATGCTAATTAAACAGGTTACCTTATATCTATACAACAGAATATGATGCAGCTGCATAAAAAGTATGGAATCTTTCAGCTATGCATATGGAAACACCTCCATGTTCTGTTTTAATTATAGCATCTAAACATCACAGAATAAGATGAAGTTTTTGTACTAGATCTGACCTTAGAACATTATTTTTACTGTTTTTTTGTTTTGTTTTTTTTAAGAGAGAGGGTCTCACTCTCATACCGAGGCTGAAGTGCAGTGGCAAGATCATAATTGACTGCAGCCTCAACCTTGTGAGCTCAAGTGATCCTCCTGCCTCAGCCTCTTGAATAGCTGGAATCACAGGCACTTGCCACTATGCCTAGCTAATTTTTTGTGTTTGTTTCTGTAGAGATGGGGTTTCACCCAGGCTGGTGAAAACCCAGGCTGGTCTCAAACTTCTGGGCTCAAGTGATCTGCCCACTTTCACTCCCAAAATGCTGGAATTACAAGCAAGTGTCATCACACCTGATTCTGCCTTTTTTTTTTTTAATTGGACTGCAGTCTACTCACTCATCACTTTTCCCATCAGGTGATTTCTAATTTTCCTCTATTTCTCTACCATATGTCCATGCCAAAATCCAGATGTATTTGCTTTTGTCTAGAATTAATTTTTTTTGTTGTTGTTAAAGAGAAGCCTTAGAAATGGTCTCCTAGCTGATTTTCAGGATTCTAATCTTCACTGTCTAAGCCATAGGTTTCCAACTCTGGATACTGATTAGAGTCACTTGCAGGGCATTTAAAGCCTACCAATGCCTGTACCATCCCTCAAGTGTATCTGATTTCGCTGATGTGTGGTGTGGCCCAGGGATTGGTTGTTTAAAAATGCTTTCAAGGAAAAGGGTCATTTTGCAGTGGAGGAACTTTAGCCCAGTGATCAAAGTTAACATCCCCAGTAATCAGAGATAACGACATCTTAGGGCATTCTAAATATGATGGATGGAGAAGGTGCAGCATCACCCCTGTGGTATTCTTGTACAAAGCATATAACCTGAGTTTAATCATAAGAAAATATTAGAAAAGTCCAAACTGAGGGTCATTCTACAAAATAAGTCACCAACACTCTTAAGAAATGTGAAGGTCTTAAAGGTAAAA